>NC_000002.12:2131212-2434242 GCF_000001405.40 Homo sapiens
GGAAAAGACAGGAAGGGGTCAATCCATCCACATTAGGATGCACATTACTTAGGGGACTTGGAGGAAACACCACTTAGTGCACAGATGCGCATAAATCAAACAGCCTATGATACAACAGTTATGGCAAAATTATGCTTGTGGCTCCTAGTTTAGAAAAAGGCAACACAAGCATATTCATAATTTCCAGTGCAGATGTCACCTTCTCTTTTTAAAATTGCTTTTGCAATTTTAAAATGTCATTTTATTGGTGAAAGGGGCTGCATGGAGAGTTTATTTACTTACTGATTAGATTGATAAATGTGATGCCCACCATTAGCCTTTGGACATATGGTTACAGAGATGACAAAGCACATTAGTAACTAAATGAGAGGTTAGTAGCTTGGCTAATAGCAGACTTTAGCCTGTAATGTGGGGGTGAGGTGGGGCCATGGACACAATATATTCATGACAAGCTGTCCCATGGAAAACGGGCCACTGGGGAGGACTTGCAAGAGCAGTGATTGTGAGACGTAACCGTGAGGTTTTGGTGCTTCTGACAGCTCTTCCCAAGTGGGAACTCGGTTTTCCCAAGTGAGAACTCGGTCATGTAACCTCACTCTGTGCTGCACAGAGACTACTCTCTCAGACACCACGTTCTCTGCAGGAGGTACATGGTCTCTAATTCTGGAAGGGGACATGCAAGAGAGTTCATCCTTTTTTTTTTTTTTTTTTTTTTGAGATGGAGTCTCACTCTGTTGCCAGGCTGAAGTGCAGTGGTGCGATCTTGGCTCACTGCAACCTCCAACTCGCTGGTTCAAGTGATTCTCCCACCTCAGCCTCCGGAGTAGCTGGGATTACAGCAGGTGCCACCACGCCCAGCTAATTTTTGTATTTCTAGTAGAGATGGGGGTTTCACCACATTGGCCAGGATGGTCTCGATCTCCTGATCTCATGATCTGCCCACCTTGACCTCCCAAAGTGCTGGGATTACAGGCATGAGCCACTGCGCCCAGCCGAGAGTTCATCATTTTGGGCAGAGCTTGAGGGTCTCTTAAGAAATCGTTCTACTATAAAGACACATGCACACATACGTTTATTGCAGCACTATTTACAATATCAAAGACTTGGAACCAACCTGGATGTTCATCAGTGATAGACTGGATAAAGAAAATGTGGTACATATAGACTATGGAATACTATGCAGCCATAAAAGAGAATGAGTTCATGTCCTTTGCAGGGATATGGATGAAGCTGGAAACCATCACAGCAAACTAACACAGGAACAGAAAACCAAACACCACATGTTCTCACTCATAAGTGGGAGTTGAACAATGAGAACACATGGACACAGAGAGGGGAACATCACACACTGGGGCCTGTCGGGGGGTGGGGGCAAGGGGAGGGAGAGCGTTAGAACAAATATCCAATGCATGCGGGGCTTAAAACCTAGATGATGGGTTGGTAAGTGCAGCAAACCACCATGGCACATATATACCTATGTAACAAACCTGCATGTTCTGCACAAGTATCCCAGAACTTAAAAGTAAAATTTAAGAAAGACAGAGAGAGACAAAGAGAGAGAAAGAATCTATGTGATATGAATAGACTAAGTCTACAGAAATATATGAACTAAAAAATTAAGTCCTTTCAAGGCATCTATGGAATCAGAAATGCTCACGGTGGCCTGTTGGAAATTTATTGGGTGTCTTGGTAAGTCAGCCTTAAAAGCAGTCCCCTGTCCTGTCCTTAAAAACTCCAGCCCCTCTTCTTTGCTGGAGTTGTCTCTTTTCATATTCACTGACAATTGCTAAGTTTTGAAAGATGTCATAACAAGGAGGAGAGGTATGCTTCTCTCCTTATGTTCCTCCTGTACACACCGTCTTCTTTGGGGGGGACGAAGACACACGTTAAGAGACGGCGCTTTTTGAATGTTTAGGGCAAAGGCTCGCATGCCAGCATTACCCACCTTGTGCTTATCTCCAAATATACTTTTAAAAGTTTAGGAAGATCACAGGACGGCAGTGTAAAGCGATGATCTATACAGGCACAAAAACCAAGAGACTGCTCCTCCTACATACAGTTAGTGTCAATCAAGCGCAACTTCTCCCAACATTTGCAAATTAGGGACACACGGAACAAGGCACATCACAAAACAGTGAACTTAGCAAGAAAGGACAGTAAATTCAGTGAAAACAATCAAAGTCACTCCCCCTCATGCTTCTCAAGCATGCTAATCTCTTATGTTGTTATTTTTAAGTTACTGCTATTTGTGGAGATTAATCCCACAGCAGTTAATTTCCTCATACTCACCCAGTGTAAACTCAAAAGCATAAAAACACAAAACAGCATAGCACACCTTTTCTTGGGAAGCTGATATGAAGGCAAAATATTTTTATTCTTATCTTTAACATGCTTAATTTTAAAAGGGGATAAATAGCTGATTAATTTTTTTTCCAGTTTGTCTCCAAATCACAACACACTTGCTGCTTTCTGAATGGTCCCTTGGTGCTGATCTGATTCAGTGGCCAACATGTCCCCGTCTAAAGGTGGTACCCACCCTCACATGAAAGGGAAATGTTTGCAGTGAGGTCATGTGCCCTCCTTCCCCAGGCTACTTTTCCTGACTCTCCACTATGCCCGGGTGCTTAGGGACACACCACATGCCCTAATTGTACAAATAAAGCAGATGCTTTAAGAGAAAAAAAAGGACACGGGAATAATTTCTTTAAACTTAACAGCACAGTGTTCATCTACGTATGGTGGAAGAGAATGTTGATTCTCTTTAGAAACTGCCACTTGATCCCCCAGCCATTTTCACCTCTTCTAGTCCCTTGTTCCAAACAGCTGAAAGTCTCCTGATGGTGGTGTGGTGATCAAACACAATTCAACGTTTCCAAAACTAAACTCACTATCTCTCCCCGAAAATCCATTTGCCCTCGAGTGCACCCAGCCCAGTACATTGTGTGTCCATGGCTTCAGCTCTCATGCTGGCACCCCTGGGAGTCTCACCTCCCTCCTGGCTTCCACATCAGGTTCATTGTTTCTTACATCTCCCTACCACCAGATGGCTTCTCTATCCTCATTGCTACCATGCCACGAAGATGCCTCCAAACTTTGTTCCTACTATTGTAAATCTCCTAAGAGATCTTATTCCTCCAGTCTGGCTCCCTGAAATCCACTTTTACAGATAGAAGCTGGATCATTATTATTAGAAAACAAATGTGACTATGTATGTCCCTTGCTGAAAATCATACATGCTGCTATTAACAGAATGTCTGTGTCCTCCCCAAATTCATTTATGTTGATGCCCTAACCACAGTGTGATGGCTCTTGGAGGAGAGGCATTGGATGATGAGGTCATGAAGATGGAGCCTTTAGATGGAATTAGTGCCCTGGTAAGAAGAGAAAGAGAGACCAGAGCTCTCTCTCTACCACATGAGGACACAGTGAGGAAGTGACTGTCTGCAAGCCAGGAAATGGGCGCTTACCAGACAGACAACAGATTTGCCAGCACTTTGATCCTGGACTTCCAGAGTCCAGAAATGAACGTTGTTTTTTAAGCTACCCAGTTTGTGGTATTTTGTTATAACCCAAAGGAACTAAGATGTATCTCTTTCCTCGTCTGTGGCTAACAGTCCAAACTCCTTAACATGTATTGCAAAGGAGGGCACCACCCACCTCCTATCTCACTTTCTCTTCATCACAGGTAGCTGCCTACCCAGGTGAAACTCTTGCACCTCTTCAAAGGTACCATCTGCCTTCTTGCTTTCAAGTCTCCCCACATTCCATTCTGGCTGCCTTTGGTCCTGGCTATTTCTATCTAATCCACTCCACCAAATTCAGTTCCCTTCTCTGCACCTTTCCAGCTCCCTGCTCCCTCACTGGTGCAGAATTTCTGAGTTTATTCTAATTAATAATCAAGCTATCTGTGTGATATGGTTTGGCTGTGTCCCCACCCAAATCTCATCTTGAATTGTAGTTCTCATAATTCCCACGTGTCATGGGAGGGGCCTGGTGGAGGGTAATTGAATCATGGAGGTGGGTCTTCCTTGTGCTGTTCTCATGATAGTGAATAAGTCTCAGGAGACCTGATGGTTTTATAAAGGGGATTTTCCCTGCACACTCTCTCTCTTTCCTGCTGCCATGTAAGACATGACTTTGCTCTTCCTTTGCCTTCCACCATGATTGTGAGGCCTCCCAGCCATGTGGAACTGTGAGTCCATTAAACCTCTTTCCTTTATAAATTACTTAGTCTCAGGTATGTCTTTATTAGCAGCATGAGAACAGGCTAATACACTGTGTAAGCTACTAATTTCTTACCTGAGCAGGGCAAGAAATTTCCTGTCTCATTGACCATTCTGTCCCAAAGTATGACACATGTTCTGAAGTATGTTTGTTGATAGAATATAGAAATGTATACATGAACGAATGAACAAAAGAGAGGAAGAAAGGCAGAGTGGACGGATGAAGAGAGAAATCAGTGGAAAAGGAGGCTGGGTCTTGTACTCTATGGAAAAAGCCATAATCATGCCATGTGGTGGTGACAGCATGCCATCATCAATGAGTGACCAAAGGGCCAGAGAATGTGCTAAGATGGCCAGAAAAAGAGGAATGCGCTGTCTTTCAGTCTGTCCTCCCACTCTGTGGACCTGGGCCTGCCGGGCTTGGCCTTTAACCCTGGTCCTCTCTCGGGTCTCTTAAGAAAACGTTCTACTATAAAGACACATGCACACATATGTTTACTGCAGCACTATTTACAATATCAAAGACTTGAAACCAACCCAAATGTTCATCAGTGATAGACTGGATAAAGAAAATGTGGTACATATACACCATGGAATACTATGCAGCCATAAAAGAGAATGAGTTCATGTCCTTTGCAAGGACATGGATGAAGCTGGGAACCATCATTCTCAGCAAACTAACACAGGAACAGAAAACCAAACACCCTAGCTCTCACTTTTTATGTTCCTCCAGTCTGTGACTCTGCTGGGAAACAGAATAATGAGCAAAGGAGAGAAAATGGTTCATCTCAGAGCAGCCAATTTGTTCTTTCTGTCCCTTAGCAGTCCTTTCAGAAACTGCATATTCCAGCATACAGATGCCTTTGTGGTTTGAAAGAGTTAATATGTTACCAAGGAGCGAGGAATTTAAATTCTTCCGCTCCTCACCGACAAGATCAGGTCTGATATCCAGGAAACTGTTAAATTCTTCAAACCAAGGCTGAGAATCTTCTTGACAAGCAAACACATTTCTCAGCTCTGGGTAACAGTTTCTGAGAGATGTAGATATGAGAGATTATTTCTCTCCCTTCCCTCGCCCTCAAGAGGAGGGAGCAAGTCAATCATGGACACGTCCCAGCCTGTTAGCAGAGCTCAATTTCTTTGATGGTTTAAAAATCAATGTATGTTCTTTCTCTATTAATTTTTAATCATGAAATCTTCAATTTTAGTAAATCCATATTATTCTTACTGTTTAGATTTTCTTTCTTGTCTTCAAAGAAATCAGTAATCTATCACACATCCTCGTGAGGCTTGTTTATACTGAATTGGCATAAACTGGAAGCATTCCCTTTGAAAACTGGCACAAGACAGGGATGCCCTCTCTCACCACTCCTATTCAACATAGTGTTGGAAGTTCTGGCCAGGGCAATTAGGCAGGAAAAGGAAATAAAGGGTATTCAATCAGGAAAAGAGGAAGTCAAATTGTCCTTGTTTGCAGATGACATGATTGTATATCTAGAAAACCCCATCGTCTCAGCCCAAAATCTCCTTAAGCTGATAAGAAACTTCAGCAAAGTCTCAGGATACAAAATCAATGTGCAAAAATCACAAGCATTCTTATACACCAATAACAGACAAACAGAGAGCCAAATCATGAGTGAACTCCCATTCACAATTGCTTCAAAGAGAATAAAATACCTAGGAATCCACCTTACAAGGGACGTGAAGGACCTCTTCAAGGAGAACTACAAACCACTGCTCAATGAAATAGAAGAGGATACAAACAAATGGAAGAACATTCCATGCTCATGGGTGGGAAGAATCAATATCGTGAAAATGGCCATACTGCCCAAGGTAATTTATAGATTCAATGCCATCCTCATCAAGCTACCAATGACTTTCTTCACAGAATTGGAAAAAACTACTTTAAAGTTCATATGGAACCAAAAAAGAGCCTGCATCACCAAGTCAATCCTAAGCCAAAAGAACAAAGCTGAAAGCATCACGCTACCTGACTTCAAACTATACTACAAGGCTACAGTCACCAAAACAGCATGGTACTGGTACCAAAACAGAGATATAGATCAATGGAACAGAACAGAGCCCTCAGAAATAATGCCACATATCTACAACTATCTGATCTTTGACAAACCTGCGAAAAACAAGCAATGGGGAAAGGATTCCCTATTTAATAAATGGTGCTGAGAAAACTGGCTAGCCATATGTAGAAAGCTGAAACTGGATCGCTTCCTTACACCTTATACAAAAATCAATTCAAGATGGATTAAAGACTTAAACATTAGACCTAAAACCATAAAAACTCTAGAAGAAAACCTAGGCACTACCATTCAGAACATAGGCACCGCAAGGACTTCATGTCTGAAACACCAAAAGCAATGGTAACAAAAGCCACAATTGACAAATGGGATCTAATTAAACTAAAGAGCTTCTGCACAGCAAAAGAAACTACCATCAGAGTAAACAGGCAACCCACAAAATGGGAGAAAATTTTTGCAACCTACTCATCTGACAAAGGGCTAATATCCAGAATCTACAATGAACTCAAACAAATTTACAAGAAAAAAACAAACAACCCCATCAAAAAGTGGGCAAAGGACATGAACAGACACTTCGCAAAATAAGACATTTATGCAGCCAAAAAACACATGAAAAAATGCTCACCATCACTGTCCATCAGAGAAATGCAAATCAAAACCACAATGAGATAGATATCATCTCACACCAGTTAGAATGGCAATCATTAAAAAGTCAGGAAACAACAGGTGCTGGAGAGGATGTGGAGAAATAGGAACACTTTTACACTGTTGGTGGGACTGGAAACTAGTTCAACCATTGTGGAAGTCAGTGTGGCGATTCCTCAGGGATCTAGAACTAGAAATACCATTTGACCCAGCCATCCCATTACTGGGTATATACCCAAAGGACTATAAATCATGCTGCTATAAAGACACATGCACACGTATGTTTATTGCGGCACTATTCACAATAGCAAAGACTTGGAACCAACCCAAATGTCCAACAATGATAGACTGGATTAAGAAAATGTGGCACATATACACCATGGAATACTATGCAGCCACAAAAAATGATGAGTTCATGTCCTTTGTAGGGACATGGATGAAATTGGAAATCATCATTCTCAGTAAACTATCGCAAGAACAAAAAACCAAACACCGCATATTCTCACTCATAGGTGGGAATTGAACAATGAGAACACATGGACACAGGAAGGGGAACATCACACTCTGGGGACTGTTGTGGGGTGGGGGGAGGGGGGAGGGATAGCATTGGGAGATATACCTAATGCTAGATGACGAGTTAGTGGGTGCAGCGCACCAGCATGGCACATGTATACATATGTAATTAACCTGCACATTGTGCACATGTACCCTAAAACTTAAAGTATAATTAAAAAAAAAAAAAAAAGAAATAAGGACTGCCTCCGAAAGCCTGGTGTGGTTTCCCGCCTGGGCCGCAGTAAAGGCACACTGTGCTAGCTGGGCAGGCCACTTGCCATGCCATTCTGTCTTCTAGGAACTGCACTACCAACGGCACATGCAAAACAATCACGTTCCTTCTTATGAAGGAGCTTGGATTCTAGCAGGGAGATAATTATAGGACCCTGTATTAGGTGCCAGAATAGGATGAGGACACCGAGACCAGCATCTGGTCTACCAAGAGGCGTGAATCTAAGAGGACTTCCTGCAACAGAGCATATGGAACAAGTGCATGGCGTCTCCTCCTCCCATACACGTCCCCTGACTGCTGGAATGCCATCTACTAGAAGGGGAGACGTGGTCTCCAGAAACCTAAATTCAGCCATGAAATTTCATCTTCTTTATTTAAACTGTAGCTGCCAGAGTGAAGAATGCAGGTGAGTTACAAATGAATGTGCATGTCCAGGCCAGGCGTGGTGGCTCACACCTGCAATCCTGGCACTTTGGGAGGCCGAGGTGGGTGGATCACCTGAGGTCAGGAGTTCAAGACTAGCCTGGCCAACATGATGAAACCCTGTTTCTACTAAAAAAAAAATATATGTATATATATACAAAAATTAGCTGGGCGTGGTGGTGCGTGCCTATAATCCCAGCTACTCGGGAGGCTGAGGCAGGAGAATCACTTGAACTCGGGAGGCGAAGGTTGCAGTAAGCCGAGATTGCACCATTGCACTCCAGCCTGGGTGACAGAGCGACACTCCATCTCAAAAAAATAAAATAAATAAATAAATAAATATAAAAAAGTGCATGTCCAGGCACCGGGAGACGTCCGCACTGCACAAGAGGCAGTTCTGTTCCTCATGTTATGGCTGAAGACTGAGTAGAACAGAATCATTGGCAAGTGCTGCTTACTCTTCCATGGTTGTAGCAAACAAAACTATAATTTTGAGAAAAATATTTTCTTTATTAAAGTTACTCACATTCTTGAAAAATAAAAATGTGTTTTCATTTCCTCAGGTATGTTGGTTTATTCTTGTTTGTTCTATTCTTAAGAATGGCATTTCAGATTGGGGAGCAAGGATCGGTCAAAACTTTTGCATCATGTATTAAAAATTATAAAGCACAACATGATATATCACATAAACTAAATTAGAAAGAGATTTCTCACAGCAGAAATAAAATATGTTGCTTATTTCTTTCTTGTATTTAATCATCTGCCATAACACATGTATATCGGCAGATTGAAATTCCTAATTTAAGAGAGTCCTATAAAGCCTTTCAAAACAAGAAAGTTGTTGACATACATTGATGAGCATTACTGTTAAATGTAAAATCATCTCAACTTAGATTAAATAAAATGTTTTTTAAAATGTGCCATAGCAAATTTAAAATTTTTTACACATTAAAAGTCAGGAACCAATAAGAATGTTTTGAAAGGCAATTTATTCCAATTGTTTTTGTTAAAAAAGCTGTTTAACAGTGCACTTATTCTGTTTTGTAGAAATTTGCTCTTTTTGCAAGATAATGGATCAATGTCTTTATTTTTTTTCTTTCTTTTTCTTTTTTTTTTTTTTTTTTTTGAGACAGAGTATCACTCTGTTGCCCAGGCTGGAGTGCAGTGGCACGATCCTGGATCACTACAACCTCCGCCTCCCTGGTTCAAGGGATTCTCATGCCTTGGCCTCCCAAGTAGCTGGGACTACAGGTGCCCGCCACCACGCCTGGCTAATTTTTTGTATTTTTAGTAGAGACGGGGTTTCACCATGTTAGCCAGGATGGTCTTGATCTCCTGACCTCATGATCCGCCGCCTCGGCCTCTCAAAGTGCTGGGATTACAGGCGTGAGACACCACGCCCGGCCTAATTTTTGTATTTTTAATAGAGATGGGGTTTCACTATATTGGCCAGTTTGGTCTCAAATTCCTGACCTCAGGTGATCCACTTGCCTCAGCCTCCCAAAGTGTTGGGATTATAGGCATGAGCCACTGCGCCTGGCCTGGATCAATGTCTTCAAATATAATTTTTTGATTGTTCGGAATTAGGCAATTGCATATTGAAATTATCAAATACTTTTTTTTAAATTAACCCAAAACTATATAATCATAGAAATTTCACTGTCTTTAAAAATGTCTCAGAAATCTGCATATTAATTCCAATACCGCTTGTTTTCATTGTAAACATTATGCATGCTCTTGTAAGATATTCAAATCCCATGGAGAAGTGTATGGATGGTATGAAAATCAGTGAACATTTCATCCACAAAGAGATAACTACTGTTTGTTTTTATTAAATTGATATCTTTTTATTCATTCCTTCTGTATAATTAACGTACACACAGGCATGCATAATCATAAAAATACATGGTTGTGTGTAAATGGGATCCCACAGGTAAACCCTTTATAATCTGCCTTTCCACTAATAAACATATGGATTTTTATGTCAATAAATTTAAATTTATATTACCATTTCAAGGCTGCTTAGGAGTTCCCGTGGCTGTAACACATTTCATAAGACTTTTAGGATGCCCTACCCACCTGTTTAAACCAATACAGAGAACACATTCCCTTTTCCCATCTCTATCTATGTATTGCATTATCCCGTGAGATAATGAATTTCAGTTTCAGAAGTCAGATTTCTGGGCCTGAGTTCTGCTCGAGCACTCTTTTTCCTACTGTTGATAGACAGAGCTAAGCTTCCCATCAGAAGAGGTGCACTAATTAAACCTCTCGTATCAGGAGAAGAGACAGTCCACTTAAAATGTATTTTGGAAAAGTCTGCGAGGGCCAATAATAGTTTCTGGCATATCAAGAGTGCTCACTCTTTGAGGATGTGTTTGGATTTTACAAGTAACCCTACGTCATGGGGCCAGGACAGATGAATAAGCTGTAGAGAAAGTTGGGTGCTAGAACGAAGAACAAGACTCAGCCAAACGCCAGAGAGCTGGAGTAAAACCTTAGTCCAGGAGCCTCCTTTGAAGGTTGCAGAGAAACTTTAAACATTGAGAAACTTCTATGTAGGGAGACCGACTCAGTCAATGAATTTTGGAAATTTAAAAAATGATAATTAAAAACCCAAGCACGTCCTCATCTGTTATTTTGAGATTCTCCTTCTCCCACACGGGAAAGCTTAATGTTTTCTTTTTAGTCAATATAAGAAAATATCAGCTTTCCTTTAAAAATAATTACTTCTGTCTACCTTTTCTTGAAAGATCAAATTCATATCAAGTTCATGCTTTCTCTCATATGACACAAAATTACACGGCTGTTGTCCCCCTTTCTCGCCTGTTTGAGCCTTGTTCAGGATGCACGTGAATCCTTTCCTAGACTCAGCAAACATCTTGTGTTACGAGTTGCAATCATCTACTCTCAAGGACCAGAGAAGTGACCTTTCCAAACGCTTAAGGACGCAGTGGATGTTTAGAAGACAGTGCCGCGAATTGTCATAGCATTCTTCCTCCTACCATCCTTTACATTAATTTTCTCATTATTTCAATATCCCACATGTCCTATGCATCTTATCAACTTTACAGATATTTTAATAGAACTTTTGCTCAAACAGTGGTGACTGAGTTTGTGAGTTTGTTGTTATGCGAATACCACCAGGATCTCTGCATAAGACCAACTCACCAGGCGTGAAGCGTCAACTCCCTGGGCTGTGTTGTACATGTTCCCATCTGGAGAGGGAGCTCCACATCCATGCACAGTAACCGTTCAGAGGTACATTTGTGTGCAGTGAACATTAACAAAGGGTTAGAGATTCTGTTCCCACTGCCTTGTGAGCTGATGTATATAGACAAGCAAACCCAAACTCTGATAACTATTTTTGTTTTTTTTGAGAAGGAGTCTTGCTCTGTTGCCCAGGCTGGAGTGCAATGGCATGATCTCGGCTCACTGCAACCTCTGCCTCCTGGGTTCAAGTGATTCTCCTGCCTCAGACTCCCAAGTAGCTGGGATTACAGGCACGCACCACCATGCCTGGCTAATGTTTGGATTTTTAGTAGAGACAGGATCTTGCCATGTTGGCCAGGGTGGTCTCAAACTCCTGACCTCAGGTGATCTGCCTGCCTCGGCCTCCCAAATTGCTAGGCTTACAGGTGTGAGCCACCATGCCCGGCCATAACTTTTTTAAAAAGTTGTAGGCTGGGCGCGGTGGCTCGAGCCTGTAATCCCAGCACTTTGGGAGGCCGAGGCGGGCAGATCATGAGGTCAGGAGATTGAGACCATCCTGGCTAACATGGTGAAACCCCGTCCCTACTAAAAATACAAAAAATTAGCCGGGCGCAGTGGCAGGCGCCTGTAGTCCCAGCTACTCGGGAGGCTGAGGCAGGAGAATGGCGTGAACTTGGGGTGCAGAGCTTGCAGTGAGCCGAGATTGTGCCACTGCATTCCAGCCTGGGCGACAGAGCGAGACTCCGTCTCAAAAAAAAAAAAAAAAAAAAGTTGTAGATTCTGAAGTTTAAAAACAAAGAGAGGAATGCCCTAGAAAAACAGGAACTGACGGAGGAGGCTGTGCCTGGGGCCGAGGTGGTCGGTCACTCTATGTGCACAGCCTGCCTTCACCCCACATGGCCACACTTCCTGCAATTCTATTGGTCAGGGATTCCCTTGGAAGCCAACGTTTATCTTAGACTCTCAAGTCCTCTCAGGGGGTAGGAGCCTCACTTACTCACGTACCACTGAGCCTTTGTTTAAGAGATTATTCTTCTCCTGATGTCTGTGTTAGGTGCTAAGAATGATGTGAGGGGCAGAGGTGGGTCATTTGGGAGGCCCAGGTGTTAGAGGGGACAGAAGGCTGAGACATGGGGTGGCATTTGTACCCAGGGGATGGGCACAGCTAAAGAAAAGAGGAGCTTACTCTACACAAACTTGGTCTGATTTAAAATGCATGTTGACATGGAATACTATGCAGCCATCAAAAGAACGAAATCGTGTCCTTTGCAGCAACATGGATGCAGCTGGAGGCCATTATCCTAAGTGAACTAACACAGGAACAGAAAACCAAATGCCATGTGTTCTCACTTATAAGTGGGAATGAAACACCGGATACTCGTCGGCATAAAGATGGGAGCAATAGACGCTGGGGACTATTAGAGGGGGAGGGAGGGAGGGGCGCAAGGGTTGAAAACTATTGGGTCCTATGCTCAGTACCTGGATCAACCGTACCCCAAACCTCAGCATCATACAATACACCCAGCTAAAAAGCCTGCACATGTACCCCCTAAAATCTAAAATAAAAGTTGAAGTTATGGTTTACAAAATCCTAAAAACAGAAAAACCAATGTGCGTTGGTTGCACCTGCACCTGGGAGGTTAGGCCGTCAGGTGGGGGTGGGGGAGGTTTTGTCCCCCTCCCTCCTGCTCTGCCCTCAGCTTCCCAGGACTAAGGCCACTCACAGTCATGGCTCCCCAGCCACCCCCACGCCTGGGCCACCTTCAGGAGGGAGAAGCTGCTGATGGAGGTCACCAGTCAGCGGCCTCATCTCACGTTTCCACCTGCTGGGCTTGGCCATCTGTATGGCTCACAGGTTAAATTCCTCCATATTGTGTGCTGGAAAACTAGGCATAAATGGAATTGTTCACAGTAACTTATTGTTCCTTGTATAATCAAATCCATAGTCTGTGCAGAATCCCTGCCCCTGAATCTCTAATACTATGGTTTTTCTAAGCTGTGAGTGAAGTGGAAAGTAAAACCTTATGGACTAGTGTGGGAAACGGCAGACACTTTAGGTGCTGGATCCAAAGGAAAGCTCCTTTGCATCTTCCAGCCCCTGGTTCCAGTGAACCATGAAAGTCCAGCTATGTGGTCATCGGACATGCCCTGGGTAGATACACTTACATGTAATGGAATCGTTTGTAAAGGATTAAAGGAGCTAGAACGTTTACAATGTGCTTTAAATGTTATTTTTAATAGACTTTCACAGGCTAGCCAGCATCTTTCTGCGGCTCTCATCATGTAAAATCCCGTTTACAACGTCCACACCTCACCACCTTTCTCTTGCTCTGCAAACCTCAAAGAATATTGCAGTGAATTATACCTTTAATTATATCATTATTCTTATAAATCTTCTCTGGAAAAAAATAAAATGGGCTGAATATAAAATGTAATTTTACTTGTAAAAATATCTCTGATCATGAAGACTATCTTAATATTTGCTTTGTTGAAAAGTATGTGTGTTTGTGTGTGCGTGAATGCACAAAAACATACACACATCTCTTACAAGGGCAAGAACCTGTGAGACGTCTTTCAGGGCCATTGAAGGAGCCCACGCCTTAGGAAGCTCCTGGCAGGTGACTTCATGGAACTGGCATACACATGGCTCTGAAGGTGTGGCCTCATTGTCTGTGTACGACCTGAGCAAATGGCCCGTGGGGAGGAGATTCTGGAGAAAGCAAAGGAGATGCCTCCATGGCCGTCTGGGGCATAGAAGTGCCGCTGAATTTGTGAAATGGAATCAGCAATGCATCTTCTCCAGCGCTTCCTGAACACGCCGTCCAGCGCTCTAACCTGTGTCTGAGACAGAGACCTAAGTGGCACTACAGATAAAAGATGTGTCATAAAAATAGTCCTGTCTCCATGTCTTCCTTCCTGGTGTTTCTAAACTTGCCACACCATGATATCATGGTGGGATACAAAGGGTGTCCACAAGGCCAGATTTAAATTGGAAAGTTAGGAAGGAGAGCTCATTCTAAAGTAAAAAGGGTAGAAGATGGTGTGGGAAAGAAGGGAAGAACACCTTTCAGTATCCACTGGAAAAAAAATACACACACACAAGACACACACACACACACACACACACAAAGACACATATACACACACACACTGCCAGAAAAAGATACCTGTAATGGTGGCTTACAGCAGACTTTTAAAAAAATTAAAAACTTTGTTATAAATGTATAGAGTTTAATATAATGTTTTGACAAATATATGTTAATTATATAAATTAATTTGGCTTAAAACTGAAAGCAATTTAGAAAAGGTCAAACAGGCAGAAAATGCCCATGCAAGCATTTTATAAAATGATTGTTTCAAAAAAATGATGTAATGTTCAGAGGACTTCTATCCTTTCTGCTTAGAATGTGAGGAAACAGAAGTGTTCCCCCCGATCTCATGCCAATGCTGACGATCTGGAACACTGTGAGTGCATTTTCCCATCTTAACAAAGGGAATTATTAGTACCATTGTCTAAGGACTGTGTGGTGCCCAAGGCTGATTCCAATGGCCATTATGCAAGTTGCACAGAAGTACATAAATCTGTAACAGTAACTAAGCACATCAGGATAGAGTTTTATATTTTTTCAAATAATGTTTACAAAATATTAATATTATGCAATTTGACTTAGTTATAAATGCATCTTTTTCTTTTAAAAATGAAGAAAACAGGTATATGGATTTGTTGGCATTACAATGAAATAACTGTTCTGTCATGGAGACCACACAAAGGCCAGGAGCATGTGTCTGGGCAGAGACGCCTGAGACGATAGGAGTGAGTGTGGCACAAGGGCCTGGAGAGTGTGGCCGGGCAGAGCACCTGGGACGATAGAAGTGAGTGTGGGTGGTAAGCACCATCCTCCTAAGGTGAGGGCTGCGGAGGATGGAGCATCTGCAGGGGTCCTGCCTCCCTTCCTGGGCTCAGTGCTGCTGTCTGCTTCTCAGCCCACCCCTGGAGACAGATACGACCCCTAGATCTAAATGAGCAAAAAGATGCAACCTAAAATGCCAAGCTGCTGTCCCCTGTGTCCAAAGGAGGGCCGGCTTGTTCAGGAGCTATTGTTGAGATCCATGAATAACAAATAACTTCAGAATTAACAAGTGCATCTACACAGTGAACAATTTCCTATTGTTTCCATGCTTACTCCTAATTTTCTTGGTGCAATTTTCGTAGATTAATCAATGAGCTGACACCCTATTAAATAGGGGCCACCTTAGATATGCAGTCACTTTACAATGCATCTCCTTTGGTGCTTCTGCAGCAAAACTCCAGGCAATGTCTTGTGTGACCTTGAACATCCTTCACAGCCATCAGCACTAAATATAAGGCTTTTTGTCCATTTGTTCCACAGAGCAGAAAGGAAAGGGGTCTGGAGTATTTGTTACTCTCATCTGAGATCATCTCTTAGCTTAGGAGTTGCCTCATGATGGCATTTCTCAGCAACAAGACTCAGTGACAATTGGGCTGCTGCAGTTATTAGCATTCAAAAGCCATGCAAAGCTGCAGCTGAACTCCAGCTGCTAGCAGGCTTGAAAAGACCCAGTGCCTTGCAAATCTCTCAGACAGGCATTTGGAGACTAGCACTCCATGACCAAATCATCCTCCCCATGTAAACCTCACATCTAATGATAATGAACAGCACCACAATCAGACAGCCTCCTCAGCCTGGATGCTTGCAAGTCTGTGTCAGAGCGTTGGTGTCAAACAAAACCTGGAAGGACTCAGGATGCATCCATAAATATGCCACTCTGCATGGCTGAGAGGGTGCGAGCACACAGCAGGCACACTGCCTGTTGGCGATGTGGGCTCCAAGCCCCTGGGCAGAGGCGTTCTGTTGGAGTTAGCACTCAGGCAGGACTCCAGGAAGGACCGTTCCCTCCATCAGATGCCATTCGGCTATGTCCCAAGCGTGGTTTGTCCTTGAGGAACTCCAAGGGTAAATGAGGCACGAGAACCCACAGCTGACTGTCTGTTCAGGCACAAGGCAGAAGCCACATATTCTGCCACCAACACTTCAGCTCACGGCCTCACAAGTGACTCCAAAGGAGCCTGAGTCCTCTGCACCCGCAGGACGGGGGGCGGGTGGGTGGCTCAGAGGCTGACAGCGTGTGACAAGCTGCCAACCTGCTCACGAGAGCTGAAATGGCAGCCAAAGGCACAAGAAGGCAGGGTGTCTGCGTCCCAGACGAGGACAGCTGGGGCACATAGCAAGCAGCCCGTCCACCTGGGAGCCCCGCAGCAGACGGCAGATCACTGTCACTTAAAGACACAGGTCCATCTGGTACCGTGTCTCCTGGTTACCAGGATTTCCAATTTTGAATTTTAATACACTTTGTCTTTCACTTTCCTGCTCAAGAAAGAGCCACAGACACCTCAGACTTTAAACTGCATCTGAATCTGTAGTTCTAGGAGCCAGATAGAGAATGCTGTTGGAGGAGATTGGCGAGAGGCCGCCTGAGGAGAGCCTGCACCTCTAATTTAAGCAGGATGCAGGATCACACCTCTCATCCTCCAGGGCTCACCAGTTCCATTTCCCTGGTGCCCGCATGACTTATCTGGATATCAAGGAGACTGGCAGAGATATCTAGCAATGATCTCTTTACTAAAGGCATAAAGCAGTGCTCCCCAACCTTTTTGGCACCAAGGACCAGTTTCTTGGAAGATCATTTTTCCATGGACAGTGACGGGGTGGAGATGGATGGTTTCGGGATGAAACTGTTCCATCAGGCATTAGATTCTCATATACAGCACACAACCTAGATCCCTCCTATGCTCAGTTCACAATAGTGTTCGAATTCCCATGAGAATCTGATGCCACCTGCTGATCTGATGGGGGGCGGAGCTCAGGCTGCAATGCCACTGGCCTGCCACTCACCTCCTGCTGTGAGGCTGGGTTCCTAACAGGCCACGGATAGGTAGTGGTCTGTGGTTTGGGGACAGGGGACACCTGGCATAAAGGAAAGAGATGAGTATAATAGGTGTTCCCTTTAGATCCTAAGTCAAACCACAGAAAGGTGCCAAGGGCTTGAGGGGCACCTGGGATTAGAGAATACGGTTGTCTCCAGGGCATGGCGTTCCTGTCTGTATTCTTCAGAGCACGAGGTATGAACAGACATCTCACAGAAATAGAGTCCATTAAGATTGGAAGCTTGGGGTAAACAACATGAACAGGTTTCTCCACTATGGGATTCTTAACACTTTTAGTAAGTTAGTGCACAGCATGAGCCTCCAAAAGGCAGATATTGTCTTTGATGCACCCGGATTATTTTATTATGGAATTCTTCTTATGTGGCATATAGGTTGCTCAAGAATAAAATGCTGTGTCCTTCTTGTGAACTCACAGTCCTGTAAGGAGCCCTGCCTCCCCCTGCTCCAGTAAGATTCACATCAGGCTGTTACAAGCCTTGCTCTTATTCCATGATATGTTCTGGAGGCGGCTGTCACCAAGAGGGAAAAATCCCATAGACAATATTGCTCTTAGTTTGCTCTATGCAGGTTTATTCTCCCTTCTCTTTCTTTCCCTCCTTCCTTATTTTCTTCCTTCCTTCCTCTCTTTTGTTCTTTTTTCTCTCCCTTGGTTTCTCAATTATGTTCTTCAGCAGAGCAAGTTCAATAACATATAAAAATCATGTAAAATTATCCTTAGAGATTCCTGTAAGCAATAAGGGACTTTAATGGAAAAGTGTCTTTAAAACCAGCGGAAAAGAATAATGAATTCAGTAACTAGTGCTGCATATATAAACACCAAGTGGGAAGGCAATCCCAAGGCCAGCTAACATGCACTGCATATGTGTGCTGTGTTAGGCACTGCATGGAGATTATCAACAATTGCATGAGGCACAAATGAGGAAAGCAATGGGGACTGACTTGCCCAAAGCCACCTCGGCCAAGTGGCTAATTCATTATTTCAACTCTGAGCTCAACCTCATTGTTCTCAGAACCATATGCAGAGCTGGGTTTACCAAGTTTCTGTTCCCTTACTCAAAGTCTGTCACAGCTGAAGGAGGAGAATTCAGTCATGTCTGGTTCAGTGGCCACACTACCTGTCAGGCCATACAGGGTTCTTTCCAGGGCTGTTTCATTCTGGCATTGCAAGCATTCTGCTGAGAACGCATTGTTACCCTCATTTGCAGAAGAAGGAACAGAAGTTCCCGAGAGTGCATTATTAGGCTGCAGACAAGTTGGTCTCAAATTAGGCTGCCATCCCAGGTCTGCATTTCAGGCTGCAGACAAGTTGGTCTCAAATTAGGCTGCCATCCCAGGTCTGCATTTCCAAAACTCAACTGCCTTTTCCCTCTCCAACTGCATGTGTGGGATCCTGAAGTCCTGTCTCTCATCTGGACCACAGCTTCCTACCTCCACTCTCCATGCCCTGACCCAGTCACCATATTGTCAACATAGTGATCACATCCAAATTCACATCCCAGTATCCACCTAAAAAGTGCTTTTCCTCTCTCACCTCGCCTCTCTCTTTGGGCTCTGCCATCTTCCACCTCCCTTTACACCGGTGGGACAGGTTGTCTTAGAGTCAGCCTCCAGAAGCCCAGATGCTTTGAATGGAGGGAGAGGAAGCCGTGGTGCCTGGCACTGATCTGTCTTGGGGAAGACGGCCTTTGAAGCCAAGTGAATGCAAGATACCGTAAGGCTCTCTAAGGTGAACTTGCTCTGGGACTTGCTTATTCTCTACCTTCAAGAAGATAAAAAAAGCACTAAAATAACACCATGTCTTCACATGTATGGGCAATATATGTTTCATCTTGATTTTTTGAGATAGTTTAAAACTAAACAAAGACAATCATTACTAATATTAGTAAGAAAATTCCATGTAGATTTCAGTTTTCCATCTACTGCAGTAAGTTACATAACTTGAAAAAAATAAGTCAGTGTTTAACTTGCAAAGTACAGTTTGAACACCAGGGTTAAAGCAGTCTCTCTCTTCATCCTGGCTGTGCTGGTCTCTTTCCAACTAAGACCAATTGCTACCAGTTTTGACTAAATTACAATTTTTTTTAGAAATTACAGCACAGATCATGATAATAATTTATTTTGATCTCTAACCTAAAAGGATCATCTACTCTTTCTTACACCTTAGATTCTCTACCTTATCATCCTGATGGCTCAACGCTTTAGGTCCTATTTTTCTACAAAGATTCGAAATGTACAACTAGGCTTTTGATGTGAAGAGCATATTCTTAAAGAAGAAAGTAGGGGAGGAAAGAAGGAAAAGAGAAAGAGAGGGAGTGAAGAGGAAAGGAAGGGAAGGGAAAAGAAGGGAAGGGAAGGAGGGAAGAAGGGAGGGAAGGAAGGAAGGAAGGGAAGGAGGGAGGGAGGGAGACGGAGGGAGGGAGGGAGATGGAGGGAAGACAAAAGAATGGAAAAAGACAATGTGACAAATTTCAAGGCTGGCTCTGAGGAAAACTGTCAGTTAGGATGTCAAAGTTTAGGAGAGAAGAAAATGCTATACTAAGCACCTCTTTACACTCTTGAAGTAAGTAAAATGACAGTAAAAACTTTGAGTCTGTGCCAAGAAAACTGGTAGAAATCACTCTTTGGATATGTTAAAAGGAAGGAGTTATAACTCGACCAGCTTTAGAGTCTCTTAGTAAAAACTCAGTGCCTAAAACACTGCAGCTTAAAAAACATTAAGATTTTTCTGTGGTGCTATAGAATACTGTGAGAAGAGACCATTGCTTTTATGAATATTGGACTCCTCTCTTGAGTAGGACAGGAGGAGGAAAACAAAATCTATAGTCAGTCAGTAAGTACATGCAGCTTACTTAGAAGAAAAACAGCTGGGGAGGGATGTACTCCCTCCCAATGTCCACACCGAGAGTACTTTCAGGACTACTGAGTACTGACCATGTGGCATGTTCACAGACGTTAGGGGCCAAAGCCAAACAGAAGATTCATTCCACACCCTAAGAAGCTGAGTCCAGCATTGAAAAATAGCCAGTGAAAATACTATAGGAAGTGCAATATGACATTTGAAATCCATTAGCTCCTCTTGTTCATGGGGGATATGTTCCAAGACCCCTAGTGGATGCATAAAATCTCGGATAGTACCACACCATGTCTATGCTGTTTTTCCTATATATACATACCTAGGATAAAGTTTAATTTATAAATTAGGCACAGTAAAAGATTAACAACAGTAACTAACAAAAAAAGTAGCTAATAAAAACAGCACAACTATAGGCCGGGGGCAGTGGCTCATGCCTGTAATCCCAGCACTTTGGGAGGCCAAGGTGGGTGATCACCTGAGGTCAGGAATTTGAGACCAGCCTGGCCAACATAATGAAACCCGGTCTCTACTAAAAACGCAAAAAATTAGCCAGGTGTGGTGGCAGGTGCCTGTAATCCCAGCTACTGGGGAGGCTGAGGCAGGAGAATCACTTGAACCCGGGAGGCAGAGGTTGCAGTGAGCCGAGATCGCGCCACCACACTCCAGCCTGGGTGACAGAGCAAGACTCCATCTCAATCAATCAATCAATCAATAAAAGAAATAAAAATAGCACAACTATAATAACATGCTAGCATCACCATTCTTGTGCTTCGGGGCCATTATAAAGTCAAATAAGGATGATTTGAACACAAGTGCTGCGACACTGTGACCGTTGACCTGATCACCTGGGCAGCCACTAGGGACGAACTGCTGGGTAGCCCACAGGGCGTGCACACGCTGGGCAAGGGAACAATTCTGGTCCAGAGCAGGATGGAGCGAGAAGGTGTGAGACTTTATCAGGCTACTCAGAATGGAGTGCAATTTAAAACTTATGAATTATTTCTGGAATTTTCCATTTGGCATTCTCAAACTGGGGTTGACTGTGGTGAGTAGTTGAAACCTCAGAAAGGAACCAGAAACTAGGGGAGAATACCGTAGGTTCCAGACCAGTTACGCTGATCCCCAAACTCAGTCTGAGGGAGGGGCAGGGTCAGACGCAGAGATGGTGAGGGCTGCAGGAGACGATTACATGGTTAACGACAGAGTGAATGGAACAATGTCATTCTGTGCAGAGGACAGAAAACAGGTGCAGGGGCCTGGCAATCAGAGGCGTCCCGAGTAGATGAGCCCCGTGCATGGTGTCAAGCTGCAGCAGAGAGGGGCCTGATAATCATAGCCCTTGGACATGTTAAATAATTCAATTCTACTGGTGATGAGAAGGCAGTGGAAGAGTTTAAGCAGAGGCGTGGCCTGGATAAGTTAAGATTTATGTAGATTATTAAACAAGCTATCTTAGTTAGGAGTTCCTTGGAGGGGTCCATGCCAGGGATGAGGGTGTGAATGTCAGGGCTGGTGAGGGGTAGGGGTGGAAGTTTTTGGGAAATGATTTCAGAAGCACACGGCCATCTACTGAACAAGGGGAATAGATACTCCTGTGAGCCTGGCTTTTATAGCAGTACAGATATTGATGCCACTGAGCTAAAAAATATAAGAGGTCCAGGCATCATGGCTTGTGCCTGTAATCTCAGCACTTTGGGAGACTAAGGTGGGAGGGTTGCTTGAGGCCAGGTGTTCAGGACCAGCCTGGACAAAATAGTGAGTCCCTGTCTGTACTAAAGATTTAAACAATTAGCCAGATGTGGTGGTGGGTGCCTATAGTCCCAGCTGCTCAGGAAGCTGAGATGGGAGGATGGCTTGTGACCAGGGGAAGGAGGCTGCAGCTATGAACGAGACCCTGCCTCAAAAAACAAACAAAAACAAAGAATGCAAGAAGGGCAGCCATCAGAAGAAAGGTGATGGCCAAGCTCAGGTGCTGCATTTGAGATGTCTCAGGAATATCAGTGTTAAGATCCTGGGAAACAGATACCACCTGGGGCTTTGCCCAAGCAGTCAGAGCTGGAGGTGCTGGGCCAGAGTCCCTCTGCACACACACAGGTGGTTGTTTAGACGTGAGACTGGATGAGAATCATGGGAGGGCTCATGTGGGGGCGCAGGGGCTGATGCGGGAAGAGGAGGAAGGCAGAGGCTGGGGGTGGGCTGGAAAGTGAGGAAGAGGAAAATCTTTACTAAGGGATCGATGGTGTCAGGTGTGGCTTGGAAGACCATCAAAAGTAATTTTAAAATGTCTATTGGATTTGGAAATTAGAAACTCAACTAGTGATGCTAGTGAGTTCAGTTTATACTGAGTTTGTATTCCAGCAAGCCAGCTGACTGGAGGCCGGCCTGAATAGAGGAAAGGAAGACTCTCTGAGTGGGTTTCCATGAGAGAGGATGGTGGGCTCGCCAGCAGCTGGTGTCGGGTGGCATCTGAAGAGGTTGGCAGCAAGGGCTGAGGGAGGGAACAGCAGAACGAACACGGAGGAACCCCCGGGTGCAGCGTGTGAGAGGTACTGAGAAGTGTGCTGATGAGGCTGCTGGTGGACTAGTGCCGGAGAGGGACAAGGCCAGACAGGCAGGCAAGTGAAGAAGAGATGGGAGAGGGCCTCTGGACCGGATGGCAGGAGGTGCTGCCCGAGGGGCTGGCTCTGGAGCCTTAGTCCACTGTAAATGTTTTGTCCTCCTAAGGGGCTCAGCGGGCGTTTTGAAGATTGGTGACACTTCCGCCTGAGGTTTACGTCCCTGTTCTCTACTCCTGTTTGCACTGGGAGGGCTGATGCCCAATGACGCTGGGGAGGAAGAAGAAACCCTCCTAACTCATAGGTTTCTTAGTCCCAGGATTTGAAACCCACTCACCATCTGTTGGGTGAGCTACTTTACCTGAATGATACCTAGGTTAATGAAGATTTATTAACTCAATAGCTAGGAAACTTAAAACCCGTGGTGACATCTAAAACTAAGGAATAAAGAATAGATACTAGAGTCTATTCATTGCAGCACTATTCACAATAGCAAAGACATGGAATCAACCTAAATGCCTATCAATAGTAGACTGGATAAAGAAAATGTGGTACATATACACCATGGAATACTATGCAGCTATAAAAAGAATGAGATCACGTTCTTTGCAGAAACATGGATGGAGCTGGAGGCCATTATCCTAGCAAACTAATGCAGGAGCAGAAAACCAAATACCGCATGTTCTCACTTATAAGTGGGACTTGAATGAAGAGAATACATGAACACATAGAGAGGAACAAAAGACACTGAGGCCTTCTTGAGGGTAGAGAGTGATAGGAGGGAGAGGAGCAGGAAAAATAACTAAGGTGCTAGACCTAATGCCTGGGTGATGAAATAATCTGTACAACAAACCCCTGTGACACGAGTTTACCTATGGAACAAACCTGCACATGTACCCCTGAAATTAAAAGTTAAGAAAATAAATGCGGCCGGGTGCAGTGGCTCATGCCTATAATCCCAACACTTTGGGAGGCTGAGGCAGGCAAATCACCTGAGGTTGGGAGTTCAAGACCAGCCTGACCAACATGGAGAGACCTTATCTCTACTAAAAATACAAAAATTAGCCAGGCATGGTGGTGCATGCCTGTAATCCCAGCTACTCGGGAGGCTGAGGCAGGAGAATCTCTTGAACCTGGGAGGCAGAGGTTGCAGTGAGCCAAGATCGTGCCATTGCACTGCAGCCTGGGCAACAAGAGTGAAACTCCATCTCAATCAATCAATCAATCAATCAATCAATGCCAGAGTTAAATTCATAGAAGTTACCACAGAAAAATTTTTCTCTTAAAAGTGTTGGACTGAATTGTTATAATTGGTAAATTTAAAAACTTCTGTGTTGTGATCACCAAATATCTAAAGTATCCAAAGTGGCTCCTGGATAGCACAGATGGGACTCAGGGAAACGAGAGCAAAGCCTCTGCCTTTCTGAACATTAAGACAGGAGCCAACCATCTTCTTGAAATCTTGTTTTTTAATATAAGCCATGTAAGATGAAAATATTTTTCTGTCTATTAACACCTATAATTTCCTGGTGGTCTATTATGTGTCAGACACCAAACCAGAACTATGATGTATGTCATCTCATCTATTCTCAGCACAATCCTTCGTTTATTCATGAAGTCAAACTTGTTCAAACCAGTGTGTCCTGGAGTCAAGATTTGAACCCAGGTCTTGCTAAATTTAAAACCCTCAATCTCCCCATTGCAATATGTTGCCTTCAATTTACAAGCTTTATTGCATGCTAAATGGGATGCCCCAGACACAAGGTTACTTTCTGCTGATGACTCAAGGAATTGCTATGCCCACTGTGTCGGGGGGATGCTGGACGTCCTCATGGAGCTGTATGGAGCCACTAATACCAACTTTTTAAATGTTCACATCATCTTTCACCACGGAGCCATCAACATCACTCCTTACTCCTGTCATGAGAGTTGGTTCCAGGCATCTGGAGGTTCAAAACCATGTTCCATGATTTGCTGTGTGTGCAACTCCAACCCTGTGATTCACCTCGCTAAGCCCCACTCTGTCACATATGAAAAGGAGATGGGATCTAATTCTAGGGTCTTCATAGTGACCCTATAGTGACCCATAGTGACAAAAAATCACTAAGCACTCTCGGCTGCAGAATAGACAGGTATGTAGGTGGATAAATAAATTTTAAAAAGGTATTATTACCTTAAATGTGTTCTTCCTTAGTGTAAAGTGAGCTTGTAAAATATATATTAAAACCTATTAATCTTGTAAAAATAACCTAAAATTTGGAATATCCCGGCTGGGAAGCTGTGCTAGGAGGAGGCTGAATTAGAGCTCATAGACTCAGGGACATTTACTTGTTTATCAGAAACCTATTGATATTCCAGTGACTTCTTACACTTTTAGTTCCAACCTGAAGGCAAGGCTGCTGAGGAGTTATGTTCTTCTAGAAGCTGTGACTATATTAAACAATAACACAGGTTGCAGCCCCCAACAGGGGAGAGAACTGAGTGTGCAGTCTTAAAGTCAACGTAGCTGCCAGCTGTATCCTCGCATAGCAAGAGAGCACAAGGCACTGACTGGCCAAATTATGTAAAATATGTTTACTAAATCTCAGCTTATTCCTTTCTCATAAGCAAATTTGAAAAAAGTCCAGTTTAAAAATTTAATGTAGATTAGAAGTTTATTGTGCTCAATTCATTGGTGCCATTAAAGTGTTTTTGCCCTTACCAGAGGAGACGAAGGCTGGCTTTCTGCTTTTTTATATCTACGCTTACGTTGGCAGAGGTGAAGGAAGGAAGGAGGTAGCACTCTCTGCTGAACCTCAGACTACACTATTGGGGCAATGGCCTCCGGGGCCCCAGGGACACCTGACATCACAAGAGGGTCCCTCCCAGTGCTGAGCAAGAGCTGTCATCTTGGGAACAGAGCAAAGCGGCTGTTGGAGAGCCCTGCTGAGACAGCAGGATCATCGGGGAGGTCTCGAGGGAGACTGAGGAAAAATATACATGTTTTAATGGGACCTTGTCAAGGTTTCTTTAGAAAACAAAGCTGTTTTTGTTTTCCATTTGTTTCCATCCGTTTGGGGGAAAATCTCAAGATTTCATTCAAGCCCGTTTAGGCACAACAGAGTTTTGACCATGTTACAATGGGTTCGGCAAAATAAGTGTCCTGCTGAAATGCTGATGACGTCACAGTCTGAATGGCTTATTACTCATTTAGAAGCACAGAGTACATTTTTATAAAATAAAACAATCAAGCAGATCAGTGAACCTACTGTCTAAAATTGTAAGAATAATTACGTTTTAAGTTTTATCTCAGCCTGTAAAATATAATGAAATCATATAATCTATGTGAAAGCACTGTAAAAATGGTATATATAGATATAAGGCATTATTATTATTCATAACTTTGCTTCATTAGTTTAACAATGACATATCAGGCACTTCATAATTTTACCAAGTACTTAAACAAACTTAATATGTCCATGGACTAGACTTTTGTAAAATAACCATTTAATAATAATTTCTTTATTATTCTGGAGATTTTTTGTCACTTTTAGGGGAAAAGCAGAGGTGGGAGGGAGCTGCCATTAGTTCAGGTTCAATGGTTAATATTTTAATTTCATTACAATTTTCACAAAGTGCAGTGACTTGTAGTATCTTTTTATCTTCATTCTTGGCAATGTCAGAGGCCAGTGAGAAAGTCAGATGATACATGTGCTGAGCATATGAGGAAAGGCAGGAGATGAAACATTGAGACACGCCTCCTGGGCCTTCCACTGGAGCAAAACTGCCATTGTTTCCCTTCCTATGCATTCATCTGCTTCTTTTATAGGATATGCATGGTTTGCTTTGCTCTCATTTAATTTTAAAAGAAAATGTCTGTTGTCATAGAAATATTTTTCCACACTGAGACTGCATCACACCAGCAGGTCTTTGGGCTTTTTGGTGCAGCAGTCAGCATCTCTCAAAGGGTAGATCCAGTCTTATGTCCCTAAATTTTCATAGCAGACAACGGATCCACAGAGCCAGACTCTGTGGAGGCCTCGCACCAGAGAGACCTCATATCTAGGTCAGGCTTCAGCTCTGCAGGGAGCTTCTCTCCTGGCTCCTTTCTCCATTCCTAGGTCTCTTGCCCTTTCCAATATTTTCTTCAGCAACATTCCTTCTGGAGACTCAGTTTACCTTCCATATGGGTTGAAGCCTCATTTCATCTGCCTTTGTCCACAATCACACAGCCTTGCAAGACAGGAACCATGTGCAGACACACCGAGACCACACAGTGTAGCAAGTGGGTTCTGAAGCAATATCAGTTAGACTAACTTTATATATGCCCTGGCCCTTGCTAGGCAGATTTTATTTTAAAAGAAGAAGAAGGAAAAAAAACCCACTTCTGATTCCCTGCCATTGTTTCCTAGAAAAAAATCTGCAAGGAAAGGTTTGGCAGACTCCCGGGGAGCTGTGAAACAGTGTGTTTGGCATGCAGTCACCTCAGCAGTAATTTGCATGTTCCAGGCTGTCATTCCTGGGCTGCGCCTGACAAGGCCTGCAGGGGCCTATCACAAATGCGCACCATGAGATCGCTCCTTTCTTCTTTGCACTTAAGTGACTAAAAGCAGAAACCTTGAGCTGGGGTTGGTCACTGTCCTGAATCAAAATGCAATTCATATCGGCACATGGCTCTTTATTCAGTCACAGTTCTGCTCCTCTCTCTCCTCCCATGGCATAAACACACACACACACACACACACACACACACGCGTAGGTGGACACGGGTGCACACACTGCACATACAGATGCACAAACATTCAAGTACACACACACACACACACACACACACTTGAAATTGGATATAAAGACCTTAATATCAACATGGAGGATTAGGCAAGCAGAAAGCAATGGTCTATGATGACACGTGTCTTTCACCGACAGGCAGACAGCGCAGGCAGACCCAGAGCCTCTGCTCCAGGGAAGGGGTGATGGGGTGGGGTGAATGCTGGTATTTCCTGCTGAAGGGCTCCAGGGCCTCGTGCCATTTGCACGCTTACCTATAGGGCATTTTGTTGTGTACCTTGTCTCAGGATCGGTGTTACAGCACATATGCAGCACTTGTAGGAGAAGAAGTCTAACCTAACATCTAAAACACTCAGTGCATCATGACAAGTTTCCACCTGCCCACATCTCACTTCCACAATCCGCAGGTTGCTGTAGCAATCAGCCGGCACGGGGACATGTGAAGAGCTCCTGAGACTCCCAGGAAAATACTTGGTGAAGCAGGGGGCTGTCGGGGTGACGGTGACAGACCTGCTTTTCAGCCTGTGCTAAAAAGGAAGGGAGGCAGCATACTAGGCAATCCTTATTGAGTCCACATGGGAATCGCTAACTTGGAAATGGGGTCAAGGGTCCAGTATTCATGGTCTCTTCGGGGTCCTCAAAACTCTTAGGTGTCGGCACTGAACACACCCTCCTCTCCACTGCAAATGCGTGTTTTAATTAGGTGCACAGATGTGCTTTAAATGGAGGTGAGAGGCGCTCAAACCAAAAGCTCCGGAAACTCCCTTAATTAACACACACCAGGTGTGGTGTGGGATCTCGCCTGGCTTTCCTGCCCCATCCCCAGACGCTGGGGAGCACCTCGCTGCTGAGCGCGGGCTGTGTTCAGACCAGCACCCTCTTCACCCACAGGCCTGTGTTGAGATTGCCGACTAGGAGGTGGCCGATGCCAGCCTGGGAGCTGCCTTAGCGAGGGGGCGTGGATCCCCCTGGATGCCCCTGGAGAATTGAATATCTCTTCAAAGGACAGAAAGGCCATTAGCAACTTCTGGCCATTAAAGCCCTCGCAGCCTTCGGCCCAGATAACCAAGCAGATGACCTTGAAAAGCCCTGTGCTATTACCTTGCCTAGTACCTTTGCATTAAATTGTTGATCATTTGCATTTCCTCTGGGGGGCTCTTCTGTTTGCTACTTTTTCTTCTTTCTCTCCTTACCCTCATAAACACTCAGCAGGCTGTGAGTGAATTCAAAAGCCCAAAGTGCTCAGGTGCTGGGCAGGAGCTCCAGGCTGGACACCCTGCGATAGCACCCAGGTCTGTCACGTAACAGCTGTGTGGCCATGGGTGAGCGGCAACCCATGTCTCTCTGTGTCTCAGTTTCCTCGTCTGCAGATGAGGATGATCATAGTATCAACCTCATGGGGTGTGGAGAAGTTTAACGAGGTAATACATGTGCCTCTCACATAGCACATGACGATCTTCCACACTCATTGCATGTTAGTTCTGACTTTCATCATCGTGAGTAGCATGTGCACAAGAAAGACGATGTAGGCTTTGCAAACAAAAACAAAACCTCAGGAGATACCAAATGTTTGCTTCAGTACATGTCTGTTCACATTTTTAGTGTTGGTATTTCTCATTGGAAGAGAAAAAATACTATTATTTGAAAAAGTGGTAAAGCAAGAAAAGCATTTACTTTGATTTTTATATAATAGAAACCAAATGGTTGATGAAGGAACGTTTTCTGTAGAGAAGTCCTCTGAATAATAAATTAAGAATGATAGAGTATCATCTGTAACCTTGGATAAATGCTGGATGTAGGCCATGGGCATCACTGGCTGCTAAAGCCATGAGGTGAGAGGGTTGAGGGGAGACTTCCTAATAGTTTGGTCAGGCTGACAACCTGGGCAACATGCGTCCCTGTGCTGCCAACTGTAAGGCTACAGAATGGGAGGCAACCAGACATTGCACGCCATCTTCTCAAGAAGATGCCACAAGATCAAAGCTGCGGTGGCTTAGGTCTCTGCATTAACCACCAGTTTGCAGGAAACTCAGAGGTCAGAGGAACATGTTAAATGGCACCAAAGAAGTGACCTCAGGAAAACACAGACTGGGGTACCCTCTGCCCAGCTTATTCAAGAAATAAGTCACAAGACATAAAGCAGGGAGGAGAAGGAAGGAAAGGCCATGTAGACCAAAGAAGAGGATTCAAAACACATGTCAGTAAGATGCCACTGTGGATCTTATTTAGATTCCAATTCAAAAACAAACTGGGCCAGGCACAGTGGCTCACACCTGTAATCCCAGCACTTTGGGAGGCCAAGGCGGGCGGATCACTTGAGGTCAGGAGTTTGAGACCATCCTGCCCAACGTGGTGAAACCCCATCTCTACTAAAAAAAAATACAAAAACTAGCCAGGCATGGTGGTGCGTTCTGTAGTCCCAGCTACTCGGGAGGCTGAGAATTGCTTGAACCCGGGAGGCAGAGGTTGCAGTGAGCCGAGATTGCACCACTGCACTCCAGCCTGGGCAATGGAGAGAGACTCCATCTCAAACAAAACAAAACAAAACAAAAACCAAACTGTATTAATATATTTGTGAGACCATATGGGAAATGTGTATCCTGCTTGGATATTTGATAACAAGAACTTTTTGTAATGTTTGATGGGTGGTTATGTTTTTGTAAAAAGAACTATTATTTTTAGGAATTTATGCTAAATTATTTCTAGCTAAAATTACATGCTCACTTGGATTTGCTTCAGAGTGACCCGTGCCTGCACGAGGAAGAATGGTCGGGTATCAATGAAACAAGTGAGGCCACTCTGGGAGCCTGAAGATGTATATTTGGGGCTCAGCCCCACTTGTGCCTATGTTGAATCCTTCTATTGTAAAATGTTTTTATCATTTTACATAACATAAAGAACTTGAAATGAGAAGGATGTGTCATTACATTTCCCAGGTCTCAGTTGACAAAATTAAATGAAGAAACAAAGACAAAGAACCCAGCTCCCTGGGTATGCGGCAATAGAGCAAGATGGTGCTGGGGACGCCAGCTCCCAGCAGCCTCAGAGGTGGATGCATCAGCTCAGTGAATGTGCTGTCACTCTGGGCAGGAACTCTGCATTAATGTGCATATGAATTTGTGGGGTACTTATTAAAATTTTTTATATCCAGGCCCTATACTAGAAATTCTGATACCTTAGGACTCGAATGGAGCTCCAAGGAGAATGAAAAGCAAAGTTGGGGTTCTAACGGAAGTGGTCCGAGAACCGTTCTTTGAATACTGGTTTAGGGCCAGGTGATCTTCCTGGTAGTTTCGGAAGCAGGCACACTTGGTGGCGTTTACGTTCAGGATAGACTCGCTTAGCCAATGTCCAATTTCACAGACCAGTGTTTCCGGCCAGAAGTCAGTCTGTGCATCTCTGCAGGAAACACAAATGAATTTGGACTCCAAACTCAGCTCAGACCAGCAAGCTCACCAGAGTCCTCCCTGAAGGCAGACCTCCATGGGGCGCCAGATGATATTAGCAACAGAACCAAGTTAGAACACGGGAAGTGGGGTGGGTAGGTAGGGAATGCAGACAGTGCCTGCGGTCCACAGAGAAGGTCAGGTGGGAATGCAGGTGGTGCCTGGGGTCCACGGAGAAAGGGGTCAGGTGGGAATGCAGGTGGTGTCTAGGGTCCACAGAGAAAAGGGATCGGGTAGTAATACAGACAGTGCCCGCGGTCCACAGAGAAGGAGGTCGGGCAGGAATGCAGGTGGTGCTCGTGGTCCACAGCAGCTGAGCCCTTGCTGACTCACCCCTCAGAGGGCAGCAGGGCTGAGGCTCTGCTCATATCCAGGTCACCCCTCTTCCTGGGCACACAGGATGCCTGCACCTCCCAGTTTCCAGGGCAGTGGATTGGGGTCTGGATCTGACTCTGACTAAGGGAACACTGTGGCCTGGCCCAAAGCGTGCTGCACGGTTTTCATGGCCCTGCTAATTTCTGGAAGACTCAGATTCCGCAGGGCAGGGCCACACACTGAAGGGGCTGCCCAGCTGGCATTAAGTTGTGACATGAGCAAGGAATAAACTTTTATCTGGGTTCTGCTTTCTGAGTTCATTTCTGAATTCATGTTTTAAACAGCCTAGTCTATTCCAACTCATTCGGATCCTGGCCACATTTACAGGCGTCGGAAATGTTCTCTTGCTCTCAGGTGGCTGTTTGACTTCTACTTTTATCAGTGCTCGCAGTAACTTGACTTGCCACCCTGTGACCTCTTGATCTGTAACCCCGTGACCTTGGAAAGGTGGCAAATAAATTTACTGCCCGCACTGATAAAAGTAGAAGTGGAGGCCTTCATTACCACCCCATTAGGTCTTCAATGGAGATCAGAGCTCCAGGTAGAATGTAGAAATAAGATCTTGGCTAAGTGGGTCTATCTGCAGAATAAACTCCACCTAGTACACCTGCTTCTGAAACTACCAGCAGGACCACCTGACCCTAAATGAGCATTGTTTAAAGAACGGTTCTGGGACCACCTCCATTAGAACCCCCAACCTTGTTTTTCTTTCTACATGGGGCTCTGATCTCTGTTCGAGACCCGAGGTGGGGGCCTTCATCACCACCCTGCTGGCTAAGATGCTATCTCTTACCCTACCTGCCTCAGTTATACTTATTCATATTTTCTGTAAGAGCAAATCATCAGTTGCAAATCTGTGACAAGGCATTTTGAAGACTTATCACTGAAATACAATTTATGTTGCCTGACAGTAGTTGCAATTAAGTAAGAAACAAAACAGGCCGGGCGCAGTGGCTCACACCTGTAATCCCAGCACTTTGGGAGGCCGAGGCGGGTGGATCATGAGGTCAGGAGATCGAGACCATCCTGGCTAACACGGTGAAACCCCATCTCTAATAAAAATACAAAAAAAAAAAAATTAGCGGGGTGCGGTGGCGGGCGCCTGTAGTCCCAGCTACTCGGGAGGCTGAGGCAGGAGAAAGGCATGAACCCAGGAGGCGGGGCTTGCAGTGAGCCGATACTGAGATAGCGCCACTGCACTCCAGCCTGGGTGAAAGAGTGAGACTCCGTCTCAGAAAAAAAAAAAAAAGAAAGAAACAAAACAACACAAACAAAAAGACTTCGACCTCCTGTGCTGTCATAAGATCTGAATGGATTCTTTGCCTCAACATGCCCAGGAAATTGTTAGTGGTCCATGACAAAGAGGAAATGGGACCAGGTGTAAATTTTATGTCTGTGAGCAAAGTTCTTGCTTCTCTTTTTCATTGAGAGAAATAATTTTTTTCCTCATAATTCTTATTCATGCATGTTTCTTGTAGTGAAAAATGACCTCAATATCATCCCCTACAGCAATACACATATTTTTATAAAAGAATACATATAATTTATATAAATTTAATTTCTTATGGATATTAAACAGAAATAGTGTACGTAATTTAGCTCTTTTTAATGAACTTGGCTAATTCAGATGATTTGATTGTGGTGATGCAGTAAAGCTGTTGGAGTGTTTAAGGCCATATATGTGAATAGGCGTTTGTTTTTTGTTTTTCATTGTGTTTTTTTCTTATAGTTATGTCCATATTATTTGTCTTCTGAACCCTCTTCCTCTTTCCCTTTCTTCATTTCTTCCTTCCTGTGGTTTTACTTTTTTAGGTCTTTTAAGTATTCCCTTGGAACTTATCATTTCCTGCTGCCATTTGTGTTTCATTTTGTTTTTATCTAACACCTGTTTTATGCATCCTGTTTGGATGAGGGTGGCTTGCACGACTATGAACAAAACACGTGGGGATCATGACATCTCTTTGCTGCTTCATCAGTGTGGGTCCGAGCTGTCCGAGTTTCCTAAACACCTGACTTCTGAGCCACTGAGGGTGTCAACACTGGCTCTCATTTTTTGGTTACTTTCCAAGACTTAGCACAATGCCTCACATAGGGTAGCCACCCCAGATTGTCAGTTGACCAACTATCCTTTTTATTTTCTGTGTGGGAATGAATGAGAAGAAATACCATCTGCATAAACTTGTGACATTCTGCAACGTGCTTTCAGGGCATATGAAAGAAAGACACGTGCTGTCAACAGACGATAGACATGGTTTTCAGAAGCACATACACGCCGTTGCTCAAAGACAGAGCTTGCCTTTAGCCCTTGCCTTTAGGACTGCATTCCATGTACACAAGTTTCCAAACACAGTGTCCTGCTAGAACAGTTTATTTTCATGAATTGGACATGGAACACATCAATGCACTGTGACAGAAGGAAAGAAGGGCACTCAAAGTTCACCTGCAGCTTCACCAATAAACACTTTGGCTTAGAAAACTGTTTGGCGGGGCTCTTTCCTCCTAACCTGTAGGTAAGGGGCAGTCAAGGCCTGCCAGCTGCTTTCCTGGATGAGTCTCTGCTGGAAGGGGGGCCTGCGCCAGCTCTCCAGGGGCACCAGAAGTGGAGCTCACGGGCCTCCCCAGCCAAAGACAATTAGTATTTCCTTAAGTTGGAAAGGAGATTTCAAGTTCTATGATCTACCTCTGACAGTTTAAAGTATGTCTGTAAGGAAATGGATGCAGTAAGGTTACTTTGCAACTTTGTCCATATTAGACACCAAGTACGGGTGGGGTACACAAACCAATCACACACACACACACACACGTGCACACATACACACATACACATGCACATACACACACACACACACGTGCACACAGGTGACCACAGACATCCACATGCCACACACATTTTCCTGAACCTCACAGACATTGTGGCAAGCTCACACCTAAATATGTCAACATTTATCTTCTAAGAAGAAAACACATTCTCTCACATCACCAATGCGTAATTTCAACAGAAAAGGAAGTTAATATTATTTAAATCATAAAATATACAGAATATTGGGAATATTCACATTTCCCCAACTGTCCATATGTCCTTTATAGCTGTTTTAATGTATAAAACATAACTAGGATATATAAAAGGAAAATAAAGTTTTCCTTTATTATTCTAAAGAATTTCTTCCACAATTGCTGCTGTTTTCTCACGTTGTCATCTCATAGCTGTTTCTTGAATGTTGTATTCAAAAATACTTTTTAGAAATAATTTTGAGATTCTGATCTTTATTATTGAAGAAGTAAATAAGTAATAATAAAATCTTTTATTTTTCTACTTTGTAAATTTTTATTTTTCTACTGTGTAAATCTTTTATTTTTCTACTTTGTAAATAATAAAATCTTTTATTTTTCTACTTTGTAAAAAAATAAAATCTTTTATTTTTCTACTTTGTAAAAAAATAAAATCTTTTATTTTTCTACTTTGTAAAGTTTTAAAGTACAGAATTTTAGAAAGAAGAGCATGCATGAAATATTATGAGAGCTATGGGGAAAACTAAAGTCATTAAAAGGTAATTGTGTTTATTAGGCAGACGTTGTTAACTAGAAAATCCGATAGGAGAATTTCTCCCTCTTCTTATATTTATTTCCTTCCTCGTCTCCTTATTTCCTTTCTTAATTATCTAGCCTGCCTCCCTGTTTTCTTCCTTCCCTCCTCTCTCTCCCACCGTTATAAACTCATGAACCAGCGAGGCTGTTTTGTCTACAGGTCACTCAGATAAGTCCTCATTAAACAGGAAGCCCTCTTCAAACACTCTCCTATGGCCTCCCTCCCAGCCTCCACCACCATCACTGCCATTTTGTTTATCTACTCCTGTCACTTAGCTCTGATCCTATTTAGATTGATACATCTCTATGTTAGCAATAAATATTGAATAAGACTCTACATGCATAACTGTGTATTATAATGAGGGGAGAAGGGGTGGCAATGCATGGGTTTCAGAGTCAGAATTGAAATCCAGAGCTGTTATTCTCTGGCTGCGACCTTGGTCAAGTCATTTAAGCTATGGATCCTCAGTCTCCTTATTTGTAAAACTGCATGAATAATCCCTTTCTACCTAAAACAAAGGGCCAGTGAGGATACATTAGATTGGTTATGGGAAAGTACTCTTTCACGTTTCTTTTAAATTTTGTTTTTTGAATATGAGATACATTTACATCATTCAAAAATAAAGAAACAAATTAAGAAATGAATGAACAAGAACAATGAAAACATTTCCCCTCAACCTGCCTTTCCCTTTAGTAACCCCCACATAAAAACATTTTTTTAGTTTGTCTATCCTATATTTTTTATGCAAATACAAGCAAATACATATGTTTGTGCGAAGTCATAGTTTTGCTTCTCTTCTGCATCCTGCTTTTTTCTTTAACAAAATGTTCTTAAAATCTTTCTGCATGGGTTCAGAGTGCGTCATTTTCCACATAGCTGCATAGTAAGTGAAGGCACTTTGATTGAATAGCATAAAGCATAACACAGATGTAAATCAGGTCACTTCCGCCTCCGTCTTTTATGGCGAGGCAAGTGTGTCTTGGGTTCTTTATGAATAATAATGAGGGTAACCAGGGTTTAAAGGGCTGGTGCTTCTTGCCAGCCGCTGCGCTGCAGGTTTTACAGGCATTAGTGTGTGTAACCCTCAATGACCCTGTGACGTGGGAAACACTCACTGTTTTACATATGAAACCCCCAGGTTTTGAGGGGTGAGTGTAGAATTTGTATATGTTTTCAAAGCTGTACTGTGAAGCCTTTTTGCTCTTCTCCTCTGTTGGACGCAATGATGTCTGAATCCCACCTGGATCTGCACAGCGTTGCTGCACTGTAAGCCCACCACACACACCTTCACCTTCTTCAAACCAAATACCTCTGTCTTCCTGGAGACCCTGAACAACTTCTCCTGGACTCTGTCAACAGCTCCCTGTCCTCCAGGCACTGGCGTTAGCTCCTCCAATCCACACTTCACACTGGGAAATCAAACCCTGTCTCCTCTTTGCTTAAACTCACCCATGGTCTCTCACCATCTACAGAGCTCAACCTAAACTCACCACGCCCACCCTGCCTTCCCTCCCGCTTCCCGCTCCCAAACCTCTGGCCTTTCCTGATGCTGTTACCACATCTGAACTGTGCTTGTCTAAGTCAGAAGACATCCTTGGAGCCAGCCTGGGAGGTAACTCTCCAGCCCTCCACGCCTTCTCCAGGAACACTCAGATTCTCCCCTTTGGGGTGGCTTCATCCTCCTGACTTTGCAGCTCCTTCTCCAGGTGTTCTCTTGTTGTGGTTGTTGTTATACTCTCACCCTTATTAAATGGCTCAACAAGAACAGCTTTTCTGCAGAATTCTCTGATTCCATTTCTATATAACATCTGGCATGTAGTAGTTGACTCAAACATACGTTATATAAATGCATAGGTTGTGTGTATGGATGGGGCATTTCAAATAATTCACTTAACAATGCATTTTATTTTAAAAAAAAATAGGCATTTACTTCATTTAGATATGTGTTAAAATTTTATCCCTTCACTTGCACCTACAAACAACCACAAATGAGAAACTCAAAAAAACAGGTGACTTCACATCGGTGGGATCAGTGTGTGTAGACCTATGAGGCACATGTAGATCTATGAGTAACTCTGCAGAACGGTGTGGGCTCAACAGGAGGAGGAAGCACAGGCATCCCAGAGGCTCCAGGTCAGAGGGATGTGCAGTAAAAAAGACGGAAGTTTGTGTGATGAGGGTGTGCATTGTGTTTCATTTAAAAGAGTACTACGTGTGCATGCTAGGAAGCCAAGTGACAAGTCATAGCCGAACATAAAAAGTAATTCTTTCTGCTACTTTTGACCTTCAGTTAAAAGCACTTGTTAGGTGTGTTGGGGTGCATATGGAAAGTTCTGGATCTTACTTTCACACTTCATACACTTACTGCAGGTCCTTGCACATCAGCTGTTTCTAAATTGTGAGCAAATGAAAACAAGGCTTTACACAGTAAGGTAACGCACTCATCCATTGCTGAGACTGATATTTTTTGGGTGTCTCTACACAATAGACATAGCAAACAATGTGCTGAGAGCTGGGTACACAAATAAGCCACTCTCCACCTTCAGTGCCCCAAGCTCTCCAAATGCTTCAGATGACCCTGAAGTGCTTTGGATAAAAGATGCTGACATGGAGAGTGGTCAGCCCTGAGCGTGTTTTACTCCAAATCCAGAATCAGTGTTCTCGGTTGTTTGTGCTTCTGCTACCTGAGAGCAATTCTCCTTTTTCCAAGAGTTTTTACTTCCAAGAAATAATGGAGGCCAGACCCAACTCAAAACTTTCTAATGCTCAGTCCCGAGGCCCTAGAGCCAGGTGATGCAGTTGGTGGTCTTCACTGGGGAGCTGCTATCTGAAGGGGAACCTGGTACCTCTGTCCACTTCTTATTTTAAAAACAATACAGTTCTGGGAAATTCTAAAACATCTTCTGTGTTTCAAGGACTAAATTTAGTGATTTAGACACTTATAACATGTAATCCTTGTAACAGTTCTATTAAGAAGCAATTATTATGTCCATTTTACTGATGGGGAAACTGAAACTCAGGTTCAAGGAGACAAGCAACTTCTCTGCAGATGATGGGGTAGAATTAGGATTTGTTCTCCAGTCTGACATCCTATAACTTTCTAGGAAATATCTGCTGGACACTGAACTACTTACAGGAACAGCAGACCTTTTCTCTCTAAGCTCCTTGGGCAGTGTGGTAGGAGCACACTCTGCAGGTTGTGTTTCCGCTCTCTCAATCACCTCTTTTGGCTTTTTCTGTAATAATGTATTACCATGTACAATACTACCTTAAAGATACACAGATTCTACCAAGTCATCTCAGTGGAAAATGTCAACTAATACTCTGTGTTTTGGCTAAATCACATATGATACAGATTCACATGCCAAATAAGATTTTTTAAAGTCCGAGGCAAACATAAGGAGGCTTTAAAAACATCTACGGCATCGTTAACATCTTTTTCAGCATTAACCTTTTTATCGAGCTGGTGGCATACAGTCCCCTGCAACCGGAAATCGTTCTCTTTTGTGTTTGGTATTTTATTCTCCATGTTTGCTATGGTTTTTTTTTAAATTCACATGTTTACATTTTTGTTTTGTAGTTGCAGAGGATGTGGGAAAACAGGCCGAATGGAATCCCACCCCACCCGGTTGTGTGGCCTGGTCCTGTCAAGTGGTCACGCCCGGCTCTGCCCCACGGACTGCTGACCGGCATCCCTCACCCTTCCGGGAAGATGTTTTCTTTTGGCTTATGCGCGGTTTTATGGACAGAACTCCCTCTGTATCCAGGCGTGGAAACACCCCTTCCAGTTGGATTTAGTTTGGTTTCACATCCCACACAGTTTTCAGGATGATATTTCTAGTCAGACAGGGTGATACAGGCATAAACGCACTAGAAACATTTTCTCCTCTTGAAATCTTTTGAGTCTCTTGAATTCTGCTCTGATTTCCACAGAGGTGGCAACCTTGCTCTCTTCATCCTTCTTTCAGACTTTGTGGAAGCTTCTGCTAGCTCCACCCTGGGTACCACGCTCACGTATCAGCAAAGGGCTTGCCTGGGAGTAGCACATCTGTGGACAGTAGCTTTAGACTGTCATGCGAGTTTGCAAGGATCTGCTCACCCAGGGAGGAGTCAGGGAACATCTCTCTTCCAAAACTGACTGTGGCTATTTCAGAACTGGGAACTTAAGTCTTCACCATGGGTTGACAAACTCAAGCCCACAGGCCAAATCTGTTCTCTACCGACGCTGTAAATAAGGGTTGACAAACTTAGGCCCACGGGCCAAATCTGTTCTCTACTGATGCTGTAAATAAAGTTTTATTGTCAGGTGGCCATGCCATTTGCTCGCTGTTGCCTGTGGCTCATTTCAGACAGCGGTGGCAGTGATGAGCAGTTGCACGGAGACCACTCCCTCCACAAAGTCTAAAATCATCTCTGGTTCTACAAAAAAATGTTGGCCCACCAGGTCTATGTAACACGATGATTTACAAATTGCCATTTTATAGCTTATTATGTGAAGATGTATTTTCATTAACATAGCAATGTATTCCCATTCTATAATGCTAAATCTATTTATTTCTATGTACTGTTTTACATATATTTCATTCTATCACCCATTTACTAAAGTACTTATGACATACATAGAGAAAATAGATATTGACCATCCCCTGAGAGTCAAACACTAATCTTTAAAAAATGAGAACATGGATAACAAATCCCAGAAATCAGAGGCTCTATGTCTGCGCCCTTCACAGTGTGTGGCTGTCATGGTGACCTTTATGCATTGTTACCATAGCCCCGAAAGTGAGAAATGATTGGTGAGGACTGATGAGGACTGAATGAAGAGAGTGAGGACTGAGTGGAAAGATCGACGTGAAATGCAAGCACTGGTTGTGCGTCTTGCTCTTATTATTATCTAATTGGATCTGGAGGCCCCTGGAGACCTTTGGGTGACAAGCTTGTCTTACACCCAGAAGGGTCTGCTCACCCGGGGCCTGGCTGGAGGGGTCCCGGCGGACACTCCACTGAGGATGGCAGTCTCCAGGGCAAAGCAGGACAGGATTTCAGCTGCTAGAACCTCGAGATCTCTTTTTTCCCCTAACCAAGTCCAACTTGCTCTCCCACCCTGAAAATGGACATCTCTCAAAATCAAAGGTGATGCCTCAGCTGAGAACCCTACTGAAAGCCAAGTATAAACATGGATGTTGCTTGCAAAACCAGCTTACTCTTTCTCCTTGTGGTTTCATTTAATTCTGGGTGAGATTTGTATTTGAATGCTTTATCTCAAACTACATTGAGCATCCTTATTTAAATGTGAACATCTAACTCAATGCCAGAATGCCAGTTCAACAAAGCCACATGTAAACATTACACCCTTATAAAATATTTCACTAAACGTCCTTAACTTATTACTAAAATTCAATGAGATGAGATAAACAAGATAGCTTGGATGTATGAAACACCTACAGTTCAGAAACTTTAACTGCTTCTGAAGCCAAGTATGCATGAACACTCAATGTGAATAGCTTCTTTTGTTTTTTTCTTTTTGTCGTCGTCGTTGTTGTTGTTGTTGTTTTAACCTCGGGGAAATGTACGATTAAACATAATGCCTTCCCCAAACGGAACCAATGAGTGCAGTGAGTTTCTTCAGGGAAAATGAATAGGGTATAGATGAGAAAATAATTAGAACAACTGTGACCTATTACAGCAGTTCATAAAGCTCTCAAAGCCTGCAGCACCCACAAGCTTGCAGCATATGGAAGACAATCCCAGCCTCTAATTTCTGTGCAGTGGTAAGTAGTTCTATTATCAGACAGGCAAATGGGGCGGTCGGCAGACAAATAAATCACAATTGCACAGTGAACCTTAAAATGCACACCACAGCTTTCCTTATAGAGCATGCTGAGAAATTGCCATTTTTACCAGAATTTTCTTCTGCTATTCATCAGAGTAACATATATAAAAGTACTTCTAAATGTGAGTATTGAGAAGATAATACCAGAGTTCCCATTCCATTCACTCGTTCAGAACCAACGACTTTACAGGATCTGAGATTTGGGCCATATTTCAGTCTTGTCGACCTCCAGCCCTAAAAATATGTGCTGCCAGGCAGCAGCCACTAGGTATGCGCCAATCTCTTCCCTCCCCAATCCTCCAAATCAGACCCCACATGCTTTACTAACCAGTTCCTTCTGCTGCAAGTGTAGATTCTGTGTGCAGTGATTCTACATGAGCCATTTCCACGTGAGGGTCATGGGCACCATTCCCTCCCCACTGGCCACCCCGAGGCATCCTCTCAGCACCCACAAGGAGGCTCACATCATTCCTGCCCTATAGAACTTCAGCAGTGATGCCTCATCTAATTTAACTGCAAAGGACTCTTTTTGGCATGAATTGTCTCTTTGGAGAGGATGCGCAATGCAACTTTTAACTGCCTCCCGGAAGCCATGAAGCACCAGGCAGCTAAGATGAAAGTATTTACTCAAAGCAGCAAATGGGACAAGCACCAGAGGAGGGGCTGCCTGCAGCAATCCTGGGAGCCCCGTGCTGGGCAGGAGTACCTGCACTCTGTGGCCAGGAGCCCCGTGCTGGGCAGGGGTACCTGTACTCTGTCGCCAGGAGCCCCGTGCTGGGCAGGGGTACCTGCACTGTCACCAGGAGCCCCTTGCTGGGCAGGGATACCTGTGCTCTGTCGCCAGGAGCCCCTTGCTGGGCAGGGGTACCTGCACTGTGGCCAGAAGCCCCGTGCTGGGCAGGGGCACCTGCACTCTGTCACCAGGAGCCCCGTGCTGGGCAGAGGTACCTGCACTGTTGCCGCGCCGGGTGGGTGATCTCAGGACCTGATATTCTTCCGCCGTCGACCAGGGTTTGAAGATGCCCACTGGATAGGAATTCACCAATTCTCCTCTGAGTTCATTTTCTAAAGGATAGAGCGACAACACAAAATACCTTAAGTAAGAGAAGGGAGGAGGGCATAAGGAGGGTTTGTTCCCCTGTGCTGTGACACTCACAACAGCTACATTTCAAGATAGGTAACTGCACCTTGAGAAGATGTGTAAATAATTTTACTCAGAAACCTTGTTATATAAACTCTAATAATGGCTAACTAGAAGTACTTTTTACACATTTAGTTAATTTACTTTGAAACCTAAGATATTGAGGAGTTTTAAATACATGTCCTAGGTTTGAAGGTAAAACCATATGCACTTAATATTTAGGTTGAGCCATTACTGGCCCATTTCTCAGATGATTGCTTCTTTAACGCTTTGATGTAATTAGAAAACAATTTAATAGGGGAGAAATATTTTGCATGTTTATTTTTTGGAAATAATAGAATTTCATTCATAAGAAAATATAGTTTGCTGATGACAAGGCCACTTCCAAATGTCAGCTCAACTTTATCTTACTATCACAACAACAAAAGAAATTACCTTCATTAATGGAAATGTAGAAATTATTAACTTTCTATCATGTTTTTCTGCAATGTTATCTCAGTATTAGAAACCATTGACTGTTTTAATTTGAAGAAGAAATATCCATATTATTTCAAAGTCTACTATCAAAGAGAGAATTTATTTTGTTAAACAAAATGATGAGCTAGAAAATCAGAAAGTGAGAGGGTGATGCCTCAGTTAGGGAAGCCATTGTTTCTGGTGCAAACCTCCTAATTCCAAGAGGCTTATTAAAGTGCGTCTATGGCAATAACAGACAAGTGTTAATGGGCCTCAGTGAAGTGTGTCAGGAGAACGAAGAGACCCTGAGGGGCTCCCCATGCTGTTTATGAGCAGCTAGATGCAGCAGCATTACCATAAATCCTCTAACAGATACTGTACTTCCCGCCTGTAATAAGATGATAGCCAGAGTGCTTAGCAAGTGGAACTTGAAATAAGATAACACAAGATTTCCTAGGAAACACAAAGGCAGCCAATAAAATGCAACCATAACAATTATTATTATTTCCCCTAATAAGAATTTACTAAAACAAACACATAAAGAACAAAATAATGCCAAAATAGATACATGGAGCTAGAGAGGTTTTAAAATTACCCTGAAAAATCAAGGTTCAAAATTTGAATGAGAGTTAGCGTATTCGTTTTGTTGCAAAGTCTACAGATATCAGTTTGGAGTTATTTTGTAACATTTAAAAATATACACTTAGCTTTTAATACAAATTATAATTTGGGGTTTTATTTATAGCAGTGCACAGCTATCTACACTGGAAAATCTCTGATAACAATGGTGTGTTTTATGGCTTTTTCTCAACACCCACATAGTATAAATGCAAGGAATTCTTGCAGTTTCTTCCTCAGGCAAATGCCCCTGAAACATTTTTGCATCAGACATACCACCTTGAAATCATCTACAAAGATTCAGGAGCATTCACCCTGGACAAACAATGGCTTCTTTTACCTAGGTTTGCACTCTGACCATTAATGCTCACAATTCAGACCCACGTCCTTGTGAGACAGAGACAGACGTGACAGCGCATGTGGAGACTCCCTCCCAGACAACGCAGTTTGATGAGGATGAATGTGCGCTTAGTGGGTACTCACTGTGAGGTGGCCTCTTTTATTTTGACCTTTTTAACTGGGTCCCTACTTCCTCAATCAGATTATACTAAGGCAACTAGCATATAAACTTGACATTATTGATACTGACATAATATTATGATTTAAAAATATAACTATTCATCAAATGTTATTGATTGTATGGACTGTCATTACTGCTGGGTTAGCAAGACCCATCTCAGCCAATCTTGGTGTGAACATTTGTTGAGTGAATAAATCTCTCTGAAGTTCAGGTTCTGTATCTGACAACAGCAGGGCTAGGCTAAAAGTTTAAATCTGTTTTTTAGCACCAAATGCTTTAAGTAAGAATCCCACTGCTGTGGCACCTGATATGAATCCCCAGGCAGCAAGTGAGCCATGAGTAGAGAAGTGTGGTGCTCTCCTTGTGAGGCTCACTCAGACCTCCTTTCTATGTGTGTTGTATGTTGAGTGTGAATTCGTAGCTTTGAGTCTTGGCTCAGTGGTTTCGGGAATTATCATGCAAATGTCCTCTCTGAGAAGGGCCTCCACCGTGGGGCACTGCTGAAGGAAGGAAGAACCAAGCCTGTCTTCCTCCACCCTCTCTTGCCAGGGCGGTGCCCACCACCCCTGTGGGACACAGATGGAAAGAAGCCAGCTCCTGGTGACTTTTCCTGGAGGTATCAGCATCTGAGGTGCACATATTCTTTCCTGCTATCATTGCTTTTCTAAGATTTCTTGTCAAGAAGACCTTTTGTTTAGCTAAGTGTTGCTGAAACGGCAGTGCCTGTGCCTGTCTGGTAACCTGAATCACACCTGTAGGATTAGCTACTAGTGGAAATGGGTCACGCTCTTTGTTTTTCACCCTAAAAGCTCCGTGTGAGATTGGTTAAAAGATGAGAGCTACACGTTGATAGTGCTTCTTTCTCAGACGTATAACACTGAACAGCAAGAACCAGACAAATGCCTGACAAAAGCCCACCTCAGACACCACCGTAAGGAGAAGGCGAAACCATCCTCTGTGAACTGAGTTTCAGAGGAGCCTCTGCAAGGCAAGGATGCCCGAGCCTGGTTTTACATACTTTCCTGGACCCTTGCCTCGATACTGTCTGAACAGGAAAACTGCTTTAAGGTTTTCTGTGTCCTTCAGCAATCAAATTTGGGATCCATAATGGCTGGAGAGGACAGCACATCACAGCAGCAGGGCTGGAGGGCAGTCCTGGCCGCCTGTCCCCATTGTGATTGGCAGGTGCATCTCCAGCTCTTCCGCCTGTTTCTGTAGCTCATCTCTACTGACTAACAGCCGTAGGAGCTCCTTGCTCGGGGGCTGGGTTGAGATGAATAAGCTGCCTGTACTATGGAGTACATAGCAGGTTCTCCATTAGCCTTTCCTGGCTGAATAAGGAGCTTGTTTCCTTTGTACCAAGTTAAACGGATTTCAGTTAGCTCACTGCGTTGCTCACAGCCTTTGCATTAGGCTGTGCTCATGAGACAGTCACTCAGCTTCTAGTTGGAGATGAGATTTAGGATATGTCCACTTTCAGTTTTTCAGAGAAAAGAAAGAAATGGTCATTTTCAGAAGATAATAATGACCATATAGACAATGAAAAGGAAATATATAATCAAATAATTAAATAAATAGGGACATCTTAATAAGAAAAAGTAGGAAATCAGGAAAAGAATGTACAGCCAGTTTTAAAATCACCCTTCTCGTTTTTAAACACTCATGTACCCTTTGCTTTAAGTCTAGGTCAGTTACATATTTGTGGGATGGCTTCAATTATTTGGAACATTGGAAAGTATTTTTGGCAATTAAAAAGGTTCGGGTCTACCTCCCATACACGGACATTCCCATCTCAGTTTTTGCCGTAGATCACCTGTGCAATATCAATATTTAGGACATAACTTTTTTTTTTTTTTTTTGAGGTGGAGTTTTGCTCGTCACCCAGGCTGGAGTGCAGTGGCACGATCTTGGCTCACTGCAAGCTCCACCTCCTGTGTTCAAGTGATTCTCCTGCTTCAACCTCCCTAGTAGCTGAGATTACAGGTGCTCACCCAGACACCCAGCTAATTTTTATAGTTTTAGTAGAGACGGGGTTTCACCATGTTGGCCAGGCTGGTCTCAAACTCCTGACCTTAAGTGATCTGCCTGCCTCGGCCTCCCAAAGTGCTGGGATTACAGGCATGAATCACCATGCCTGGCCTAGAATATAACCTTAATTTCAACTTCTAAGTAAGACACCACTGATTCCAACATGTCAACTAACCACATAAAAGGACACCAGCAAATGCAATTTGTAACCTGGAAGTATGTATAGATAAAGACATCACATGAATAATCTATCCTCTAGTTTACTAGCTATTCTTAGACATGTACCTAAAGCCACAATTGCATTGTTTCACAAAACTAACACTGAAGTGGAAACAGGTTTGTTTCCCACTGTGGCTCAGAGAGGGCCGGTAGCACTCCCACTGCTGAGGAAGGGGATGAGAGCCTTCCCCGTCTGCTGTGTAGCGGGGACGATGTCGTCAACAGGACTGTCACACAGGTTTGCGTGGATGTAAATGGAACAACCTTGTTGTGTCGGGAATTTGGCAGTGTGAATGAAAATTTTCAATGTGCATATGCTAGCCTGACAATTCCAGTTCCTGGTATCTACCAAATATATATTTAGTCACACATATGCATAGATACCTGCATAAAATGTTTCAATGCAATATTGTGTATAATCAAAACTCTTCAGTGATAGAATGGTTAGATTATTTGTGGTAAATAGGCAATCTAAGACTGACCTATAAGCACTGACAAGGCAGAATCCTTAAGATGTGTAGCAAAGTGACTAGAGGATGGTACAGGGAAGCATACACAGTGTAACCTGTTCACATACGACAACCTAGAACCTAGGGTGTATTCGTCTGTTCTCACACTGCTAGAAAGAACTGCCTGAGACTCGGCAGTTTACAAAGGAAAGAGGTTTAAATGACTCACAGCTCCACATGGCTGGGAAGGCCTCAGGAAACTTACAATCATGGCAGAGGTGAAGCAGGCACATGGTACATGGTGGCAGGTGAAAGAGAGAATTTGAGAGAATCCAGGGAAAACTGCCTTATAAAACCATCAGATCTTATGAGAACTCACTCACTATCATGAGAACAGCATGGGGTAGGGGTAAACCACCCCCACGATCCAATCACCTCCCACCAGGTTCCTCCCCAACCCCTGGGGCTTCCAATTCAAGATAAGATTTGGGTGGGGACACAGAGCCTAATCATATAATAGGGGCATGTCTTATATTTACATGTGCATGTGTGTGAATACAGAGGAAGATGCCAGTGTGGACACAGACCCAGTGGATAGCTGAGATGATCTTTGGAGACAGGAGTAGGGTTGTGACAACTAAGAAAAACTTTCACTTTTTACTGCAAATACTTCTAATTGTTTATTTCATATATATACTGTTTATTTATAAATAGATAAAATATTTATTTTATATAAACAGACTGTAATAATTTACTTGATTGCCAAAGAAAATCCATGTAACATTTATGTAACAAAATAAACTGAAAAATTTAATGATTTATCTATTAGTATTTTCAAAAGATATGTGTCAATTATTATAAAAAATGACTAATAAATTTAGGTTAGAAATTTACACTCCCAAAGTCACGTAATACTTGTAAGCAACTTGCACTCCCCAGACCCCCAAGCCATTTGCTGCTTTACAATATAGTTGAAGACAGGCCCTGGGATGCACTGGCTGTCTACAAACCAATAAACAATGTGGCAAGGACATCACATTTGTGGCTGATTAGATCATTCTAGCTCATTAAAAAACCTTCTTCCATGTTAAGCAAAATGATATAGAAGAGCAAAGAAAAATAGAGGCAATTAGAACAAAGGCGGATTGGTGCCGTGTCAGAACACAGAAGGTTGTCTGGTACCCTCGCCCTCCTTCCTTCTGCAGGAAGGTGTTGGTGAGGTGGGCCTTTGGGGCTCTCTCTGTCCCCTCAGGGTCTGCTGTTTGCCTGCAGCCCACTCATGGATAGTGAGGACTTATCACCAAGGCAGACCCAGCAAGAAACACACTTGGTAGAATGGCTTTTGGCATTGTTGAATATCAGCAGTGAAAGCAATCGTAAGGATAGTGCAGCCTGCCTCTTCATTTTTAGATTTGGTCATTGAAGTCCAGAAACCCTAACGAACCTGTACAGGGTCAAAAGAGAAGTGAGCAGAAGGCCCAGGACAGGGTGACAGGTATGCAGTCCCCATCACTCCTTTCTCCAACAAAGTGAAAAGTAGTTTAAGGAAATCTAAGATTTAATTGCAGTGAATTTTATTAATAACAAGCTTTAGTCTTCAGGGCACACGGGAGAAGACGTTTCCATGGGGCTTAGAAAAAGTGAGGAATAGCATTAACCAAAGAGCAGTAACTGGGTTCTGCCATTCACATCTTACAGGCAATACCTGCTCTGGGAGCCCTTGAGCATAGGAACCTGGGGTACTGCGAACGAACACCCAATGCCCCCACACACATCCCTGGCCAGCAGCTGTAGGACATGGCCAAGGAAGTGGCTCATCCATCCACAGAGCTTTCAAGGCTTGCAGGTGCCTTCTGAATTTTGGAGAACCCAGTGGTTCTGCATCTCATTGAATCCAAAGCTTCCCAAGAGGCAAATGCCCAGATAAATCCCAGTCAGAGGACTCAGGCATAGCCCTGCCTTCCTTTCTTTCCTGGGAAGCCCCTAGGCTCAGATACTGAGTTCTGAGTTAGCTTAGATGAGTTCACTTCACCCTCCCTACCAGACCCCGAAACCTGTTCCTCCTCCCTTCACGCTGAGAGTGGAATCTCTAAGAACATGCCTCTGTTGTGGATGCCTCTGACCAAGAATAAGTCCACATAGTGACCATGATTTGTATTATTATCGTTATCATGACAACACCTTACACGTGTATTCCAATTTAAAGTTAAAAGTTATTTCACACACAAACACGTAAAGGAGGTAGAATTATGCCTGTTTTACAGATGAGGAATCCCAAGTTCCACAAGCATTGCTTTAGTGAGTGAGGAACAGTAGGAATCGGAGCTGGAACTAAAAGCACGCACTGTAGCCTGGTTCCTAGGTCTCCCGAAGCTTGGTGACATGTTATTTCTCAATTCCTAAGACTTACCACCACCTTATGTGACCTTTAGTTTAAGCTGCTTTGTCCTCTCCATGTTCCTCAAATATAAACTATACTTCCTCACTTTGGTTCACACCATGCCTCTCTTTATGCACATCTCAAAGATTTACCAGCCTTCACATCAAATCCCATCATTTCTCTACTCAAAGACTTTTAGATCATTCTGGCCCTCAGGAGGAGGCTGTTCCTCTGAATGATCAATGAGGTCATCCTCTCGCTGATCCGTTCATACCTTCACACACTGTTTCACACAGCCAGCCAGTGATTCCACTGTTTGCCCACTTCTGCTAATGCCACTGTTGTTATCAAAGAAACTAGGGTGCTTGAAGATGGGGATTGCACCTGTTCATTTTTGTATTACCAGGGGCCAGAGGAGAGAGAATCCATTAAATGAATGAATTGAATAACAATAATGATAATAGAGTTCACTTCACCCTCCTTCCAAGCCCCCCAAGGAACTCATGGCTCCTTGAGAGTACAGAAGATGTTTATTACTTGGTGAATTCTTCATTTGTTTAGCATAGTCCTTAGCACATAATATGTACTCTCAAATAATTACTAATCAAATGGAAAAACATAAGCTCTTAAAAAAAAAAAAAACAACAACCTGTATCAGGAAAGAAGACGAGAGAGCAAGTGATCATTTGAATCAGTGGTGCTACCTTAGGAGTGAGTGCAAGTGGCAGAGAGACAACTCGATGTGGGTGTGTGGAAACTGTGCCTGAAGGTGTATGCGAACCTGTGTGTGTACCTGTGTGTGCACCTGTATCTGTACCTGTGTGGGCCCGTGTGTGTACCTGTGTGTGCGCCTATGTGTGTACCTGTGTGTGTGCTTATGTACCTGTGTGTAGCTGTGTGTGCACCTGTATCTGTACCTGTGTATGCCTGTGTGTGCACCTGTGTGTTTTTGTATGTACCTGTATGTGCACCTGTATCTGTACCTGTGTGCCTGCATGTGTGCCTGTGTGTGTGCTTGTGCATGTACCTGTACCTGTATTTGTACCTGTGTGTGCCTGTGTGTGCACCTGTATCCATACCTGTGTGTACCTGTGTGTGCACCTATATCTGTACCTGTGTATGCCTGTGTGTGCACCTGTATCCGTACCTGTGTGTGTACCTCTGTGCTTGTGTATGTACCTGTGTGTGCACCTGTATCTGTACCTGCATGTGCCTGTGTGTGCACCTGTAACCGTACCTGTGTGTGTACCTGTGTGTGCTTGTGTATGTACCTGTGTGTGCACCTGTATCTGTACCTGCATGTGCCTGTGTGTGCACCTGTAACCGTACCTGTGTGTGTGCTTGTGTATGTACCTGTGTACCTGTGTGTGAACATGTATCTGTACCTGTGTGCCTGTGTACCTGTGTCTGTGCCTGAGTATGTACCTGTGTGTGCACATGTATCTGTACCTATGATCTATGTGTGCCGTGTACCTGTGTTTGTGCCTGTGTGTGTACCTGTGTATATCTGTGTGTGCACATGTATCTGTACCTGTGTGTACCCGTGTGCGTGCACCTGTGTGTGTACCTATGTGTCTGTGAAGTGAGACTGAAAACATGAGAGTCTACCTGGCTCTCTGTTGTCTCTGACACACAGAAACTTCATGAATGAAATCATGTTACTGATTGCTAGCTGAACTCTCCTCAATTTTCAGAGAGTCCTTGGGAAGAAAATCAGAATTCTAGCAGTAAGCCCCGCTCTTAAAATATATAGAAATTACCGTCTGTCAGAGGCTGTGGATGCAGAGTGTGATTTAAATGTGCTATGAGTTTAACTTAAAGCACAGCCACACATTTCAACTAGAAAATCCTAATGGTAGGGGCATGAGTGTACTTAAGGCCCTTCATCTGTGACAGAGTTGACCACGTGGAAGCGCTTTGTCTTCCCGGATGCAGTGCCAAGGACTGGGGGTGCTCCCCTGCTCTCTAAACCTGCAGCCTTTTCCTTCACACAGCAACCACAGGAGGGTGCATGCCGAGAAGTGAGATTCATCTGCATAAATACATCCTCCAACTAACTGCTTCCAAGTGAGAGAAAAAGGACTTTCCACGTTCCAGCACTTCCATGCTCATTATTTCATTTGATCCTCAGAACAACCCTGAGAATAGGCAACCGAGATATTATTAGCTCTATTTTCAGAGAGAAACTGAGGTTCAGAAAGGTAGCTTGCCTGAGGTCACAGAGCTGGGATGGGGACCCAGGTTTCCAGGCTGGACATTGACAAGTGTCCACCCTGGCAGTCACCTCCCAACTCCCATATGTAACAAGCTTTCAGAGCAAAAATGAATGGCATGCCCCACTCTGACTACACTGTGTCTTGGAACCATGGCCACGGACAGCACGCCCCACTCTGACCGCACTGTGTCTTGGAACTGTGGCCACGGACAGCACGCCCCACTCTGACCGCACTGTGTCTTGGAACTGTGGCCATGGAGAGGTGACCTCCTCTCTGCAGGATCTGATTTCAGTGGCTTAGGAAGGGCCTGTCCTCCAGATTGTTAGAACAGTACCCATGCCAATCGCTGAAACCCTTCCATTGGAAATCCAGTTACTTGAACACTTTTTTAAAAGAATTTACCTTTATAAGTGCAAATGATTCTGGGCTAGCTGATATTTTGAGTCACTATTGATTAAAAAGATATTAATTTTTCATGGAACAAGGAAGATGTTTGCAATAGTATGGCCAGCATCTATCCTCATTCTCTGTCCCTCTCTCACACCCATGTACCCCCCACACTCTTTCTCTCTCATTTTCAGTCTGTATTTCACAAGGAAGAAAGCCAGACAGTAGCAATTGCCTGGATTTGGATGGAGGATTTAGGGAGGGCTGGAGGCTTAGAAGCAGGCATTGCGTCGGTTTTTCAAAGCACAGCATGCGCTTTGCAGCTAACCAGAAAGGCATGCTCTCTTTTTCATTTGGCCACTGTTTGTTGTGGATGTCTCCCTTTGGGTTTTGGGGAAGGAGCAGTGGTTTGGGAATTGCTGGCTTCCTACCAAACACCACCAAAGAGCAGTGCAGTCCCAGCGCGGCCCACAATGGCAGGGACTGAGATGGATAAACATCACAGTAGATAAAGACTCGCACAGCCTGGGCCTCCAGGCAGGACAGAGTTGCAGGGGAGAGAAGGAGGGAGGTCATCGCTTCTCCTCTAAGTAAGGAAGGCTGCAACAGGGATGCCCACAGTGCTCAGGGTTACGCAGAGGTGAGCGGACTCTGCCACAGAGGTGGGGAGGTTTTCCGAGGAGCAGCAGCTGAGCTTTGAGAAGGTCATGTCATCAGGCTATGGATGGTGAGTCACAGAGGGAGATCTCCTGGACAGAAAACAGTAACACAAAAAGCATGGAGCAGTTGGAGGGAAGGGTGTGTTTGGATGGTAAGTCCTGGGGGAGCCTGAATTGTATCCCTCAGGACCCAGCGAACCTCCTGGCCTCCCCTAGAGTAGTGAAGAGCCAGGTTGCTGTTTTAGAACAGAGAGGAGGGGAAGAGACAGAGAGGAACGAACCTGGGGGAAGTAGACCACGAGAGAGCTGCTGGGGTGAAGCCTGGTCACAGAGAGGCTGCTCACCTCTGTGCAGGGAGAATAAGTTCCCACGGGAGGGGAGGAGAGAAAGGGTGGGGCCAGGCGGTAGGAAGAGAGAAGGAGCCTGGAACCAAGCCATCCTGTTTCCTAAAGCTTGCTTTGTTTCCATGACTCTAGAAGCAGTATAAAAGAAACATCCTTCCAGTGCACAAAGCTTGCAAGAGAGTAATATTATGAATGTTTGAAATCATGCTGTACTTGATGGCCCTGTAAGGTAATGATGAGGTTCTCAGTGTGATGAGGTAGAGATCCATATTTTAGCACATATTCTTCATAGTTGCAGCTCTCTGTAAAAGTTATCAGCATATGACAATTCAGAATCCCACATGTAGTTTCTTGCAAACTATATACTAGAAAAAATACTTTGGAGATATAACTAAAAGAAGGAAGGAAGGGAGGGAGGGAAGGAGGGAGAGGAAGGAAGGAAGGAGAGGAGGGAAGAAAAAAGGAAGGAAGGAGAGAGACAAAGGAAGAAAAAAGGAAGGAAGGAAGGAGAGGAGGGAAGGAAAAAGGAAGGAAGGAAGGAGAGAGACAAAGGAAGAAAAAAGGAAGGAAGGAAGGAGAGAGAGGAAGGAAGAAAAAAGGAAGGAAGGAAGAAAGGGAGGGAGGGAAGAAGAGAAAGAAAGAGAGAGAGAAAGGGGGAGGGAGAAAGAGAAAGAGAGAAAGAAAGACAGAAAGAGAGAAAAAGAAAAAGAAAGAAAGAAAAAAGGGGAGAGAGAAACAGAGAGAGGGAGGGAGGGAAAGAAAAGAAGGGAAGGAGGTAGATGGCTTGAATAATGTAGGTCATGCTGAGGCTGTTCACAATTTTAAACGTCTAAAAAACACAGCTGATATCTACCTAGAAGGAATCACTAATAAATCATACTGTTTCAATATTATCTAAATATATTCTTATTAATGACATACAAAGTAATAAATACATTACAGTGTTAATGCATGTGTGTGTTCAAGAGAAACAAGTAGAAAGTAAACACAAGACAGAGTTCGTCCCTGTAGATTCCACAGTGAAAATGTGCAGCGCCCATAAAGGTTGGGACAGAACGGACGAAGGCCCTCAGTGCTTCCAATCCACTGACGTTTATTTTCAGGCAAAGGCCCATTTTAAATACTTTCTATCAATGTTAAAATGATGAGTTTAATGTGTCAAAGTAGCATGCTTTTAAAAATTGGGGATTTTTTTCATGGGATGATTTCATCAAGTAAAAATCTCCAGGCAAAAATATCCTACACTCCAATTTGCCCAACCTCCTCTGTCCAAACAAAGGAATAACACTCATCTGAGCAAGACCTCCTCTTCCCGCCTAAGCCTCCCCGCACCGCACGCCCACCAATGGGCTGGCGGCCTCTCCAGCAGAGCCGGCAGATTTCCCCAGCTGTGGGAGGAAAGCTCTGTTCTCTTCCTGTGATGATATAAGCCTCTCCTCATCCGTCAGCTTCAGTTGTAGGAGAGACTCCTGCCTAAATCGGTGGTTGGGGTTGGCTTGAGGTTTCCAGCTACCCAGAAAGGGACCCGCCAAGAGAGGCCGCAGCTCGGCACTTTAGCTGGCAACTGTGCAAAGCTCCACCCCATGAGTAGTTGCATTGCTTCGGGTAAGCTTCGCCACCTCTCTGGCCTTTACTTTTGTCATCTCTGAAATGCAAATAGTAATTGCGTCTACTTTAGAAGGCTTGTCAGAGGATCCACTGAGACAGCACAGCTCCTGCATTTAGAAAATGCCCTCATGCTGCAAACCTTCCAGTCACCAGCCAGCAACTCTTCCATATCCATCCAATAACTCTCTGTTCTGCACCTAATAAGCATTCCACTCTTATATACAAGCCTCCTTATAAAAGGCCTAGACTTAAAAATAATAATAATAGCAAACACATTGAAGGTAAATGGGAATGAGGGCACTTTCAACACACAAAGCTTATATAACATATTTGTGCTATTTAATTAAAATGTAACTAGTCATTCAGTACTGTGTGGTTTTTGTTACTTCCTTGTATTTTAATAGCTCTGTTCAAATATGAGTAACTCACCACAAATTGTGTGGCGTGCAAACTAATATATTCACCTGATTGGCCTCCACACGTGAGGGGGACGCAGCCGGGCCTCCTCGAGTCCCGCGTTCCTTCTGTGAGGGGGACGCAGCCAGGCCTTCCGGGCCTTCCCGAGTCCCGCGTTCCTTCTGTGAGGCGGACGCAGCCGGGCCTCCTCGAGTCCCGCGTTCCTTCCGTGAGGGGGACGCAGCCAGGCCTTCCGGGCCTTCCCGAGTCCCGCGTTCCTTCTGTGAGGCGGACGCAGCCGGGCCTCCCAGACGCCCGCGTTCCTTACGTGAGGGGGACGCAGCCGGGCCTTCCGGGCCTTCCCGAGTCCCGCGTTCCTTACGTGAGGCGGACGCAGCCGGGCCTCCCAGACGCCCGCGTTCCTTACGTGAGGGGGACGCAGCCGGGCCTTCCGGGCCTTCCGGGCCTTCCCGAGTCCCGCGTTCCTTCTGTGAGGGGGACGCAGCCGGGCCTCCCAGACGCCCGCGTTCCTTACGTGAGGGGGACGCAGCCGGGCCTTCCGGGCCTTCCCAAGTCCCGCGTTCCTTCTGTGAGGCGGACGCAGCCGGGCCTCCCAGACGTCCGCGTTCCTTCCTTGAGGGGGACGCAGCCAGGCCTTCCGGGCCTTCCCGAGTCCCGCGTTCCTTCCGTGAGGCGGACGCAGCCGGGCCTCCCAGACGCCCGCGTTCCTTCCGTGAGGGGGACGCAGCCAGGCCTTCCGGGCCTTCCGGAGTCCCGCGTTCCTTCCGTGAGGGGGACGCAGCCGGGCCTCCCAGACGCCCGCGTTCCTTACGTGAGGGGGACGCAGCCAGGCCTTCCGGGCCTTCCCGAGTCCCGCGTTCCTTACGTGAGGGGGACGCAGCCAGGCCTTCCGGGCCTTCCCGAGTCCCGCGTTCCTTTCGTGAGGGGGACGTAGCCGGGCCTCCCCGAGTTCCGCGGTCATTATGTGAGGGGGACGCAGCCGGGCCTTCCCGAGTCCTGCGGTCCTTACTGGTTAACTGTAGTCCCGCACTGTTAATGTTTTTCGTTTTTTGAAGCCAAGATAGCGTGCTCACCGCAAAAGAAATATGGACCTCGATGAACAGATAATAGGGAGAATCTCATGCACCCATCCTGGAATTACGTTTTTAGCTTTGCCCCCATCACTACCATTGGAGGGAAGCAGCTTCTGCGAGAGGCATTTGTAAAGTCTCCATGTCTCCCCAAGAAGTCACGTTCTGCAGACCCGTCAACCATCCCATGTCCCGCCACTCCCTCTAGTAAATAAGGATCCTTGGGTTTTTCTGGATGCCTACACTTACTAACTCTTGACCCAATTTTTGCATAAGCATCGCAGAATCAAAAATCTATAATTAACAGATTGTTATAAAATTCTACAACGAATAAACTCTTAAATTCCAATTCGAAAATATTGTAAACTTTGCATTATAAATTAACATGAGTGTCTGTAGCAAGGTTAAGATCAATTTATAATGTAACCTAATCTTCACCTTGGTCTTTATTGGCACTGATTTAAAAAGATCTGTGTGCAATATCATCTTCTGAAGATAAGTTCCTTTCATTTATTTCTATTTGCTCTGATCCTCCTTTTGGAAAACAAAATAAAGAATTTTTTTCTAAAAAAGGTATGATCGAAACTTGGCCTTAATGAACTTAAACAGCAATTCATCCTCACACAATCCAGTCTTTATGGATTGCAGGCCTAGGGTAAGCAGGTTGCAGGCACAGTGAGTGACAGACAAGCAAATGTCAGAGGAGATGCTCTTATATTTGGTCGTGGGCTCCCTCTTCCACCGAGGCCTTTCCTAAATCTGCCTTTGATGAGCTTCCCCCAGCCATCAGCTCTGTCCGTTCCCTCTGGAGCTGCACAGAAAGTGCTTCATGGAAATGTCATCTGCCAGGACAGCAATTACTGGCACTCCAGCAATCACGGGCACAATGCAGAGTGGGTCGAATTCAGGTGAGAGCGAGAACCCACAATCAAGCCCGGGGAAGGAGAACAAAGCCATTTTCTTTCATTCGCCGTCAACACAACCATCAGGCCTTAATTACACGGCGCGTGCGGGGCTGGCTGCTGAAAGGCATGTTATTACCCAGCTTAGTTCCAAATCAGCTCAGTATTGATGAGCGGCAGAGGGAGGAAGCCAGCCTCGCCCCCGTGGAAAGGAACAGGCACCAAACAAGCAGATGAGTGGCAGAAGGGGGCACACTCCAGGGAATTAAAAAATAATTTTAGAAGGGAGGGAGGGACCTGGTACCTAAACGCTGGCTAAAAATACGTTTCCAGAGGCCCATTGCATTCATGGCTGAATTCAACACAGGTATACCTACTTCAGCCTGGGCTGTTTAGTTGGCCAATATATCTTACTGGATAAGTTCTTGAAGCTGTTATTCTCTGCTCACAGCATTTCCCAAAGGCTCCCACAAGTCTCAATACACCTATGAGTACATTCTTTGTTCTTATCCCCAATTCTTTTTAAGCAATTTAAGAACATTCTGAAAAAAAGTTCTCAGATTATCCCTCTCTCTCCATATATATAATAAACATGTATGCATTTATCATTTATATTCTCTTATATTAAATATATATGCATATTTGCCTCTGTCTACCTTAAAATAACAAATGTTCAGTGCAAAATATTTTTTAGAGATTGGCATAATAACACTTAATGGCAAGCTCTAACATCTTTGAATAAAGCCTCTACAGTAAAAATAAATGGTTCATTTACTACTAAAAATTACACACACAAATGCATGCACACACACATACACTTCCTTCCCATGGCAAAACACCTATATTTGTGTATGAACCTAACACAAAAAGGCATATTACTCAGTATTACCGAAAGTTAATGGTAATATTGACAAACCCAAAACAACATGAATTCGGAACTGTTTTGTTTAGAATTCTAAAAACGATTCTGCTATTTGGTGGGGTGCTATGCACCTGGATGTGGAATTAAGAGGTGCATCTCCTTTCAAGCTGGGGGAACACACACTGCCAATCCCCCAAGCTGAGCTTTGATGGATGCACGAACTTACCAGCAGGCACACGCTCACGCCGATAGGAGCCGTGCACAAGCGTGTGCAGTGCTTAATGCCAAATTATGTCATTTAAGGGACCTTTACATTTCCTAATCTATTTAAAATGGCCTAGAAAATAAGTCCTGATCTGTGTGCCTGGGCTAGGTCTATTAAGAGTCAGACAGACGGCATAATGAAAGCCAGGGTGCAGCCCTAATAGGAAATCCAATGTTCTGTGTATTCCCTTCCTCTCCCTTTTTTGCCCAGGCTTTAGACTTCCTGGGGATCTGTCTCGGGCAGATGCTCATGTTTTCCAAGCTTATTGCTTATGGGAAGTGGTAGGAGTTTAAGAAAATCAGAGAGAAGAAGCTGTCATCTTGCTGACAAGCTGGCCAAATGCAGGTGGGTCAGAGTTTTGAGTGATGTGAGTTTTGAAATCCACTTCCAAGGCAAAATTAAAATACAAAAGCTTTGTCCTGCCACAGTCTGATTTCCCTAGGATAGATGGTTGCTGAAGACCTGGGAAGCTTCTCCTCTCACACATGCTTCAAGTGAGCGTGTTTACTCTGCGAGACTACAGGGAGAGGAAATTAATTTGAGCTGCTGCCGCCTTCCTCCCCAGCGTAGCCAAGAACATAGCCTCCTAACCAGCCTCTCCAATCCATTGCTTCCCCTCCAGTGCATTCTCCACACAGCAGCAGGACCATCGTTCTAAAAATGAAATTGCATCATACTATATAAGAGCTTCTGATTGCGTTTGGGGCTTCCAAAACCTGAACTCCTGGCCATGCCGCCACCGCAGCGTAAGAGGCGGCTCCTCCTCATCCCTCCTGACTCCTGTGTTGCTCACAATGTTCTCCTGGAGCAGTTCCCAAAATGGGGTTCGTGAGCCTGTGGGGGTGCCCTCCACCCTTTCATGGCCTTTCGGGGGTCTTCCCTCATGCAACTACATCATCTGTGGGGTTGGATTATCTTCAAATGCTTCAGCCAAAACAACTTATGCAATATGTTAAGTGCAGAGGCAGATGAGAATTCAGCTGCTCTATTAAGACACGCATGAAAGACATTTGCTAAATGTGAAACAATGACGCTCTTTCAATAAATGTCTTTTTTATGGAAAATATTATTTTTCATAAATATATAATCACTTATATTAACAGGTACTGGGTTTTAAAAATATTTTTAATAACTAAAAAGCAAATAATGTTTTAAAATATCTTAGTTTTAATTGTTAATGTGGTAGCTATAACTTTCATGAACAAAATCTCTGCGAGGGCTTCAGACTATTAAGCCTATGAAGAGCCCTTGTAACTGAACCTGGTGAGAAGCAGCGTTCTCAGGACCTCACGGTGAGAAGCGCATTCTCAGGACCGCACGGGGAGAAGCTCGTTCTCAGGACCGCACGGGGAGAAGCAGGGTTCTCAGGACGGCACGGGGAGAAGCAGCGTTCTCAGGACCGCACGGGGAGAAGCTCGTTCTCAGGACCGCACGGGGAGAAGGAGCGTTCTCAGGACGCACGGGGAGAAGCGCCTTCTCGGGACCACACAGTTCCTTCTTTGTGTGCACACACCGAGCTCTCCCTTCCTCAGGGCCACTGCACAGCTGGTTTTTCTGAGAGGAAGCCCAGGTAACACCTCAGTGTTTCTCCTCTCTCCCATAGGGCTCATCCTTCGCTTTCTGTATTGGCCCTGCTGTTTTCCCATGTTTAGGGCCCTGATTTTTAATATTTTCTTAATTATTTATTTACTTTTCCTCTTATTGGAAGAAGGACGGGCACAGTGGCTCATGCCTGTAGTCCCAGCACTCTGGGAGGATGAGGCAGGCAGATCACTTGAGCTCAGGGATTTGAGACCAGCCAGGGTAACATGGTGAAACCCTGTCTCTACAAAAAATACAGAAATTAGCCAGGCAGTGGCACACGCCTGTAGTCCCAGCTACTCGGGAGGCTGAGGCAGGAGGATCACTTGAGCCTGGGAGGTCGAGGTTGCAGGGAGCCGAGATCACACCAGATGGTGTAATGAGAAGGAAACCAAACTGTCTGTATGCCTATTTTTTTTTTCCCAGCCTTTAGACTTCCTGGGGATCTGTCTCAGGCAGATGTTAATATTTCTGAGCTCCAGCCTGCTGGGCCACAGAGCAAGACCTGTTAAAAAAAAAAAAAAAAAAAAAAGAAGAAGAAAGCTCACAGAAGAAAGTACTTGTGTCCTGGATTCCTTCAGTATCACCACAGTGTCTACTGCATGGGGCACTTTTTAAACATCTCATAAATAAGTGAATGGATGAATGAATGAGATAACCTGTTCATACTCAGAATAGGTGATTGTAATAAATGTTCTGACTCTTCTGCCATGATCAAGCGTATGGCAGGTTCTTATGTGTCCAGGGTGGTGTTTTTAAGACAGAGTTTCACTCTTGTTTCCCAGGCTGGAGTGCAGTGGCACAATCTTGGCTCACCACAACCTCCACCTCCCAGGTTCAAGTGATTCTCCTGCCTCAGCCTCCCAAGTAGGTGGGATTACAGGCATGCACCACCACACCCAGGTAATTTTGTATTTTTAGTAGAGACAGGGTTTCTCCATGTTGGTCAGGCAGGTCTCAAACTCCCAACCTCAGGTGATCCTCCCGCCTCAACCTCCCAAAGTGCTGGGATTACAGGCGTGGGCCACCGCGCCTGGCTGTCCAGGTTGTTTTAAGTGAGGTCTTGCTTGAAGACGGCAGGGTGCACTGGTTATGTGTCAGGCAGAGGGAACTTCCAGAAGCCACCCCTAGGCATGGATGGAATGGCTCCCTTCCCAGCACAGGATGAAGGAGGGATGGGAATGGTTGAGTCTGAGAAGGCTGTGCCTGCTAGGATCCCTCTTAGGGCCAATGGCAAAGAGCCAGGTCGCAGGAGAGGATAACACTGGCAGGTCAGATTGGAGTTTTGCAAGTAAATACCATCTGCTTTTCATCAGGATTAGAGACTCAGGGAAAATGTCAGAACCATATCCATTATGAAGAACATGTGAGAGCACTCTGGGATGCATTTTTAAAAATCTGACTCGGAGTAAACACACAGGGTGCCAACCCGAAGCCGCCCATCCTCACTGCTCTACAGCAGGGACCTCAGCATCCTACAGGAAGCAGAATCCTTTCACATCCCCAGGGGAAGAAATGCTGGGAAAGTGCACTAATGCCATGAGCCTGGGACTGGTGTGCATGTGGACAGTTGGGTCAGGACGTCTGCAGGTGGTAGGGCTTCAGTAAATATGTATTAAAGCCAGCTACGTGTCAGTAAACCACAGCAGAATCAAGACCCTTTGAATATGTAGATGCAAATATACAGCCTGTGTGGGAATCGATTTATTTCCAACTCAAATTTTTCCTAAATCCCATTTACCATTTCTCATCCTTTTAAGCAGAAGATGGCCTAGAGGAAGAATCTTCAGGACATAGATTAGCCCAGGTTTTATGAATTCAGCGTTGCTGCACAACCTCCAGCATAGTTTGTTAATTTTTTCCTAAATATTTTTCAAAGTTGTACTCTGTAGCAGACCCTACGTTATCCATACAGATGAGATGACAGACTGCAGACGGCATCCTTGTCTGGAGGAAAGTAAGAGCCAATTAGTCCTACTGGAACCTGGCAGAAATCAGTCTCTTTCTAGAGGCCTCTCTGTGTTGGGGCACATCCTGGGCTGGGAGCTGGAATATTTGTCTTTAAATCTAGTTCTGGTGTGTACTTTGCCAGAACTTTCCCATAGATTGTGAATTTCTGAAATAGAAGGCTGACCTGAATCATCTTATACACTGTAAATATAGTTCAGATAAAACATGCGGTGCTGATGCACTCGGAGTGCAGTCTGGCGGAACACCATCTAGAATTCCACTCCTCCCTCCACACGTTACAGAGCAGTTGTAAGGGACAGTAAGGTAACACGTAAAGTTTCTAGGATAATGACTCAAATGCGCAGCTACAGCTTTGCTTCTTTTTTCTTTATCCTTTTATTCAGTGTTTCATGTTAGTTTCATTTTTTTTTTTTTTTCATATAGGATGATGCTTTCTAGCTTCCCTCTCTGAAAAGAAGTCTCATTATGAAAACATGCAGCAGAATATCTTAAACTTCCCAGTGCGTACAATACGGAGAGCGTCTGTTGGTCCTGGCAGTGGGTGGATATCGTCACATACTTAATTGTCATTCAGTGGCTGGCTCTGTTTTCTTTCTTCTCAAATGTCTGGCTGTTCATCTCTTCTTTCTGTCTCACCCAAATTTGAATTGATCCTAGCAGAGCACAAAGCCTCATCCAAGTGTCTCCACAGTCCCTCATTGTGAAGGAGGAGCTACCCTCTGGGGCTGGGAGGACTGCAATTGGGGGACGGTGATGGGAGCAGAGGCTGGGATTCACCACAGAATGGCCCCTCCTTTAGGGGAGGAGGGTGCAGTTGGCTTGGGAATCTAGCCAACGAGTCAAGGCTTGAGGACCTGTCTGTTAACCCTAACAAGTTGGGGATTCTGCTTTTCAAAGGCAGAACTACCAGTTCCATACTAAGGAATGTATACTCCCTGGCTCTTCAGGTTTTGTTTTTTTTCTTAAGACAGAGTCTCACTCTGTCACCCAGACTGGAGTGCAGTGGCGCAATTTCAACTCACTGCAACCTCTGCCTCCTGCCTCAGTGATTCTCCTGCCTCAGTGATTCTCCTGCCTCAGCCTCCCAAGTAGCTGGGATTATAGGTGCCCACCACCACGCCTGGCTATTTTTTATATTTTTAGTAGAGACGGGGTTTCACCATGTTGGCCAGGCTGGTCTCAATCTCCTGACCTCAGGTGATCCACCCACCTTGGCCTCCCAAAGTGCCAGGATTACAGGCATGAGACACCATGCCCGGAGACTCCAGATATAAAGTCAGTGTCTGGATTAGAAAATCATGTTGTCTTTCTGGACTTTGAAAATGAAAACAACACTTTTGTCAAAAAGATTTGCTAGTTATGAATCACAGAAATGCTTAAGTGCTTGAAAACACAGCAAAGTCATGTGCCCTGGAGTCAGAATGTCCTCCTGCGGCTGCACACGGTCAGTTGTCTCCCCAGGATTTGGGCTTTTTGGCTTCAGTAAATGAGGCAAATGTGTAGGGTTTGTTCTCCACAGTCCCATCTGTAAAGCTGTGGAATATGTTATTGATCCATTTTGGGTCTGGAACTTCAACCATACAATCTATAATCTCATCTTTGGTATGCCACTTATATCTGGCAAATTCTAAGAAAAGACAAAAGAGTGAGAATTGAAAATAACTGAGCAGTCGTCTGCTGCCTCATTACATAGTTCTGTGATTTTGATCAGATTTGGATAGCTAGGCAGGACTGAGCAGATTACTACTTGGATCAGGAAACAGTGAACGCTGGGTTTTATGAGGGACGTTTTAGACACCTAGGGGTGAATCAGCTCCTTCTGTATTATTTTAGAGCTGGAGAAATTTCTTGAATATGAAACAGTCCAAGGCTTCATTTTGTAGTTAGGATTTAAAATAAAATACTTGAACAACATCTGTATATAAAATTATTTTTAATAAAAATTATGTTTTTGTTCTCTAAATCATTATAGTGATTTAAATTTTTTTGATATTTTATTTATTAATGTTTCCTCAATGATCTGTAAGATTATTCACCTGATGGTTATTTTATAGCTATTATTCATATATATATATATTTTTGAGATGGGTTCTCACTCTGTCCCCCAGGCTGAAGTGCAGTGGTGTGGTCATGGCTCGCTGCAGCCTTGACTCCTGGGGCTCAAGTGATCTTCCCACCTTAGCCTCCTAAGTAGCTGGGACCACAGGCACAAGCCCCTTTTTCTGACCAAGTTTTAAGTTATTTGTAAAGATGAGGTCTTGCTATGTTGCCCAGGCTGGTCTTGAGCTCCTGGGCTCAAGCAACCTCCCAAAATGCTGGGATTATAAGAGTGAGCCACTGCACCTGGCCTGTAGTTATTCATATTTTATCTCCCTTTAGAACACGACAGAAACTTGTTAATACCAAGAGCTTTTGTATGATATTGAGATATAAAATGTATAGCTATATTCCTTTAGAAGTGTTACATACAGGATGGGGAGAAAGGTGCGACATTCCTCTGCTGGGACCACCTTGCTGCCGTTTGGAAGCTTTGGGCTGTGTGTACATGCCCACTTTGAGAGGCCAGTGGGGAGACTTGTCCTGCTCCTTTTTTCAGAAGCAGTAGAGTGTCTGTCACTCCAGGAAACTGACACTTGTCTGGCTGCTCAAGAAGTTTCCCAGCTGGCTGTGAGACCTTCCCCCCTCATCAGATCCTTTCATTAACCCTGCACCAACAACTCTAAAGCCAAGAACCTTCAAGAACAACTTTAAGAACAACTCTAAAGACCAACTTTAAGCCAAGAACCAAGTTGATAGCTTAAAAATTGGATAAATGTATACTGTCAAATGAAGTTATTATTGTCACTTTGCTAATATGGAATGCTAAGGATAAATGCTATAAAGAGTCTTAGACAACATCTACTCCAGTGAATGATCTTCAAACTTAACTACCTGATGTAGTCACTTGTGGATTAGAGAAAGAAGTGGCTCTGCTTTTGCAAAGACAAACAATCTTGTTTCAGAATAATCCCCCTGCTGATAATAATTAGAAATGTAAGACTCTACACAACCCATTTGAAGGCAGTGGGAATCAGTCATGATGTGCACAGTCAACATTGCATGCAGAGAGAAATCCAGAGAGTAAGACCTAGGTGTAGCACATCTTTCCTGCTTACAGCATTTATTGATACCAAAGAGTTTCATGATGATCTGAATATCTGAACAGAAGGTTTGTCAAAATTGCATCATGCGGGGCATAAGCTTAAGATTCATGGCCTCCTGAGAGGGAAGCTCCTTGGTAAACACCATAGGCTTCCAGTTGGGATCCCATAGGATTACATGCTAGGAAGAAGGATAAACTGAAAATAGCTCAGCTCTCACAGGTAATAAACCATGGCTTTGAATCATCAATTCATGATTGGATTGAGGTGTTTTTCTGTGATTTAGATGCCTAGAAGCAGCAAATCTTTTCTGTAAGAAGATAATATAATACAGAGGCTGAGAGTAAGGCTACAATCTTTCATCTACAATGTCTGAAATTCAAGCAAAATGAAACAAGGAGTATGACATGATAGATTTGACCAAACCTCAGGAGAAAATAACAACCAATAGAAACAAATACATTGAGACTCACAGAAATTTAAACTCATTATGATGAAAATGCTAACACATTTAACAAGAAGTTAAATTTCAAGAGATAAATAAAACTTATCTTAAAAACCAAGTGGAAATTTTAGAATTAAAAACTATAATAATTGAAGTTAGGATCTCAGTTGATGAGATTAACAACAGAATATGACAGGCCAAAGAGAGAATTAGTGAACTGGAAAATGGGCTAGGAGAAACTACCAATATTAATATATAGTGATAAAATGGTAGAAAATACATAAAAGAATATAAGATATATATAAGACACAGTATAAAACCCTATCACATGCAAAACAGGAGTCCCATAAGGAGAGGCAAGAGGAGCAAAAGCAGTATTTAAAAAGATAAAATGTAAGAATTTTTCAAACATGATGAAAGGCATTAGCCTACAAGTTCAACAAGCAATAGAAATTTCAAGGGGGGATAAATACAAAGCAAATCACATCTGGGCATATCATAGTAAAACTTCTGGAAATCAAATATCAGGAAAAAATTTTTTAAATGCCAGCAGTTACTGACAGCTCATTTCTCAGCAAAAAATGATGGTATTCAGATGACAATGGGATTCTATACTAAAAATGCTTAAATAAAGTGATTGCCTATGTGGGTGAAAAAAAAATCCTTAAAAATGAAGGTAAAGGATTTTAGATACATTAAAAATAGAAGCACTTGTAATCAGCAGATCTGCATTAAGTGAAATGCTAAAAAATTATTTAGTCAGAAGTAAAATTATCTGCTTGTAATCCAGAGATACATGTAGACATGAACAACAAATACTGTAAGTATGTGGGTAAAATGAAATAATCATTGACTGTATAAAATAACAATAATATCTTATAATTTAGTGTATTTATAATAAAAATTACATTCAATATATATATCCATATATCACATTATAATATGTGGTTTATATTATATAACATATAACATATTTAATATTTATAAAACCTCACCTACAGTAACACACAAATAGGGGGAAGTAGTTGGAGTTAAAGCATTGGTAATTTCATTGTGTTTTTGTAAAATGGTAAAACTACCCTTGATATTAAATTTTAGAAAGTCAATAAAACCTAGTAAAAAATCTATCACTATCAAAGTTATAGACAGAATAAAGGAATAATATAAAATACTAAATGCAAATAAGATTAAGAAGAAAGTCATAAAAAAGGAGGAAAATTAGAAAATAGTAAACTGGAGAATGCAACCCATTAATAATTACATTGAGATGTGAAAGTAGTACACAGGACCATCAATAGTCAAAGATTATCACACCAGATTAAAAATTGAACCCAACTAAATGCTGCTTTCAAGAGTCAGATCTGAAATGTAAGGACACAAAAAGGTTGAAGATAAAAAAAGAAGAAATATATTACAGTGCGAATGTTAAGGAAAATTATTATAAATTTTTAAAAATATTGATGTGTAGGCCCATCATTGGCTATTATGAATTTTTGAATGTTGGTTAGGGAACAGGCAACTGTATTATTACAACTGTTTCTGGTAATTTCTGATGAACAAATATGGCTGAGAAATAGATATCTAGTCTGAATTGTTTGTTTTAGAGGAAACAGGTCAGAAAAGAAAGTGATTTACCACAGTCCTTTCAGTCATTATTTATTCAATGTTTAAGGAACATCTACTATGAGATAATAATAAATGAGGTGGGTTTCCTTGATTTATAATTTTAAAATTTATGTACATATGCAGAAGTATCTCCAAAACAAGACAGAAAAGGAAAAGGCCTTACCCAAGGGACAGAATAAAATACTATTGACTGTGCCCAACCACAGATGAGCGCATAAAAACATGGTATATCTATCTATCTGCAGGTGTATATACACACATGCACACACACATGCATACAACGAATGTGTAGAGATGTATATAACATATACACCCATATATACATACATACATGCACACACACATGCACACAACGAAGGTGCAGATATATGTAACATATACACACGTATATACACACATGCACACACACACGCATACAACGAATGTGTAGAGATGTATATAATATAAACACATGTATACATACATGCACACACACACAACGAATGTGTAGAGATGTATATAACACACACATATATACACACATGCACACACACACACAATGAATGTGTAGAGATGTATATAACATATACACACATATATACACACATGCACACACACACGCACACAACGAATGTGTAGAGATGTACCTAACATACACACATATATACACATGCACACACACACAACGAATGTGTACAGATGTATATAACATACACACATATATACACATGCACACACACATGCATACAATGAATATGTATAGGTATAAATAACATACATATATATACATGCACACACATACACAATGAATATGTGTATATATTATATATATAATATATACACACACACGTACACAATGGAACACTACCCAGCAATAAAAAAAGAAGGAAATTCTGTTATTTGTGGCAACATGGATGAACCTGGAGGTCATAATGTTAAGTGAAATAAGCCAGACACAGAAAGACAAACACTGCATGATTTCATTCATACATAGAGGCTAAAACAGTTGATTTCATAGAGAGCAAAGAATAGAACAGTGGTTACCAGAGACTAGGAAGGGGCAGGGGTATGGGCCCCAGGAGTGGTTGGCCAACCAGTACCAAGTTACAGTTAGGCAAGAGGACCGAGCTCTGGTATTCTATTACACAGTAGGATAACCAGAGCAAATAACAAGGTATTGCGTATTTCAAGATAGCCAGAAGAGAAGATTTAGAATATTATTACCACCAAGATAAATGGTAAAAGTTTAAAATGATGGACATGGTAACTTCCTCAATTCCATCATGATACTATGTATATACGCATTGACACATCACACTGTATTCCATAAACATGTACAATTACCACGTGTCAATTAGAAATGAAAATTAGGCAGGGCGGGGTGGCTCATGCCTGTAATCCCAGCACTTTGGGAGGCCTAGGCGAGTGGATCATAAGGTCAGGAGCTTGAGATCAGCTTGACCAACATGGTGAAACCCCATCTCTACTAAAAAATACAAAAATTAGCCAGGCGTTGTGGTGTGTGCCTGTAATCCCAGCTACTCAGGAGGCTGAGGCAGGAGAATCGCTTGAACCCAGGAGGCAGAGGTTGCAGTGAGCACTGCACTCCAGCCTGGGCGACAGAGCGAGACTCTGTCTCAAAAAAAATAAAATTAAAATTAACTAATAAAAATACCATAGACCAAAAGAGTGAAAGACCAATTTCATGATACTGTGTATATATGCATTGAAACATCACACCATATTCCATAAGCATGTACAATTACCACGTGTCAATTATAAATAAAAATTAACTAATAAAAACACCATAGACCAAAGGAGTGAAAGGTCAATTTCAGAGACAGGACTAAGTTTTGTCTTCAAAGAATCAGAGGCTTTTTAGTTAGATTATTTTAAAAAAATGAGTAGGCTTTGGAAAGGTTCAGAAGTGGGAGAAGAACATCACAATGAGATCTTTACAAACATTGTCCTTAATAACAAAGTAAAGTGTGGGACTGCTTCTTCATAAAAAGTTCATCCTTTGCTTTGAAAAACAAACATTCTTTTTGATAGGAGATCTTTTGAAATGCCAATTTCTAAAGTTAACCAACGTTTTCAGAAAAACTATGCTTACAAAAAAATTGTGCGGGACAGACTGCACACTTGGGCACTGCCTTCTTGCCGGCCACAATTTGATGGCCTTCCCTGCCATAAGGGATGGTGTAGACTGCGTGAAATGCAGATACCCATGACTATCTGCGGGGTATAGCGTGATCCCCCGTCACACTCTCCTTCCCCCGAGTCAATGGGAGAGGGAGGAGCCACAGGAGAAAAGGGTGAGGGTCTCAGGACCAGGACAGCTGTGGGGCAGAACCCCGTCCTCGCATTTGATGGCTCACAGGACTTGAGTGAGGGACACAGTGTTAATGTGAGAAGCCACCGACTTTATAAGGCTGTGTGTTCTGCAGTTAGTCTCCTCTGTCTTTAGAGTTGGCTCCTCCTCACCTTGGGTCTTACTGATGGAGCTGAATTCTCTGGCCCAGCTACCTTCTTCTCTCTGAAGCACTTCTTCCTCTTTCCTCCAAGGGACTGTTCAACAGCAGTGTCACCTGCCTGCCCAGTCCTCATGCAGACACACAAACCTGCTTCCCACTACACACAGTACCCCTCACGGAGGCAGGCAGCACGGACACCTCTGGGGAGGAACTTCTGAAAATAAAATGCAGCTCAGAGTGCTCCAACATTTCATCCAGGATTTGAACACACAGCACTCAGATTGAGCCAAGGAAGCAGCGTGCAGTGCCATTCCTTCCTCCAGGTAAGCCTCGTTAGGCTGTGCCCTCATACACACGCTGGGCCTTACGGTTTACAAAATGCATGTCTATAAATACGTCACATGCTTCCCACCGTGGCACTATAGGAAGCTGAGGCAGGTTTCGTGACAAGTGAATTTTTGGTGTAGGCTGCTCGAGAGGTCCATGATTTGCAGGTTTCATGACAAATAAATTTAGGTACTTGGTGGGGGCTGCTCAAGAGGTCATGATTTGCCATTGTACTAGGAAATTAATGCAACGTTATTCCTACAACAAATTAGCTTAATGATTGAAAATGGCACACAATTACTAGGTTGGAGGGCAAAAATAAAGAAATCAAGGTGTCAGCGAACTGCCTTCCTTGTGGAGGCTCCAAGGAACCTCTGTGTCCATGCGTTTTTCTGCTTCTGGAGGCCACCGGCATTCTGTGGCTTCCGACCCCTTCCACACATCACCTGAACATCTGTCTCCATGACCACGTCTCCTCCTACACGACTGCTGTGATGCCCTTGGGCCTGTCCCTGATCCAGAATAACCTTTCTATCTTACTCTCCTGAACTTAATCCCCTCTGCAAAATCCCTGTGTCCTGTAAGATGACATATTCACCGGTTCCAGGAAGGTGGACATGGGCCATGGGTGACAGCACTCTGCCTACCACACCCATAGAGAGAGAGAGAGAGTTGAGGAGGAAAGTCTGAGCCTTCCAAGGCCACATTTTTCTACTCTTCTGAAAAGGGAGTTTCTCGAATGCCAGCAATGGCTGAGAAAGCCCAGGGGGTTGCGCTCATGGCTGTTCGGCTCCGGTGTGTTGCTGAAGAGCTCTCACGCTGGAGCCATAAGGGAAAATCACCCAGCATGGTAAGCAAATGCGCCTGGGAGTGCCATGGTGCTCAGCCTCCTTCCTGAGACATGCAGATTAGATTCCTACAAGTATATGATCCACTTCAAGTAAATGAGCTTTTGGAGAAGTTAACAAAGCACATTAATCTTTACTCAGTAAGATATGATGAATTGTGTATGATGCACAAGTGCCCTAACTCACTGTGAGAGAACTAGAGTTGCATTCTACACCAGGCCTAATACATTGCCATGCCAACTACTGAGTGGAAAAAATAAATCCTAACTCTGAAAAGACCTAACATTGAAACAGACAAAAAAGTGTGTCTGTTCAGAACTGGGATGTGAACTAAGCAGTTATATCAGCTGCATTTTGACAATGGTGTCCAAAGTCAATTACTGGAGACTGTTTTCAGGACCTGGTGACCTGGCTTACACAACTGCTCCAGAATGTACTTAGCTTAAATCTGCACTCCTCATGGTCCAGCCAGTTGTTCCAATTTGAAAATGATCTTATCAATTGTTCAATAACCTTCTATTTTTGTCATTAATGGTTAGGTTCTTTAAAAATCATAAGTGTTGGCCGGGTGCGGTGGCTCATGCTTGTAATCTCATCACTTTGGGAGACCAAGGCAGGCGGATCACGAGGTCAAGAGTTTGAGACCAGCCTGGCAAACACAGTGAAACCCTGTCTCTACTGAAAATACACAAATTAGCTGGGCGTGGTGGCAGGTACCTGTAATCCCAGCTACTCAGGAGGCTGAGGCAGGAGAATCACTTGAACCCAGGAGGCGGAAGCTGCAGGGAGTTGAGATTGCACCACTGCACTCCAGCCTGGGCAACAGAGTGAGACTCTGCCTCAAAAAAAAAAAAAAATCGTAAGTGTTTTAAAGTTTAACCTTTCAAGTGGTATTTTCAGCTAAACTCTCTAATCTGTAGTTTACTAACAATGATATATTAACTTCTGGGTTTTCAAAACACTAAAACTTTTCTAAACAATATTTCCAAGCCTTATATTTAACGACACTTAATCATTACTTGAGCAGCAAGAAATACAGACTTTTATTGGGAGCTAATGAAGAAAAATAAGCATTACTATAAATGAAGTATAGAACTCAGGATTAAGAAACTCACTCAAAACCACTCAATTACATGGAAACTGAACAACCTGCTCCTGAATGACTACTGGGTACATAACGAAATAAAGGCAGAAATAAAGATGTTCTTTGAAACCAATGAGAACAAAGACACAACATACCAGAATCTCTGGGACACATTCAAAGCAGTGTGTAGAGGGAAATTTATAGCACTAAATGCCCACAAGAGAAAGCAGGAAAGATCTAAAATTGACACCCTAACATCACAATTAAAAGAACTAGAGAAGCAAGAGCAAACACATTCAAAAGCTAGCAGAAGGCAAGAAATAACTAAGATCAGAGCAGGACTGAAGGAAATAGAGACACAAAAAAACCTTCAAAAAATCAATGAATCCAGGAGCTGGTTTTTTGAAAAGATCAACAAAATTGATAGACCACTAGCAAGACTAATAAAGAAGAAAAGAGAGAAGAACCAAATAGATGCAATAGAAAATGATAAAGGGGACATCACCACCGATCCTACAGAAATACAAACTACCATCAGAAAATACTATAAACACCTGTACACAAATAAACTAGAAAACCTAGAAGAAATGGATAAATTCATCAACACACACACCCTCCCAAGACTAAACCAGGAAGAAGTTGAATCTCTGAATAGACCAATAACAGGCTCTGAAATTGAGGCAATAATTAATAGCTTACCAACCAAAAAATGTTCAGGACCAGATGGATTCACAGCCGAATTCTACCAGAGGTACAAGGAGGAGCTGGTACCATTCCTTCTGAAACTATTCCAATCAATAGAAAAAGAGGGAATCCTCCCTAACTCATTTTATGAGGCCAACATCATCCTGATACCAAAGCCTGGCAGAGACACAACAAAAAAAGAGAATTTTAGACCAATATCCTTGATGAACATTGATGCAAAAATCCTCAATAAAATACTGGCAAACCGAATCCAGCAGCACATCAAAAAGCTTATCCACTATGATCAAGTGGGCTTCATCCCTGGGATGCAAGGCTGGTTCAACATACACAAATCAACAAATGTAATCCATCATATAAACAGAACCAAAGACAAAAACCACATGATTATCTCAATAGATGCAGAAAAGGCCTTTGACAAAATTCAACAGCAGTTCATGCTAAAAACTCTCAATAAACTAGGTATTGATGGGACGTATCTCAAAATAATAAGAGCTATTTATGACAAACCCACAGCCAATATCAACTGAATGGGCAAAAACTGGAAGCATTCCCTTTGAAAACTGGCACAAGACAGGGATGCCCTCTCTCACCACTCCTATTCAACATAGTGTTGGAAGTTCTGGCCAGGGCAATCAGGCAGGAGAAAGAAATAAAGGGTATTCAATTAGGAAAAAGGAAGTCAAATTGTCCGTGTTTGCAGATGACATTACTGCATATTTAGAAAACCCCATCGTCTCAGCTCCTTAAGCTGATAAGCAACTTCAGCAAATCTCAGGATAAAAAATCAATGTGCAAAAATCACAAGCATTCCTCTACATCAATAAGAGACAAACAGAGCCAAATCATGAGTGAACTCCCATTCACAGTTGCTTCAAAGAGAATAAAATACCTAGGAATCAAACTTAGAAGGGATGTGAAGGACCTCTTCAAGGAGAACTACAAACCACTGCTCAATGAAATAAAAGAGGACACAAACAAATGGAAGAACATTCCATGCTCATGGATAGGAAGAATCAATATTGTGAAAATGACCATACTGCCCAAGGTAATTTATAGATTCAATGCCATCCCCATCAAGATACCAATGACTTTCTTTGCAGAATTGGAAAAAACTACTTTAAAGTTCACATGGAACCAAAAAAGAGCCCACATTGCCAAGTCAATCCTAAGCCAAAAGAACAAAGCTGGAGGCATCACACTACCTGACTTCAAACTATACTACAAGGCTACAGTCACCAAAACAGCATGGTACTGGTACCAAAACAGAGATATAGACCAATGGAAGAGAACAGAGCCCTCAGAAATAATGACACATATCTACAACTATCTGATCTTTGACAAACCTAACAAAAACAAGAAATGGGGAAGGCATTCCCTATTTAATAAATGGTGCTGGGAAAACTGGCTAGCCATATGTAGAAAGCTGAAAGTGGATCGCTTCCTTACACCTTATGCAAAAATTAATTCAAGATGGATTAAATACTTACATGTTAGACCTAAAACCATAAAAACCCTAGAAGAAAACCTAGGCAATATCATTCAGGACATAGGCATGGGCAAGGACTTCATGTCTAAAACACCAAAAGCAATGGTAACAAAAGCCACAATTGACAAATGGGATCTAATTAAACTAAAGAGCTTCTGCACAGCAAAAGAAACTACCATCAGAGTGAACAGGCAACCTACAGAATGGGAGAAAATTTTTGCAACCTACTCATCTGACAAAGGGCTAATATCCAGAATCTACAATGAACTCAAACAAATTTACAAGAAAAAAACAAACAACCCCATCAAAAAGTGGGCGAAGGATATGAACAGACACTTCTCAAAAGAAGACATTTATGCAGCCAAAAAACACATGAAAAAATGCTCACCATCACTGGCCATCAGAGAAATGCAAATCAAAACCACAATGAGATACCATCTCCCACCAGTTAGAATGGCAATCATTAAAAAGTAAGGAAACAACAGGTGCTGGAGAGGATGTGGAGAAATAGGAACACTTTTACACTGTTGGTGGGACTGTCAACTAGTTCAACCACTGTGGAAGTCAGTGTGGCGATTCCTCAGGGATCTAGAACTAGAAATACCATTTGACCCAGCCATCCCATTACTGGGTATATACCCAAAGGATTATAAATCATGCTGCTATAAAGACACATGCACACATATGTTTATTGCAGCACTATTCACAATAGCTAAGACTTGGAATCAACCCAAATGTCCAACAATGATAGACTGGATTAAGAAAATGTGGCACATATACACCATGGAATACTATGCAGCCATAAAAAATGATGAGTTCATGTCCTTTGTAGGGACATGGATGAAGCTGGAAACCATCATTCTCAGCAAACTAGCGCAAGGACAAAAAACCAAACACTGCATGTTCTCACTCACAGGTGGGAATTGAACAATGAGAACACATGGACACAGGAAGGGGAACATCACATACAGGGGCCTGTTGTGGGGTGGGGTGGGGGGAGGGGGGAGGGATAGCATTAGGAGATATACCTAATGCTAAATGACGAGTTAATGGGTGCAGCACACCAACATGGTACATGTATACATATGTAACAAACCTGCACGTTGTGCACATGTACCCTAAAACGTAAAGTATAATAATAAAATTAAAAAAACTATAATATACAAAAAAAGAAAACAGTAATTATATAATAGTTTTTCTTGTTTTTAAATGGTCCTTTATTCATTTTTTACTATGTGAACCTTAAACAATTCTTAAAATGCCCACTGGTCCTTTTGATTCTAGTAGGATGTAAGTAATGTTCCCTAAATTCAATCATTTATGTTTTTGATTTGAAAGAAACAAAAAAGGAAGACTGAATTATAAATGTAATAATGCATATAATGTAGTCAGGGGAACATCCAAACTCAATCATACTCATTCCTAGATTCCCATGCCCTTTTCTTTAGGCTTTATCTATTTCTAAATTGTCTCTCCCTCTCTCCACTGCTGCCAGTCTCACTTGAACAATGTCAAGAGCCATTTTTCTGGTGTCTAGAACTTGCAAATGCCTTCATCTAGGTAACCACTCTCCTCAATGCTACCAGGGTTGATATCCACCTAGAGCAATGCTACAGGGTTGATATCCACCTAGGGTACATTTCTAGTGATGTTTCCATCCCCCTTCTCTTCACATATGGGTTAAAGTCCAAAATCCTTACGTGGTCAACCAAGGCCCTTTCAATGTGGTTCTCAACAATCTTTCCAGTATCAGCTCCTTTGTTCTCACATAACGTTTTACATTATGGCAATATCAAAGTCGTCACAATTTTCCTATGCACTAAGCTGTCCCATAATTTCTTTTCTTTTCTTTTCTTTCTTTTTTTTTTTTGAAACAGGGTCTCACTTTGTCACCCAGGCTGGAGTGCAGTGGCATGATTTTGGCCCACTGCAGCCTCCACCTCCCAGGTTCAAGCAATTCTCCTGCCTCAGCCTCCTAAGCAACTGGGATTACAGGTGCACACCACCACGCCCAGCTAATTTTTTTTAGTAGAGATGGGGTTTCACCTTGTTGGCCAGGCTGGTTTCGAACTCCCGATCTCAGATGATCCACTGGCCTCTGCCTCCCAAAGTGCTGGGATTATAGGCACGAGCCACCGTGCCCGGCCAAGCTGTACCATACTTTCATGTCTTTGAACATCTATTTGTACCATTCACCTTTTTCTTTTATTGCTGTTTACCTAATGAAGTCTTAGTTATCCTTTAAAAACCAGCCCACTTGGAAATCCTTTTGATAAAACGTCCATGATATTAGAAAGAAAACTTGGGTGTTACTTTGTCCACACTTCTATATTGTACTGAATTTGGTTATGTCTGTCTCCCCACCTGGTCAATAAGCAACTAGGTTGGGGGTAAAACTGAGCCTTACAGATCTTTCTTTCCTCATTACCTCATGCAATCTCTGGAATAACTCAGAATCTCAAAAATGAAATTAAAACATGGAAATGCATAAGAGAAAAGAGGAGCATTTCTTAGTCTGTCCTTTAATACAGACAAAATCCAGTTAGGTTAGATGCTACATTGCCACTGTGAAAGTCATCCTCCATAAACCCCCAAAGCGAATCCACAGTTCATCCTCCTGTTAGCAGATTCTGTAGTTGCCCATTTGCCTACTTACTCTCCTACTATAGACCAGTGTCTTTTCCATAGCCTATTTAGAGCCACGTTTTTCATTTATGTCCTTCTTCTTCTGTTTAAAATAGCCGCCAAGCACGGTACTGAAGGGCTATCTAGTGTCCCTACATGCAAGAAGGCTGCATTGTAGGAGTCCAGTGGGAAGACTTCATTCCCTATGGAGAAAGCATTCCTGCTAGAGAAGCTTCCTTCAGGAATGAGTTATGGTGCTGTTGGTGGTGAGTTCAGTGTTAATGAATCAACAATATGGTTTACATAAGGTGTCTTTAAACAGAAACACACATAAAACAAGATAATGTATTGATCAGTTGTTGAAAATATTGTGGCCAGAGGTTCACAAGAACCCAACCTTCTCTTTCCCCCAGGTACAATGGTTTAGGATTTATTCATTCTAATTTGTTAAGTGTACAGAGCCACTTTGGAAAGCATGATTACTATGAATAACAAAAATTGATTGTATTATATATTCTATATCTACACTACACATATAAAACACACATATAATGCGCACTTTCCTGCTTGAAACCCAACACACTGATTAGAAGCTGCCTTTATGCTTCCTTTCCCCATCATTGTCCTTTGTAAAAGACAGAAGCGTCCAGAAACGCCCTGAGGAATTGGCAGCCTGAACCCAGGCCAGCCTCACCCTGTGTTGAGCTTACGTAGTACAATACACCGTCAAGAACAATGTCGTGACATCTGTTTTAAGTGCATCATCACTAAACAAGTTGAATTCATCAAACGCTGTACCTTCTGGAAGACAGAATGGGGCAAGGCTGTCTATTTGGTTCACCACTAAGCCTGGAACACTGAAAAATCAAACTGATAACTAACTGTTGACAATTATTCTAGAGGCCCTACAGTGAGACAAGTTTTGCATCACAGATTCTCTCAGGATCTGATGCAGGCTGTGGGCTCTCTCTTCCAGAAAATACACAAATGCAGAAACTCACACATTTACACAAATCTTCTAAAGGATTATAAATCCTTGAAACACACTCATGTATGGTTGGGTGATTATTAACTCAGATTAAGAAACCCTAGGACTGATGCCATCGAAGCACCTACACCAGGAACCTGGGCATGATGTGCGGTGTATTCCAGCCCTGCCCACCCCGAAGCACGTCTCTCTCTGTAACTCCCTTCTACTGGGGCCCCCTATTGTCCACTCTGGTAGGTTGGGTTCAATCCACTCCATGCCCCACTCAGTGGCAAACCCTCCTGTTCATTAGGATTTAACAAGTTTCATTGTCCATGTACACTGCAGTGACTCAGGTGCACTAACCTGAGGGTGTAGATACTGGAAGTATCAACAATCCAAGCAAGTGTCTCTCCAGCCGTCTCAGGGGAAGCCCACCATTCATTCACTGGGGAAGAACTAGGGTTACAGAGCATGAGCCCTGCTGCAAAAGGACACTGGGTTTGATTGAATTCGAGTTATCCACTCCCAGTGAATGTGGGCTCAGGCTTGTGATACTCTGTTTTAAAAGTCACTTTTTAAAAAGTTCGCCATGAAATGTGGCGGTAAACGTGTCTGGTTTGTAGACCTGTTGCAACCACTACATGACATAACGCAGGCAGAGCACCTGTCACAGCCAGCAGTTCGGCAGGACATCCAAATTGTCAGAGTCCCACCCTCATGTGCAAGCAGGTGCAGTGCCATCCAAGCAGGTACAGTTTGGGCATTCCTTCAGTAAAAAAAGGGACTGAGCCTCCTTTGCATATATGTATGTAGGCTTGTATTCTCATATACTGACATACTGTAATAACTGAATCATACACAACAATAACAATTAAAAACTTTAAAAAACTTTAATTTATAAATAACCTTTTTTCTTCTGAAAGGTATGAAGAATGTTTTAAAAGTGAGAGATATATCTTTAAATATGACATTAGTTTTTAAATTTTTGCCTGACATTTTATGTTACAGCAATTTTAATCTCTATTTTTAAGTTTAATTTATCTTGATACTTGCTTTTAGGCTCTATCATAGTAGAAATGATACCTCAGAAAGGCACATTTACCTAAAATAGAAAAACAGTAAACCTATACATTGGTTACTATAACTAGATCATGATACTTATTTTTCTTTATTATCTATGGGCTATCCCAAATTTTTATCAAAATTTAGCTAATCACTTTCCATCATTTTTCAAATGTCATAGGTTGCTTTTGAAATTAAACAGGGAGGCATTTACACACACACACACACACACACACACCCCAAATAGATTCAAAGCCACTGAAATGACTCATTCTGCCAGTTTTTAAAATTGCCTATGCTTTTTAAAACATTTTGTGTTTTTAATTTTTGTGGGCACATAGTAGGTGTACACATTTATGGATTACATGAGACATTTTTATACAGAAATGCAGTGCATAATAATCACAGCATGGTACATGGGGTCTCCATCGCCTCAAGCATTTATCCTTTGTGTTACAAAAAAAATCCAATCATACTCTTTTAGCTATTTTTAAGTGTGCAGTTAAATTATTATTGACTATAGTCCCCTTGTTGTGCTATCAAATACTAAGTCTTATTCATTCTTTCTATTTTTGTAACCATTAACCTTCCAACTCCCCTACCCCCTGCCCCACCACCCTTCCCAGCCTCTGGTAACCATCCTTCTACTCTATCTCCGTGAGTTCAATTGTTTTGACTTTTAGTTTCCACAAGTATGTGAGAACATGTGAAGCTTGTCTTTTCGTGCCTGGCTTGTTTAACTTAACATAATAACCTCCAGTTCTAACCATGTTCTTGTAAAAGACAGAATCTCATTCTTTTTTATGGCAGAATAGTACTCCATTGTGTGCATACATATATTTTTAAATTTTTAATTAAAAAATATATGTATGCATATGTATGCCACATTTTTTTAATCCACTCATCTGTTGATGGACACTATTGATGCTTCCAAATGTTGGCTCTTGTGAATAGTCCTTCAGTGAACACGGGAGAGCAGATATCTCTTTGATATGCTCATTTCCTTTCTTTTGGGTATATACTCAGCTGTGAGATTGCTGGATCATATGCTAGTTCTATGTTTAGTAGTTTTTTGAGGAATCTCCAACCTGTTCTCCATAGTGGTTGTACTAATTTACACTCCCACCAATAGTCTTCTGTTTCTCCACATTCTCTCCAGCATTTGTTATTGCCTTCCTTTTGGATATAAGCCATTTTAAGTGGGGTAAGATGAGATCTCCCTGCAGGTTTGATTTGCATTTCTCTGATGTTCAGTGATGTTGAACACATTTTCATAATCCTGCTTGCCATTTGTGTGTCTTCTTCTTTTGAGAGACGTCCATTCAGATCTTTTGTCCATTTTTAATTGACATTTTAGATTATTTTCTATAGATTTGTCTGATCTCCTTCTATAGTCTGATTATTGATCCCTTGTCAGATAGGTTGACTTTTTCCTTTGCTGCGCAGAGGCTTTTTTAACTTGATATGATCCCATTTGTCGATTTCTGCTTTGGTTGCCTGTGCTTATGGGGTATTACTCAAGAAACTTTGCCCAGACCAATATCCTAGAGCATTTCCCCAATGCTTTCTTGTAGCTATTTCATAGTTTGAGATGTTTAAATTTAAGTTTTTAATTCACTTTAATTTGATTTTTGTATAAAGCAAGAGATAAGGGTCAAGTTTGTCCAGTTTTCCCAGCACCATTTGTTGAAGAGACTGTCTTTTCCCAGTGTCTATCCTTGGCTCCTTTGTCAAAAATGAGTTCACTGTAGGTATAAGGATTTGCTTCTGGATTCTTTATTCTGTTCCATGCATCCATGTGTCTGTTTTTATGCCAGTTCCATGCTGTTTTGATTCTGTATAGTTCTGTAGTATACTCTGAAGTCAGGTAATGTGATTCCTCCAGTTTTGTTCTTTTTGCTTCACAAAATTTAGGCTATTCTAGGTCTTTTGTGGTTACATATTAATTTTAGGATATTTTTTCTATTTATGTGAAAAATGCCATTGGTATCTTGATAGGAATTGCATTAAATCTGTAGATTTCTTTGGGTAGTATGGACGTTTTAACAATATTGATTCTTCCAATCCATGAACATGGAATACCTTTCCATTTTTTTGTTTCTTCAATTTTTTTTAAAATCAGTGTTTTATAGTTTTTGTTGTAAAGATATTTTACTTCTTTGGTTAAGTTACTTCCTATGTATTTAATTTTATGTGTGGCTATTATAAATAGGATTGCTCTTTTGATTTCTTTTTCACATTGTTCAGTGTTGACATATGGAAATGCTACTGATTTGTATTTTGATTTTGTATCCCACAATTTTACTGAATTTATCAGTTCTAATAGTTTTTTGGTGAAGTCTTTAGATTTTTCCAAATATAAAATCATATCATCTGCAAATAGGTATAATTGCTTATGCATGTTTGATTAGAAATTTGAAAGTTTTTAAATCTGAAAGTTTTTAAGAGTTTAAACATCCCTTATAGCCAAAATTTTGAAAATCACATAACAATGACCACGTTTTTAAACATCCATTTTCAAAATGTTCTTTCCATAGGACAAGGTTCTTTTTAAAGTAATTCTTTCTTACTAATTGTTTTAACATTAATTTTGCTTTGAAGCATGATCTTCATGTATCGTTTTTTTTAAAAAAATTCTGTTAGTACTCCTTTAGCCACTGTCATCCACTAATAGCAAATTTGAAGCACATGTCTTTATTACAAGAGAAAAATAACTCATCTTTAAGACTGACAACTCTGGCCAGGTGCAGTGGCTCATGCCTGTAATCCCTGCACTTTAGGAGGCCGAGGCGGGCAGATCATGAGGTCAGGAGTTCGAGAACAGCCTAGCCAACATGGTGAAACCTGTCTCTACTAAAAATACAAAAATTAGCTGGGCGTGGTGGCGGGCGCCTCTAGTCCCAGCTACTCAGGAGGCTGAGGCAGGAGAATCGCTTGAACCCAGAAGGCAGAGGTTGCAGTGAGCCAAAATCGCACCATTGCACTCCAGCCTGGGGACAGAGAGAGACTCCATGTCAAAAAAAAAAAAAAAAAACCAAACAAAAAAAAAACTGACAATGCTTCTAGAACATTATAACAAGCAGAACTCTTTGTGGTACAAATGATTTTCACAGTCATCCCATTTCATTACAAAGTATTATAAAATATTATAATATAACTCTCATAAATCTATTCACTGAGGCCCTCATAAACTGCAATACAGAGCAGAATGCCAAATGCCAGTGGAAGAGTCAGGGTTCCAATGTCAAGCCTCTGCATTTCAGACTGTCCATGGTCTGCAAGTCCCCATCTAGACACATGACTGATGCTGGGAAAATGGCGGTGTCTATATGCGTATATAAGCTTTATACTTGGAAACAACACATTTATTAACTTTAATACAAATAGATTTGTATTTTTCTTATAACCTGATACCTTTGAATCCCCTGAAATATGGGCATTTAACTTTGAACACCAATATCTTAGAGTCCCACATCGATATTCAAACTCCCCCAGGATGAGTTACCCGATAATAAAGGAGCAGGCGAAATTTTAGGAAGATTGGGTGGTGCCTAGCTGAGGCTCAGACATAATTTGTAAATCCCAGTGCTTTTAAATTTGTTAATAAAAAGCATGAATAACTAAATTAACAAATACATACTATTTTATAACAACAAATGTTATATATGTAACACAATATTCATAATTTATTACTCTAATAATACATATTTTTGTTAATTTAGTACACATACAAACACATTTTGATTTTAATTCCCATAAATGCTCTGCTGTATAGTAAGTATAAATGGTATTTAAGTTGTATAGACGGGATTAGTACTAATTAGTAATATTGTTTCATGACTAAATTAGATGTTTATCTGTTTCCTCCTCACTTTTTACTTCCCCATCATCTATCATTAGCCTTAATTGTTAACATTTCTCTAGTATCGTGTAGTTTGTTCTCATGGTTGTAGTCATTGTCATGCACAGAACAACACATTTTAAAACAAATATCTTGAATTAGGCCACCAAAGAACTGGTGTTACTTTATTCTCCCAAGTTTGTCATTCCACCTAGCTCAATTCTCAACCTTGACACAGCAACGGAGTGCCCTGTGCCCAAGGCCTGGTCCCCAGTGTCCATCTTCTCTGAGGGCCACAGCAAGCTGGCCATCTGTCTTTCATGAGGGGAAGAGAGGAAGAAGGCAAATAAGTAGAGGGGAGAGGCACAGAGTGGACTTTATTCTCATCAACCAGAGACTTTGGGATGGAAGAACTGAAACAGAGGAACTAACGAAAATAGGACTTCTGCATCCCACCAGGATGCAGGGACAGCTACTAAACTTAGCTTCTCACCAGAACAACCAACCAAGCAAAAATGCAAACGGACAAATACAAAACAATTGTTTCAAGACACCAGACACAAGATAATGGAGAGTGATCCCTGAGAGATAGAAAACAAAATGCTTGTCCTGGTTTATTGCCTTGAGTTTCTGGAATGTGTTGCCAGGAGGGGAAACCCAGGGAGAGCCAGTGAACTCAGTGAGTTGAGGAGACAGAGCTTAGTGTCCAGGGAGACCAATATAGCTAGAGGCTTCAGGACAGAGCACTGCAGAGAAGGGAGCTGCAGAGAGATAATCCTGGGGGTGCACAGAGGGTCCCCCAACAGTATCCAACATAATATTGACCAGCACAAGTCTATGAGGAGACTGCCTGAGGCCAGCCGAAAAACCACCTGAAAATCCTTGCAGGAGGAGTGTGCAGTGCTGACCCAGGGCAGGGGATGAAGCCTGTTCTCGTCAGCCAGGTGCTAAACCTTATATTCACAGTGCCTTCAGCAGAGCACTCAGAAGGCCTCAACTTAATAGCAGAGAATAATTAGTAATAGGCTGAATATTACTCAGCTACTGCCTAGCAAATGTAAAAAGCTAGACCATATCATACTATTTCCAAGTAACTTAACTGCTTCCAAGAGGAAAGCTCAAAAATATTTCTAGAAATGCAAACATATCCAGCACCCAGAAGGTAAAATTTACAATGTCTGGGATTACATTAAAATTTTCCAGGCATGAAAAGAAGCAGAAAAATAAAATCCACAGTGAGGAGAAAAATCAATCAATCTAACCATTGCAGAACTGACACCACTGTTAGAATTATAAGGACAATACAAATAATTATTATAATTGTATTTTATATATTCAAAGAGTTAAGTGAAGACAGGAGATATTTTAAAAAATTAAATCAAATTCTAACAAATGAAAGCTCTAATATCTGAGATGAAAATGCACTGTACATGATTAATGACATATTAGACCTTGCAGAAAGAAATACGAGTGAATTTGAAGACATAACAATTGAAATTATCTAAATGAAACAGAGAGAAAAAAAGAATTATAAATGAACAAAATATCAGTGAGTCATGGGACAACTTCTAGTGGTCTCATATACATGTAATCAGAATAACCTAAAAAAAAAAGAAACATGAGACAAATTATCTATCTATCTATCTATCTATCTATCTATCTATCTATCTATCTATGTTTGAAGTTGCTGGCAGAACAATCTCCAGATTTAATGAAAACATCAAACCCACGGATCTAAAATAATGAACAAAACCCAAACACAAGAACACATAGAAAATTACATACAGCTCAAAATAATCAAATTTCTCGAAACCAGCGACAAACAGGAAAGCTTAAAGGCAGATAATAGGGAAAAAAAGGTGTGAAGGATCAAAGATAATAAATATAACACATATCATCAGAAAAAGAAATGCAAATAGAAAGATAGAACACCATCTTTAAAGTACTTAAGAGGAAAAGAAATCCCCTTACCCTAAAGTTCTTTGTCCACAAAAATGTCATTCAAAAGCGAAGTAAGACAAAGACTTCTTCAGATATAGAGAAGCTGAAAGAATATGTGTCACCAGCAGACTGGGCCTTACAGAAATATGAAATGAAGTCTCCACACAGAAGGAACATAGGACCGAATTGGGATAGTCACACGGTAACAAAGAATATCAGAGGTAGTAACTGTATGGATAAATGCATCATATACTTTTCTTAGTAGCTAAATCTCTTTAAAATTAAGCAATAGTTTAAAAATAATAATGTAGTGTGTCATTTGTAACATATATAAAAATAAAATGTATGATAATAGCACAAATGCTAAGAGGGAAAAAATGGAAGAACAACATTGTAAGATTCTTATACTACATGTGAAGTGGTATAATACAACTTAATGGTAAAAAATTAAAGATGTATTTTACACATCCAAAGCGATGACTAAGATAATAGCAATTATAAGCATTATGCATAATAAACCTATGAAAGAAATAACAGAATCATAGACAAATAATCTAAAGCAAGGCAAAAACAAGAAAAAGGAAATAAAGAACAGATGGGATAAATATAGAAAGATGGTCGACTTAGAATTAACTATATTCATACATTACATGTAAGTTATCTAAACACAGTAATAAAAATGCAGAAGTTGTTGAATTAGATACAATGTAAGATCTAACTCTATCGCCTACAGAAACACATATTTAAAGACAAAAGTAGGTTAAACATAAAAAGATGAAAAAAGATACATCATGCTTGCACTAGTCAAAAGAAAGCTAGAGTGGCTCTGTTAATAACAGACAAGGAAGCTTTCAAAGCAAAGCATACTACCAGGGTAAAGAAGGTCATTTAAAACAATAAATTAATCAAAAGAAAATGACAATCTTAAATATGCATGTAATAACTGAGTTTAAAGGACATGAAGCAAAAACTGAAAGCACTACAAGGATAAATAGACAAATCTACAATTATAGTCAAGAGATTTTAACCCTCCTATCCTGATAATTGATAGAACAAGTAGACAGGAAATCAGTAAGGATATAAGAGGTTTGAACACTATCAACCAACTAAACCTAACTGATGTTTACAAAACACTGCCTCCAACAACAAGATAATTCATATTATTTTCAAGTCCACAGTGAACATTTACCAAGTGATATAGTTTGGATATTTGTCCCTGCCCAAATCTCACGTTGAATTGCATCCCCCAGTGTTGGAGGTGGTCCCTCCCCAAATCTCATGTTGAATTGCATTCCCCAGTGTTGGAGGTGGAACCTGGTGGAAGGTGTTCGGGTCATAGGGGTGGATCCCTCATGGCACGGTACTGTCTTCATGTTAGTGAATTCTCCTGAGATCTGGTCATTTAAAAATGTGTGGCACCCTCTCCCCCAACCTTCTCTCCTCTTTCTCTCTCTCTTTTGTGTCTGTCTGTCTGTCTCTCTCTCTCTCTCTCTCTCAGTTCCACGTTCCACCTCCTATCATTTAAGCTTCCTGAGACCTCCCCAGAAGCAGATGCTGGTGCCATGATTCCTGTACAGCCTGCAGAACTGTGAGCCAATTAAACCTCTTTTCTTTATAAATTACCCAGTCTCAGGTATTTCTTTATAGAATGCAAGAACAGCCTAATACACCAAGGTAGATTATCTTCTGGGGTGTAACACAAGTCTCAATAAATTTAAAAGGATTTAACTCATACAAGTACATGTTTCGACCACAGTGGAGTTAGATAAGAAGATAATAATGAAAGTTTTTAGAAAATTACCCCCAAATATTTGGAAATTAAATAACACATTTCTAAATAACCCATGGGTCAAAGGAGGAATATGAAGAGAAATTTGAAAGTATTTTCAACTGGATGAAAATGAAAAAGAAGTTCCACCAGGTATCAATTTGCGGGAGGTTGGTGAAGCATTGTTCTGGGCATTTAATTTGCAACATTAAATGCGTATATCAGAAAAGAACAAGTATCAATGACTTCAGCTTCCGCCTTAAGCAACTAGAAAGAGAAAAGCAAATTAAACCCAAAGTAAATAGAAGAAAATAAATTATAAAGATCAGCACAAAAATCTGTGAAATAAAAAACAGAAAACAATAGAGAAAAATCAACAAAGTCATATGTTTGTTCTTTAAGAAGGTCAATCAGAGTGGGAAATCCCTGGTCAGGCTGGTCAGGAGAGAGAAAGAGAGAGAGAGAGAGAGAACACAATTACCAATGTCAGGAGTAAGAGAGAAAATGTCAATAGTGAGCCTACACTTACTAAAAAGATAATGAACAAAAATTATGAGCCACTTTAATGAATAAATTCAATAACTTAGGGGAAATAGAAAAATTTGATTTGAAAGACACAAAGTACCAAGCTCACTCAATAAGAAATAGGTATCTTGGAAAGGCTTCTATCTACCAAAGAAATGCAAATTGTAGTTAACAACTTTTCCACAAACAAAACTTCAGGTCTCGATACTTCAGGTATGAATTGCATCAAACATTCAATAAATGAATAATACAAATTCTTTCAGAAAATTTAAAAGAAAGAAATACTTGTCAACTCATTCTATGGTGCCACCATTTCTCAGATAACTAAATCAAAGATACCACAAGATAAGAAAGTCACAGACAAATATCCATAATGAACATAGATGAAAAAATTCTAAACAAAATTTTAACAGTGAATCCAACAGCGTATAAGAAGTACAGTGCATCATGACCCAGTGGAGCTTAATCAAGGTTAATTTAGAATTTGAAAGTCAACCAATGTAACTTGTGACAAATAAATTAAAAAGAAAGAAAATCCAGCCAGGCACGGTGGCTCATGCCTGTAATCCCAGCACTTTGGGAGGCAGAGGCAGACAGATCACTTGAGGTCAGAAATTGAAGGCCAGCCTGGCCAACATGGTGAAACCCCATCTCTACTAAAAATACAAAAATTAGCCAGGCATGCTGGCAGCCACCCATAATCCCAGCTACTTGAGAGGCTGAAGGCAGGAGAATTGCTTGAACTTGGGAGTGAGCTGAGATCACACCATTGCACTCCAGCCTGGGGGACAGAACAAAACTCCATCTCAACAACAACAACAACAACAACAACAACAACAACAACAAAAAAAAAAAAAGAAAGAAGGAAAAAGAAAAGAAAGAAAGAAAGAAAATCCACATTAATAGACTCTGAAAAATCATTTAACACTATCCAACATCCATTTCTGATTTGTAAATCACATAAAGAGCTTGAATCTAGAATACAAAAAGAGCTCTCGAAACTTAATGATAACAAGATCAGCACCACATTTTTTAAAATGAGCAAAAGATCTGAACAGACCTTTTATTGAAGAAGATGTATGGATAGGAAATAAACACATGAAAAGATGCTTAGCATCAGTAGACATTAGGGAAATGCCAACTAAAACCACAACACGATGTCCTACTAACTGTTAGAATGCTAATAATAAAAAGACCAACCACATAAAGTCTTGGTGAAGAAGTTGGAGGAATAAGAGAGCTCATATACTGCAGGTGGGAATGTAAAATGGTAGACTTTGGAGAAAGTTTGGCAGTTTGTTATAAAAGTAAGCTTACTCCTGCTCTATGAACTTGTCATTTCACTGCTAGATATTTACCCCAAAGAAATGAGAGCATATGTCCATACAGAAACGTTTACATTAAAATTTCATAGCAACTTAATTTGAAAAAGCCATAAATTGGAAATGATACAAATATCCATCAACAGTTGATTGATAAACAAATTGTGTAATATACAGGCAGTGGAATACTAATTGACAATAGAAAGGAGTGCACTATTGATACACACAGCAAGATGGGTGAATCTCAAAATACCTATGTTGAGTGCAAGAATACAGGAAAAACTACATACTATGCCACACAATTCATACCAAATCCTGAAAAATGCAAACTCATCTGTAGTGAGAGAAAGCAGTTCCATGGTTGTGTGGGGATGGAGCTCAGAGAGGAACTGGAGGGAGAGGCTACAAAGGAGCATGGGGAAACCTTGGCATGAAGTTTACCACTTGACTGTGGTGATGCATGGGGATCTACACACATCACAACTTACAGAGTTGTATACTTTAAATATATTTATGTCATGTCAATTGTCATTCAGTAGAGCTGTTAAAACAGCATAAATGAGAGGGTTTGGTGAAGCAGAGGAAACTGCCAGCCACACCCTCATTTCTTGTCCAGATTCTACCCTCTTTTCCTTTCGAAGACGTGAAAGAAGCAGGAGTCTAAGGTGAGGGCAGAGACTGGGCATGTGGGATGGGTTCCCAGCATTCCTCATGTTACCAACACTGCTGGCTCTGAAATGCCAAATAACTTTTGAGACCAAAAGACAGAGCCTTTCATTCCATCATTTGAAATAAGAAGCATAAAGATTTGAATAGCTGAGGGATACATTGGCATGGCTAAGTTTGGCTAAAATAAGAATGTTTTCTACTTTAGTGGAAGGGAGGAATTTTGAGTCAAGAGGATGTTGTCTCGCCGTCACATTGCTAAGAGTGGCTGGTAGAAGGAGAGTTTGAGGACAGTGGAAAATGATTTTACAGTTTTGCCATGTTTCTTTGCATCTTTTTGTTTTTTGGGTGCTATAGAGAAGTGCTGAGCAGAAGCGCTCCATTTAGTCAACGGCTAATCCTACAGCCGCTTAGTGTAGGGCCCAGGATATGGGAAAAAGACTCACAACTGCAGACTGAGAGGGTTTAGAATTGGCTTTCTGCATAAGTTAAGGTGAGACACTGCCTCCAGCTGTAAAAAGTAGAGGTTCTTCTTCAAAGACTTTCCTCCCCATCTAATTAGGAATAAATAGTAACTTCTCTTAGAAGCAAAATTTATTCAAAGACGTGTACTAACATTCTTAAATATCTGCTAGCTGTAATAAAGAGATCAATGTATTTTATGTTCTTAGCTCCCACAATTTAGCCTAAATATTTGCCCTGGCATGCTTATACTGGTCCAAGCAAGCATTAGGTCATAGCTTGTTCCTCTTCCTTATTTGAAGGTGTTTTTACCTTTCTCAGCATTCCACAAGTTACTTCCTCCTTCCCTTGTTCTCCTCTGCCTTTGCCTCTTTTAAAAAGTTCCAAGTTGCTAGCCAGTCAGGACAAATACGGAATGTGAGGTCCTGTTCCAGCCAATGGAAACTGGACACAGTAGTGAGGTGGATGCATCAGGTTATAAATGACCCTGTCTCCTTTTTTCGGTGTACTCTTATGGCAGAACTGCTGGTGAGTGTACCCTTTCTGCAGAAAGTAAAAACGGCCTTGCTGAGGAAATTAAATTTATGTTCAAGTGCTATTTCTTTATGTCACGAAGGAATAATCATTTCTAACACAGCCATCTTTCCCTTGCAGAGTTTTGAGCTAACAACACCACTCCAGGTCAGTCAAGAAGGGACACAGGACAGGGGAAAAGCGCATTTGCACAGTGAGTGGAGAAGAGGGGAGGATGGAAAAGTGGAAAGGAAAGGGTGAAATTTCTGTCCACGAAAAGAGTCTAACTCTGTGAAATATTTGAAGAGATTTATTCTGAGCCAAATATGAGTGACCATGGCACGTGACACAGCCCTCAGAGGGTCCTGAGAACATGTGCCCAAGGTGGTCGGGGCACAGCTTGGTTTTATACATTTTAGGAAGACATGAGACATCAATCAAATACATTTAAGAAAAACATTGATATGGTTCAGAAAGGCGGGACAACTCCAAGGGGGTTTGGTGGGGGTCCTTCCAGGGTACAGGTAAATTTAACCATTTTCTGATTGACAAGTGGCTGAGTTTGTCTGAAGACCTGGGATCAATAGAAGGGAAATGTTCAGGTTAAGATAAAAGATTGTGGAGGCTAAGGTTCTTTTGAAGTCTCATAGTGGCTGCCCTTAGAGACAACAGATGACAAATTGTTTCCTATTCAGACCTTTAAAAAGGTGCTAGACTCTTAACCTCTTCAGGATTGGGAGGGCCTGGAAGAAAAAGATCTTGTTATGTTAATAGAGATTCTTTACAGGGGCACATTTTCCCCCACAAAGGACACCTTTGCAGGGCCATTTCAAGGTATGGCAAAGAAGCATGTTTTGGGTAAAATATTTTGATTTTCTTCCTTGTCTCATCATGTTATGCCAGAGTCAGTTTGGAAAGCAAGTCACGATATATATATATATGGTTAAATAAAATCCATCTGATGAGAATTTATGGTTTGTAGGACATGAGTCCCCAGACCCCTTAGATAGGAATGTGGGCAAGATAAAAAAATCAAGGCTTAGTCCTCACTTCCAATACCCAGAATTGTACGTTATTGATGGTGATGATTTGAACAATTATGGTGATGGTTTAAAAGAGAGAGAGAAAGAAAAAGAAGTGAGTTTAAAGAAGAAAATAATGATAAAAACAAGAAGTGACTGGATAAAACTCCTATTAGCAGGGTCAACAATGGAAAAAACTTGTGCACCTTGGAATACTTGTTTTTGGTAAGCTTCTTGCTGTACCCACTTTTCTTCTCCTAAATTGTGCTTCTTTCCAATAATGATGTTTTTCATGGGGGCTTTGAAAGGTTTGGATCCTAAGAGTACAGAGTTACTTTGGAACGCTTCCTGAAGAACTTGGGGGCTGAGCCTTCTTGCTCCCTGAGGAGGGCAGACTGGGAGCCGCTGGCATAGATTTAGTCTGGGCACCTCTTGGAGGGCGGACTGGGAACCGCTGGCATGGATTGAGTCTGTGCACCTCTTGGATTATTAGTCTGAGTCTGCTGGCCTTTGCTAGGTAAACAGAAATCTGGTCCTGGTGGAGGTGAAGTCTGCTCAGAGCTTGCAATGGGCACAGAATGCATCTGAGGCCCCAGTTTGGGGACTGGGATATCTCAAAGCAATCCTTGGGTGGCCACACTGTAGTCTGAATTTAAGAGAAAAAAAAGTAACCAAGTAGGAAAAAATAAAACAAAACAGAATTACTGAATAGGAGAGAGAGCAAGAGAAAGAAGGGTGAAGGGAACAGAAAATGACCGCTGATTCCTTGCACAGCGGGAGACGCCGCCCAGGCTCCCTCAGGTCCATTACCCCGTGGCAGGAACTGGGCTTTTGAAGTCCAAGTTGCAGCCTGTCTAGCCTGTTCTCTTTTGCTCTAAACTTCAGTAAGGTCTTGTCTGATGAAAACAACAAACCAACCTAAAAGTATGAACAACCTTAGAGTAACTGCATTTTGGAAGAGAACTTTTAAAGATAGAAAAGCTTTTAATTTTCGAAGGAGCAGAGATCTACAGACAAATTATTAGGTCCAGTCACTAGCCCCTCTGTGAAGCTTCGCAGCACTTTCTGCTGAAGCCGCCTTCCTGTTTTCCCACAGAAAGGCCAGGACAATGGGACAGTGGTGGCTGGCATCACTCAGGCTCACACCTGCCTCTGTCAGCTAGGTAAACACCATGGGTTGTCTTCTCTCACTTGATGGCAGTTAATTGGTAAATCCATTTTTCTACACTTTCATAGGTAGAACTATTTTTTCTTTTGTACTTCAAGGACTATTGGATGTTAGAGCTCTGAAAAATATAATATATATTTTAAAGGATTGAAACTCAGTGAAAAGGAGTTCAATATCCTTTTAGAAATATTTTGGGGCTGGGCATGTGGCTCAGGCCTGTCTGTAATCCCACACTCTGGAAGGCTGAGGTGGGTGGATCACCTGAGGTCAGGAGTTGGAGACCAGCCTGGCCAACATGGAGAAACCCTGTCTCTACTAAAAATACAATTAGCCAGGTGTGGTGGAGGGCACCCGTGATCCCAGCTACTTGGGAGGCTGAGGCAGGAGAATCACTTGAACCTGGGAGGGAGGCAGAGGTTGCAGTGAGACAAGATTGTGCCACTGCACTCCAGCATGGGTGACAGAGTGAGACTTTGTCTCAAAAAAAAAAAATTTTTTTTTGGTATTTTATATTTTAATTAAATTGTGAATGATTTTGAACATATATAGGAGTTAAGTGTTTTTAAATATATGTTTGTAAATAAAAATTATGATGTTGCCTGGTTCCTTTTTTGGCCATATTATCACAATCCTAAAGAGGGCTAAGATGTAAGATGGACTCCAGACTAGACTACACACAGACTCAAAACTTTAAAATATTCTCTTGCCTTCTTGAGGAGAAGGAATCCTAAACTGTAGGATATCTACTTGTATTTTAAAATAAAAATACAAGTTTGTCATAACAAAGTATTAATGTGATGAAGTGGCAAGAAAAAGTAAAACATCAAATAAAAAATAAACTCTTACAACTACCTCCTTAAAATGATATTGAAAATTATTATAAAATATGCATCAGTAGCTACCATAATGAAACCCAAAACTTAGAATAATTTTCATTAACTCCAAGAATCGACATTCTTACTATCTTCTGAATGATGCCACAAATACATATAATAACAAGCACTGTTTGAATGTCCTTCTAAGCCCCACATACTAAGCAATGAACTTCCTAGGCACTGCCTCCTACTCAGCTTCTAACAGCAAGTGAACTGCAGAGCTGAGATTCGAGCCTTGAATGACAACTGAGCTAGACTGTTGACCACAGACATCCTGCCTCGAAATGTGAGTCATGTCTGAAAATCAAATCAGACCTGGTTAACTCCTTTCTGAATCAAGACAAGACAAATATAAAAATGTATGAAAATATTAGAATATAAAAAAATTGAACAAGACCAACTAGTTTGTCCCTTAATATTTTTTCACACTAAAGAGAGAGTATCTTTGCTAGGCTCATCATAGATGAAGCTTCTCTATTAAAGAGTATTTGAAAAAGTAACTGAAGTGCATTGATTTATTCTAGAATTGAACTGGTCAAAAATGAAGTCAGATTTATAGACTTCTTAATCTTTCTTTTTTATAAAAACTGTCCAACATTTTGTTGTTTTAAAGCTAAAATGTAATTCTTGATTGGTTCTGTACTGACGTGGTATTAGGCACTTCCGAAAATAGCTGATTTGTCACATTGCAGGGAAATTTAATTTTTGAATAATTTTCTCCATATATTTGACCATTTGCCCTCATATTTTTTTACAAGACTTTATAGGCCAATTTTTGTCTTTACAAGATTGGATTCAAAAAGATAACTAGAAGTTGAATGCCCAAGTCTATTTCATCATTAGCATTCAGACAGGAAAAATATCTACCCAGCATATTTTATGTTTCCATTTTCATTTTGGAATGTTTTAAACTTTTTCTTCTAAAAGTAACTAAGAAGTTTTAAGCAAAAGCTATGCAAACACAGGAGGCTTTCCTGTGAAAATGGACCTCAGCTGGAGGCACTCCACCACCAAGCCTCCTCCAGGTGGGTCAGCGAAGGGAGATGAAGGAAACGCAAATTCAAACTGCTGCTGAGGTCGGTGGGCCCTTTGTGTTGCTTTGACTGAGTTGACAGGTGGAGTGTGTATGTTGTGTGAGGTAACTTTAAGGTGTCCATCTAAATGCAAGGCTCATCTAAGCATCTGAAAGACAAAATAATGAATTGGTGGGGAGTTATCTAAGGAGGACAAGCCTGTCTGAGGGCATAACCCCACTTCCAGTGAGCCTTTGGTCAATTTGTATGTGAACAGGATCTTCTGCCTTTCTTATAGGGAAGAATTCTGTGACGAGTTGGCCCCTCCTTGCCCATCTGAGAGCCCATTGTGCACTCCCTCATTTAAAATAGCAGGGTGTGACAGCAACAGATGGCACCCAGAAAGGAGGCGTGGCGAGACCTTCCAGCAGACAGCAAAGGAAGAAGGTCCATGGGCTCAGTGTCCCTCAAAACTAACATCCCCAAAAAGACCGGAGAGCTGGCGAGGTGACAGCCATGCTGCTCTTTCTAATTGCAAACGTTTGCCAGTGAGAAGAAAAGGAATTAGATTAGGTTCAGCCTCATCGCACCCCATGCCATAACTATTTTTCCCATTAAGAAAATAAATGTTTCAGGCTGGGCACGGTGGCTGAAGCCTGTAATCTCAACACTTTGGGAGGTCAAGACGGGCGGATCACGAGGTCAAGAGATTGAGACCATCCTGGCTAACAAGGTGAAACCCTTTCTCTACTAAAAATACAAAAAATTAGCCAGGTGTGGTGGCGGGCACCTGTAGTCCCAGCTACTTGGGAAGCTGAGACAGGAGAATGACATGAACCCGGGAGGCGGAGCTTGCAGGGAGCTGAGATTGAGCCACTGCACTCCAGCCTGGGCAACAGAGCAAGACTCCGTCTCAAAAGAAAAAAAAAAAAAGGAAAATAAATGTTTCAAATCCTTGAGAAAGGTCTTAACCAGGGCTAGCCTTATGCTTGTGTGCTGGGCAGTCATACGCTGGGTTTGAGCCTCATGCTTGTTTGCTGGGCTCCACGCTGGGTTTGAGGTTCTGTCACCGTCTTGGAAACTTTAATATGCTTGAAAAACAGGCCGTGGGTTTTTATTTTGTACTGGGTCCCACACATTGTGTGACCAGTCCTGTCTAAGACATCCACCTTTAGAGATGGCACCCTTTGGACACTGTTTAAAGGTTTTTTTTTTTTCTCAGTCTCCTTGCCTCAAATCAGATCTGCCCCAGCTGTGAGTGGCCACAGCCCCAACACACAGCACTCTGTTCCTGCCTTAATCCTCTCCTCACTCCCCTCAACTAACCAACCCCAGGCCTCTTCCAGTCTCTGCAACACTGCAAATTCAGGGGTTACCAACCAGGGCAGGGGGTTGTAGTTGGCCTCCCGCTGTCCCCTTCAGTGCCCAGGTCATTGGCAGGAATGGGGATGGGACATCTTCAGCTTTTGAAAGCTCCCAAGGCAGCACCTACCTACGTACACCCCAGTTGCAAACCACCTCCCCGTCCACTCTCCAGTCTCGTCTCGGGCTAAATTCCACCCAGGTGACCCCAGTCTGGGACATGGACATTGCTGGTTGGGAGTGGTCTAAAAACCGTGAGGCTGGTCTCATTGACTCGACCTTTACTTTCCTCAGTTCATGTTCCATAATTCCAGCACAGATTTACTACACCGTGGTCTCTCCTGGGCTGTCCCACACCAGCCTCTCCAGCAGGCAACTCCCCACCCCTGCTTGCCTCCTCCTGCTCCTCCATGAGCCGGGGCGGGGGTGGGGGCAGGTGAAGTAGAATCTGGTACAACTGCTTAATTAGAGTGGGTAGCTAGGTATACAAATGTAAAAAAAAATATCATGGAGAAACTTAAGGGGAAAATACCCCACAATAGCAATCTGAGGAGGGCTGAGTGACAATCAAACAAAGGTCCCTTCCGTGTTGCCCCATTCTGCTATGAAGTAGGAACTTTCCTAGCTGCACTTTACAGATGAGAAAACTGCCACGAGTATAAGAAGCTTGCCCCAGGTCAGAGAGTGAGGGTGGAATGGGGACATGGATGCAGGCTGCCTTGGCTCCAGACGCTAACTCCTAAGCACCATGTTAAGTCATGGCACCACCAGAGGGGTGGGGATGAACAACTTTGCCTTTCTGGCACCTTTTCTTTCTTATAGATGCATCCATGAGCCAGTATCTAGAGGCGGCAATGCAGGAAGAGCCAGAAAGCAAAGGCCAGAACCCACTGTTCAGGCTTGCTGCACCCCAAAACTCTTCACAGCAACATTGAGTCCTAGTTGTGCGGCCTGCCAGGGTGTTTGCTGATCACTTGTGAAAACTAGGAACATAGCGGGGGCTTTTCAACATCGTATCAGCCTGTGCCTTCCAACATCATAATTGAGGAGGAATGAAGCATATTTGTTCTATAATAAAACAGGTTAATATAAAATTAGATGGATGGAATATAATTCTCACACCATAAAATCCACCTTCATTGAAGTGTTTGTCTTATGAGTTTCAGAACATCCAGAGTCATGGCCGTGGACACCGCTCTCCTGGATCCCGTCCACCCTGGGGATGTGCTGTCCCAGGCTGCTTTTCTCCTTCTCTCTTTGGCATGTTTCACCTGCCATCTGTCTGTTCTCCCAAAGCCAGCACACACCCAGACCATTCTGCCTGTGACCTCTCCAACTCAGTGGCAGGGCAAAGTGCAGCCTCCAAGGTTGGGCTTCCAAACCTCCGACCACATGACCTCTATCAACTCATCCAGGCTCATCTGCTGCTGCGTTCTCGGACCTGCCCTGAGACCCAGCCCAGAGCAACACTCAGTGTTCCTCAGCTGCGGTGCCTCCTCTCCCACCATCTGCCTGTAATTGGGTCTCATTTTCTGGAATGACTTTCCCAACAGCATTTCTAGGCCAGGGTGGACTTCATGGTCCTTCTTCAACCCTGGGCTTCTGTCCAGATAGCACTAAGTAGATAAGCTCTTTCTAATGTGTCTCCCTTCCATATTAACAAGTATGCCAGCAATACCCTTATTCTCTTATTTAGACTATGCTTTGCTTTAGAATGATGACTTTTGAACAATAGGGAATTCTTACTTTTCCTGTGAGCAGAACTCAACTCAGCAGATCCTTCATTTCTCCTTGAAATGTGTGCTTCTGATTTCCAGGACACCACTCTCCTGGATCCCTTCCACCCTGGGGATGCGCTGTCCCGGCCTGCTTTTCCCCTTTTCCCTTTGGCTCTGACCACAGAGTGTTGCAGGCCTCAGACCTTAGACCTTGACTTTTCTGTCTGTTCATTCTTTGTTGATATCATCTGGTCCCATGGGATTAAATATCATCTCTACATGGATGACTCCCAAAGCGTATTTCTAGACTGAGACTCACCTCTGAACCTCAGCCTCATAGATTCAATGACCCACTTGACATCTCGACTGAGATATCTAATTGGCATCTCAAGCTTCCCCGTCCACAGTGGAATTCTGTGTGTTTCCCATAAGCTCAAAACCCTTAGACCAGCTGCCAAACCAGAAAGGTGTTTGACTGTGAGGAGTGCATCGAGGGACCACAGGATGGAGCCCAGGATGAGGCTTCCAGGTGGAACCCATAAGGACCTCATCTCTTCCCAGCTCGTCACACCCAGCCCTGCACTGCTCCTGTCCTGGGCACAGACTCACATGGAAAGCTGACCGCACTATCTGTTAAGAAGCTCCTGGTCTTCTGTCCTTTTCTTGTTATCTGAATTAGCAAAAAACTCTTTCTTTTTGGGGATAGTGGTTCAAATATGTTCACTACCATTGTTTTAGAGCTAGGCGAATTAATGTTCATGATGATACCCATGAAGTTAAAACCCCTGCATCATGTACTTTTTAGAAAGGCCTTTTTCACTGAATTATCAAAAACAGCCGTAGTTTAACCAATATTTTGCCCTGATTTATATTATCCAGAAAAATAATTCAAAAGGAATTAACATGACCTTCTAGCATTTGTCAGAAGTTGTGCTCTGTGATTTACATATTAGCTTGTTCAATTCTTCAGATATTCTGAAAGGCAGATACTATTAACTCCATCTTGCAGTTGAGAAAATAGATACTCACAGACATTAACTAAATTGCCCAATGTCAAGTAGCTCATAACGGCTAGTAAATGCCTAGGGTTGAATATAAGTTTGTTGATGTTCAGACCATGTATATCTCTATGCAAGGATTACAGATAATATAATCATCATCACTATCATCAGTATAATCATTACCTACATAAAAGACAGGGCAAGGGGGTGATTCTGTAATATACATTTTGTATCAGGTTTGAATATCTGATAAAGTCATTTAGCTTCATAATTACCTTAAGAGCACAAAGATGCAAAAGTCCATCATATGACTTTCAAATTGGCAAAGGTGATAATATTAAAAACCTGTGCAACAGGATTATAATAATAATTTAGCTAGCCACATGGTTACTTACCATTGTGTTAGATTTTGAATACTGTAGTGAATGAATGTCTTATCCAAAAGCAAACATTTTTTAATACTGTTATCTAATTAAATAGTTAAGATTTTTGCTGAAATCAGCAAGACAAATTGAACTTTAGAACTGGAAGAAAGTTTAGAATTTTTTTGCCAATCTTTTTGATTTTATAGAAAAAGTATTTATATAAATTCTTGAGTTGAAAGATTAAAAGCAAAAATTTTAAGCTAATAATATAAATTGCAGTCTAGAAACCCACTTTGTCTATAAAACATTAAAATAGAACCATTTATATAACTTAGCAGGTATAAAAAGGTTTCAACCTTAATATTACAGAGAAGAGCTATAAATACACTATTTCATGTTCCCCCAAACACCTGAAAACTTATGAAAAACTATGTTATTTAGGTTGCTTCTTTTCAAGGTAACAGGGAAGTATTGATTATTTGCCCAGCCAATACAATAAATTTGTGCTCAATATTAGCACATATTAACAATCTTTTTAAAAAATACAGGACAAGGGCAAGTTAATAAGAAGAAACACAAGCAGTAGAGAAGGATATGAAGTGAAACACGGGGGTCTTCCAACGTATCCAGCTGAGCTCCTGGCTCCGATTTCTCAGCAGCAAACAGCCGGTTGAGAACTCAGCCAGGTATTTTCTATGCCTTTACAAATGTATCACTCTGTGTATACACATACATACATAAATATACAGAGATGTGTTTATGTTTATATTAGGCATTTTACATATCTAATTACATATTTAACATAACTATCTTCTCTATACAAATAGAATCACATTATTCCATACATTTGAAATGAGTTCTTCATATACAAAAATGATATCTTTATTAACTTTTCTAGATCTGCTTCATTCTTTTTTTAAAAAAGCACAGGATCCCTATATATAAAAATAAATATTTACTCATTCTTTCTCCTACATTTGAAATTTTGGTGGTTTCCATGATTTTATTATTACAAAGCTGGCTAGCACAATGAGCATCCCTAGCCACATATTCTTGAACACTTATAAAGATAGTCTCATAGGATTTCTTTCTTTCTTTTTTTTTTGTGTGTGGATACAGTCTCACTCTGCTGCGCAGGCTGAAGTGCAGTGGTGTGATCATGGCTCACTGAAGCCTCAACCTCCTGGGTTCAAGTGATCCTCCCACCTCAGCCTCCTGAGTAGCTGGGAACACAGGTGGAGATTTCTTTTTTTTTCAGTTTTTTGCACAGATGGGGCCTCACTGTGTTGGCCAGGCTGGTCTTGAACTCCTGGGCTCCAGCGTGCACCCACTATAGGCAAGGCACTGTGTTCAGAATTCTATGTATATGTATGTATATGCATATATTATCTCTAAACCTTATGCCAACGCAAGCAGGCACACAACATAGCTGCTCCCATGGTGTGTGTAAAACTGCACAGCTAGTGAGGGCTGGAGCTGCCATCTGAACCAGTGTGCATCTGCCTCCCAAGTCTTTGTCCTCTCCACCGAAACAGAAAACCACATTTACAATTTTATTATTTATAAATCCTTCCGGTGAAAAACCATTTGTTTTAAATTCCTTGCATTATTAAGCAGAGAATTTTACTTGAAATCTCCTTTACCTTTATTTTTAACTGTTTACTCGCCTAACATAGATTTGACTTCAAAACAATTCCTCTTTTCCTTCATGTAAATTACATTTCAGATTCTCCAGTGACTTGTCAGTAGAGGGAGCCTTAAGATGCATTTGACAACCCTTTTATACGGTGAACAGTGATCTCTCAACAGGAAAACATCAGCCAGTTGAATTTGTTTTATAATAGAACAACATATTTATAGAAAGGATAAGGAAAAGGCAGGCAGCTGCTGGGTTCAGCCTGTGGGAGAAAACAACCTACAAAGTGCTCGGTGAACTCATCCCTCAGCTGCAGCGTCTGTTTCCTTAGCACTTCCAAGGTACAGTTTCCTTTTGCTGGGATGCAACTTCAAGCTCGAATTTCTGAAAGTAATTCATTAGGATGTATGCTAAGTAATATGTGACGCCTGTTCCCTGTGAGTTTATTGACCAGCTCAATTCAGGATTATGAATCGCCAATGTACTTAGAACACAGAATTCTTGTTCGGTGACTATTATGGGTCTTGCTGAGTTAGGATGGTAGCCCTGGCCAACTCCCTGAGCTCTGCCATCGCCACTGGCAAGCTGCATGCCTGCAAGGTGACATGTGACAGTGTCAGCCCGCTCCCTACCCAGACGCCACGCTGTGGAAAATCCACTTCTAGCAGCAGCATCTGGGCTGTCAGCGGGCTCCACCGGCACCAAAGCTGACAGCACTGATGTTGCCGGGGGCTCTGTCTCAAGCGGGCTGCACACCACGCTGAAAGATTCCACTCCAAGCCATTTTCCCAGTCTTACCTTTGATCCTCAGCTATTTGCATATTTTTATAAGCTTAGGTGGAGAAAAAAGCACCTGTTCAAATACCTCCAAGATCTTTCTGTCTTTACATTTCTATGGTGGAAAATGAGGTGCCCTGAGCCTGGACAGGAGTCAGGTTCCATGGAGCACTACTGTGAGACGGCTGTTCAGGCCACACCACTGGCCCAGGCAGACAGACCACACGACCATCAGGGAACTTACCCAGCCCCCACCCCCAGACTCAGGGCATAGCAAAGGTGCTTCGCAAATACTTCAAAATAGGAATCAACATTATCCAAGTTATTACCCTTTCCAGTCCTTTTCAACTGCAAACACAGCTTTCATTTCCTGCTTTTTATTTCACTGGTTCCCAGACTATTGAGCTGGATTGGGAAAAATATTAACAGCTGAATATTAAAGCATGAGAGAAGTAAGCCCCACTGTAGGATGACAGAAGGGAGATACTAGTTATTCTGCCCTACCCATATTCACCCATTCATTTTCCGTCTGTCTGTCTGTCATTTGCTAATTAACAAAGATTTGTAGGTTGATTGCAGTCTGTCTATTACTAATTAACAAACATTTGTAGGTTGACTGCGTTACTGCCTAAGATTTTCAAGGCTCGTTAGGCAAAAATGGTTTTGTTTATTTTTTTAATTTTTTATTTTTTTGAGATAGGGTCTGGCTTTGTTGCCCAGGCTAGAGTGCAGTGGCACAAACACAGCTCACTGTAACTTCCTGCAACTTCCACCTCCCAGGCTCAAGCAATCCTCCCACCTCAGCCTCCCGAGTAGCTGGCACTACAGGCATGCAACACCATGCCCAGATAATTTTTGTATTTTTTGTAAAGATGGTGTCTTGCCATGTTGCTCAGGCTGGTCTTGAACTCCTGAGCTCGAGCAATCCACCCGCCTCAGCCTCCCAAAGTATAGGCATTTACAGGCGTGGGACACCTTGCCTAGCCAAAAACCAATTTTTTATATATATAAAAAAAGCATGGAACAATGACAACTTAAGGACTCTAACAATTGGATTTCCACGATAACTCCTCCCAGATAACTCCTCTAGTCTTATATTTAGTCTTTGCTCATTTGTTTTGTTCTTTAGATTCTGGTTTGGTTTGATCTTAAAAGTCATCAGAACAAGCAACGGATTATTGTGGTTCTTCTCAGAGAGATGCACAAGTTCTGTCTGAACTCAAAATACCTAAAAATTGATACTGCAAAACCACTTAACAATAAAGGAAAGTTTCATTCCACAATTATGCAAAGGCTTCTTTTGCAAATATCCCTGCGACAGAGAACACAATGAGAAATAGGCAAGAAGATGTAACTTGCTGATTACTGAATTCCTTCATGAAAGAGTGAAGAAAGGATGCATTCAGTGGTGCAGATGGCTGAGTGCATAACAGGTAGGTTTGGTGAAGAGGGGACAGTCAGCATCCACAGGAAGAAAAGGCAGAAAAGGAGAGGTGGGGTTTGATTGCAACAAGCAGCTCTGCCCTCCAGCCGGGAGGCTTGGGTCACCTGCAGTTACTGTGACAAACACAACAAGAACTCAAGTGTGCCAACTTCCTGCATAGGCAGGTTCTCCTGGGGCAGCTGCCAGCTATGGGCTTTACTTTGTAAGTCAGCATTCCATGGTGGAAAAGGCACTGGACTTGAAGTCTGCTCTTCTACCCACTTCATTAATTTCTCTCGGCCCAAGTAGGTGCCTCTGTAGCATGGGTATGACAATTACTTCTCAAGGCTTCTATGAGTTTTTGAACTATGGACAATATGTGAATGTTGGATGTTATTCCTGTGCCCAGAGTGGCACCGTCCCATCCATATGAGGAAGGAAAACTCATTCATTTCTTCACACGACTCCTCGGACAAAGGACTCTTCCTGGGAGCTACGATAGGCTTTAGGGATGGTTGGACACTTATTTAAGTTTAAGGATGATGATATACATTTGAAACAGGAAGGCAGTGTGGAGCAATGATGAAGTGACTACAGACAGGGCAGGCAAGAAGAGGTGGACTTCAGTTCTTTGGCTGCTGACTGCGCTGTGACCTGCCCTCAGGCCCTGCGTCCTCATGGCTCCCTTCTCTCTGATTGTACTGCCTCTGGGTTGATATTTCCACCTAAGTTGTATTTCTTATCACTCTGGACCTTCAGAGGTCTCTGTGAACAGAGGACAGCCATAGAATTTAGCTTGAAAAATCACTGGGCCGATTGGATGTAAAAACGTTCAGGAAGCCCCTGACTCAGGGCCCAGCCTGCATTAAGCACTCCTCAACATCACATAGGCATTCCCTGAAGGTAGCAGGTGCTCAACGTATATTTTCTGAGTGAATGAATGAATAATATACACATTTTTTAAGTCGCACATTTCACATCTTGGAAATCTTGGAGAAGCTATTTTACAGACCTGAGCTTTCCAAGGTCAGATGATCAGCGAGTGACAGGGCCAGGAGGGTCCAAAGAGAAAACAGAGCAAGGGGTGCCAGGACGACAGGATCCAAAAAGGAAGCAGAGCACGGGGCGCCGGGATGTCAGGGCTGAGATGCGGGGGTGTGGCCTGCCACGTCTCATCTCAGTCCTGGAGACCAACGGGCTGCGGGAGCCCTAGGGTTGCGCTGTGATGCTAAAGAGCTGATGTACCCAGTGCCCCTGCGGACCTCGCCTGTGTCTTGGAGGCCGCCTGCTCTGGCTCCTGAGGGGTCTACACATCTCACAGACCCTGGGGTGGGATGGGGCGGCCTCTGGTGTCTCAGGACACTCGTGTGTCCCTGGCACAGAAGGAAGAAGAGGAAGTGGCCATCCAGTGCACATGATACAATGAGAACTGGGAATCATGACTCAGAGTCACCTGTGAGTGTGGTTGTAACAAGAGAGCGGAACCAGCCATATCGGCACCATTGTCAGACAGGAAATGAACCCAAGGTGGGCTGCTGCCTGGGAGGGTCAGCAATCCATTTTAGTAGCTATCATGTTGAACCAAGGCAGCCCCTGTGGGCTGCAAGGGAGTCCAGATTCTCACCCTGTACTGGCCTGCCAAGCTCGTGGCCTTTAACTATGTCCAGCCACAGTCTGAAATACAGGAGAAACAGCCACTGCTCAAGGGTCTATTTTCTTATGGGGAGTTTGTTTTTGTGTTTTTCTTCATAAGGCCATGGCAGGATTGCGGGTATACCTGGCACTGATCTTATAACCAGGCTTGTAGCTCTTAGATAAGTCCATGCTTGTTTTGTATAATAAAATGTGAAATCAATCTACTATGAAAGTCTATTCAGTGCATTTTAAATGGCAACTCACATTTATCAGGTCAAGAAGTGACATTTGTGAAACGCACAGTCTATTTGTCTCTTTAATGTACACTCATTATTCTACTCCTTAAAAATTGGAATTAAGCATGAAATAGGGAATCAGAATAAAATTCATACATGTTGCCCTTTTCTAAATCATTTCAATTTAAAAGAATAGTGTTAGATGAGCTTATAATTTCACACTTGTCTTGGCTTTCCTGCTCTGAAGATCATAAAAAAGAAAGGCCCTGATTATAGTCTGCAGAATAAAGACAGTGAAGACAGACGCACACATTTGTAGGGTGCGGAATTCAGAAGTTTCTGCGATTGTACAAAAGTGCTTCAAACAATGCATTTAAATCAAGGATAGATCTTGCAAAGTTTGAGAGATTATCTTTGGATACATAATATATACCTTTGCTGTTTATTAATGCTTGAGCCAAGAAGGTTACAGACAAAGACAAAGCAGTGTGGCGTGGAACCCCTGCAGCTCAAGTTGGCAACGCTGCTTTGCCTTGCCTACAAAGTCAACAGTGCCTCCCAGAGGGCCTACTTCACCTAAAACTGTAGTCCTTCCCCATGGCAATCTTTAAGAGGCAGTGCATTAAAAGGGTTATAGAATATCCTGACTTGAATTACTGAGTAATTCTCTGGTTCAAATCTCAGCATGAGAATATGAAGTTCTACTCACTGAGCTTGGTAAGTTGGGAGCTTGGAGAACTCAAGCAAAATAACATAGGCTATTATTTAAACAGGCTCTGATTGCACTGTGTTCATATGTTGAAATAGATGAGTGCTCAGGCCTCACTGCACTCCCCCGATGCTCACGCCTCTGGTCATCTTTCCAAACCCAGCCTCCAGCTCCCCTTGGCCTGCGGTCCTTTCCCTCTCTGCTGGCTCCTCACCCTGGACCTCCCCTTTTTCACTTTCCCTTTCTTTCTGCCTCTTCCATTGTCTCTTGTCTGCCTGCCAATGCATTTGTCATAACCCACCAATTTCTCTTCTCTTCCAAGCTAGATTTGTTGTGGCAACCACAGGTTCTTCTTAGAGGGGTGTCTGTTAGCTGGTTAGCATCTCCCTCACATCCTCCCTTAGAGGGGTGTGTGTTAGCTGGTTAGCTGGTTGGTGTCTTCCTCAGAGCTTCCCCTTAGAGGCGTGTGTATAGAGGGCTGTGTGTAGCTGGTTAGCTGGTTAGCGTCTTCCTCAGAGCTTCCCCTTAGAGGGGTGTGTGTAGAGGTGTGTGTGTAGCTGGTTAGCTGGTTAGCGTGTTCCTCAGAGCTTCCCCTTAGAGGGGTGTGTGTAGAGGGGTGTGTGTAGCTGGTTAGCTGGTTGGCATCTTCCTCACAGCTTCCCCTTAGAGGGGTATGTGTTAGCTGGTTAGTGTCACCCTCACAGCATCCCTTAGTGGGGTCCCTGTTAGCTGGCTGGTGTCTCCCTTGCTCCTGGGTCTCTTACCTCCAGCCCTGTGTTTATTGGCACTAACTCTGGACCTGTGTTTCCCACAGAGGTTGTATTTCTTGGTTCCTCTGGCCCTCACATTGCATGAGTTTGATTTCTCACCCTTCTGCCATATTCCATTTGGCAAGAGTGAACACGCAGCCCCTCCTCAGTTCCACACACTGTACACTGAAATACATCACTGCCTTGGTCATGTACTAACTCCGGCTGACTGGCTGATTTCCATGGTGAAATTGTGAATTCATAGTGTTTTACTTCTATATTTTTATAAGGTACGCCCCTCCCTCATGTACTCTTCATTTCTAATTAAAATATTTCTCTAGCATCAAGAAAATGTGGTTGTGAATGGCTTTTACTACTAGTAGGCTGAGGAGCAGCTAATATATTTTTATTGAAAATCCAATAGTTTCATTTGCATTGCATCTGAATTTTTGAGACACATAGATAATAGCGTATCATTACCCTTCATATTCCCAAAGGAGCCCAAGAATGAACAGATTACGAAACAACCCAGTACATCACAACCCAACCCATTACATCCCAACCCAACCCAGTATGTCACAACCCAACCCAGTACATCCCAACCCAACCCAGTACATCCCAACCCAACCCAGTACATCCCATCCTAACCCAGCACATCCCAACCCAACCCAGCACATCCCAACCCAACCCAGCACATCCCAACCCAGCCCAGCACATCCCAACCCAACCCAGTACATCCCAACCCAACCCAGTACATCCCAACCCAGCCCAGCATATCCCAACCCAGCCCAGTACATCCCAACCCAACCCAGTACATGCCAACCCAACCCAGTACATCCCAACCCACCCCAGTACATCCCAACCCACCCCAGTACATCCCAACCTAACCCAGTACATCCCAACCCAGCCCAGTACAACCCAACCCAGACCAGTACATCCCAACCCAACCCAGTACATCCCAACCCAACCCAGCACATCCGAACCCAACCCAGCACATCCCAACCCAACCCAGCACATCCCAACCCAGCCCAGCACATCCCAACCCAACCCAGTATGTCACAACCCAGCCCAGCACATCCCAACCCAACCCAGCACATCCCAACCCAGCCCAGCACATCCCAACCCAACCCAGCACATCCCAACCCAACCCAGCACATCCCAACCCAACCCAGTACATCACACGGCACATTCCAATATTCCTTCAGCCTGCCTCAAAAACTGGTGAAGACTCATTGGTTGTCCTTTCTTCTTCTTCTTCTTCTTCTTCTTCTTCTTCTTCTTCTTCTTCTTCTTCTTCTTCTTTTTTTTTTTTTTTTTTGATGGAGTTTCGCTCTTGTTGCCCAGGCTGGAATGCAATGGCGTGATCTCGGCTCACTGTAACCTCTGCCTTCCAGGTTCAAGTAATTCTCGTGCCGCAGTCTCCCAAGTAGCTGGGATTACAGGCATGTGCCACCACACCCAGCTAATTTATGTACTATTAGTAGAGATGGGGTTTCTCCATGTTGGTCAGGTTGGTCTCGAACTCCCGACCTCAGGTGATCCATTCATCTCAGCCTCCCAAAGTGCTGGGATTATAAGTGTGAGCCACCACGCCCAACCTGGTTGTCCTTTCTTTAAATCAGGAAGATGTTTTTGAAGGACATGCTCATACTTTCCCATCTCACTCTTTCCTTTCTGGATCCCTCTTTGTTCCTCCTCCTCCCTTCCTAGCTCCCTTCCCTTCCCACCTCATTCCGTCTGAAGATTTCAACTACCCACAACTAACTGATAACCAGCACTTTTCACACAACCACAGCAACCTGTGAGGAGCATGAATGTGAAACATCTTTACCTTGCACAAGCCAAGTTGAAACCAGGGCAGGAGAAAAGGCCCGTTCCTTCACAGGGAGCACTAATGTCTCCTCGCATCACTGTGCTGGTGGTTTGGATAGAGAATGGCAGTATGAGGGATGTGATTTTGTATCCTGAAGTGCCAGACATCATTCTCTTTCCTAACAAAAAGCAGTTTTTGTAAGTGTTTTAAGTTGCTTAAAATGCATAATTGAATAGACTTTCCTCTCATGGCCTCTTTATCCAAAATCCCACAGAACCTCAGTGAGAGGAAGCCTCCCTTCAGAATGCCAGGGATGCCTCGCCTGGAGCACTCAGTGGGTGCCAGGCCCCTTTACATAAACCACTTAAGTCCCTAAGCCCCTGGATTGGGAATGTCCTGCCTCCAAAGAGGGGGCCAGGCAGCTTAAGTCATTGCTCAGGGTCACGTGGGCTGCATGTCTGTGACTGACAGAGATGGCATCTGCACCTGGGTTCTGCCTCATTGGGCAGCTGGGGTCTCCTGTGAAAGCCACAGACAGAGGCAACCTGGGACAGCGGTCACCTGCAACTCCCCTCGCCACACCTTGGTACTTGCATAAGGTAAAGTCAGGTTGTTTAAAGAGCGGGGCACACGTGCAAACACCACAGGCTTTCACTTTCCACATTGAAGATCCTTCTGACAGAAAGGCGCGTTATGATTCCTCCATAATGGAAAGACAAGATCATGACACGTTCAAAGAAGATAAAGTGTTTTAAGGTTTCTTAGTTGAATATTTTTCAGGATATTGAATGCTTAGATTTTTCTCAGAACCAGAGAACATGGGGTCAGGGGGTGGTGGGGCATCTGAATTGCTGTATTAACTTATTGTAAGGAAGGTAAATCAAGGTCATTATCTGCTGTTAGGAAGTCAGTCCTTACTGGGAAACCCATGAGCTGTGTGTCTCTGCGCAAGGTACCCTGCTGTCCGGGCCTCAACTCTTTAATCTAGAAAATGAAGATTTGGGACTAGATCAATAATGTTCCCACTGGATTCCCAGAGAGTGGTTCATTTCTGTGGCCACAAAGGAAGGGTGGGGTCACTGGGTGCAGTTTCAGATGTATCTGTAGTGCAAATAAGGCTTCAGTAAATATGCAGTTGGAGAAACACTTCCTCCTTTGACAAAGTGTATGGAGATTGTCGTTCGTCACTTGTTTGAGATCCATTGTGCTGGGTGACACCCGAGGAGAGTTGTTCTTCATTGTTTGGGGAACAGGGAACGCTAAGGGATCGGCACCCACCAGCAGAATCACAGCTGAGAGGTGAAACCTGTGTGCAGTGTATATCTGAGAGATCCTGCGTTACAATCTCCGTGTAGGAGCTCTGCTACTAAAGCACTCTTAGAGATCAACTTGTGATAAAAACGCTTTGTGCAATGCAACGATTGTAAGTGTAGTAAATACATCTCTACATGTTCCACGATAAGCAGGAAGTAAGCCCTCTTTGACTAAAAGCTGCCCTTTTCCTTAGCAGCCCCCATAGCTGTACACGTCCCAGTCTCTGGGTAGCTGATCTGTTTATCTTGGTCTCTTGTGATGTGGAATAGTAGCAGGTGCCAGGGTGGGTGGGGCATTGCCAAGAGCCTGCACAAAGAGTGAGAACTGGTTAAGTGTCAGCTCTCCACATGCCAGCTCCTGGGGGACCCTGACCCAGCCTACTGGCCACACTGAGCCTGGCTCCTGATCTCTAAAAATGAAGATAACGATAATTCTCACTTAGTCTCTTACTTGATAATGCATATACAAAAGCAATGGCAATTCGAAACTAGCACATGAATGGACACTACCATTTCCAGTTTAGAGCCACCCCCAGCTCCTCACTGTGGCTTTTGCAGCCACCATAACATAACATAGAATGCCCACTGGAAACATGTCAAATGTATGCATATGTGCACATGCACAGACAGACGGGGGCAAAGGAAGGAAAAAGTGACTCTCAATGAGACCTAAAATTAGTCCATGATAAGTTGCCTCATGAACGTTTTTACAGACTGATAATGCTTCCTTCACATTCTTCACTATTGTCACAGTGCACATGGGTGGCAGGTAACACACTTTCAATTTCACATGCAGGAAAATTAGTGAAACAAATTCAAGGAAAGTTAAAGTATTAGAGACATATAAGCAGTTACTGGTTACTTATAGGTGAGCTATGAGTTTGTTTGAAAGGAATAGCTTCAAACTCTGAAGTCGGGATGGGCAACGTCCTTCGGGGTTTACATGGGGGATAGGCTCTGTGATGCCATGCCGTCAACCTAAGACTGGCTTGATTATATCCATTTCCAAAACCTGCTCTCATCACTGCTGATAGATTCCAAAAATATTTTCCTCTTTCTCCCCAGTGGGCTGGTTTGGCTCTCCAAACTATAGCAAACCAATAAAAATAAACAACAGGCAACATCAACAGAAAAGGCAGGTGGGTAATCTGCTAATTTGATATTTCATGAATGGAACTGAGAGGTGAAGTCTCCCAGACAGAGCAGAGAGCTGCTGTGGGGAGCTCTTGAGTCTTCTCTCTGCCCCCGGGTCCCCTTGCACTCATCTCTTTTTTCTCTGAGTTTGTGTTCCTTTTGTGCCATTCTTTCATCCATTCTTTTTCCTCCTTTGTCTCTATTTCTCCTTGTCTCTTACTCTTTTATCAAATAAAAGGTAGGCCAGGCACAGCGACTCATGCCTGTAATCCCAGCACTTTTGGAGGCCGAGGTGGGCAGATCACCTGAGGTCAGGAGTTTGAGACCAGCCTGGCCAACATGGTGAAACCCCATCTCTACTAAAAACATAAAAAATCAGCCAGGCACGTGGCACAGACCTCTAATCCCAGCTACTTGAGAGGCAGAGGAGAATCACTTGAACCAGGAGGCGGAGGTTGCAGGGAGCTGAGATCATAGCATTGTGCTCCAGCCTGGGCAAAAAGAGCGAAACTCCGTCTCTAAATAAATAAATAAATAAATGGTAAATTTACTATGTGACATATTTCCCAAGTAAAATATTTTATCCTTTACTTTAAAAAGTATGGTAACACAGACTCATTTTTAAAAAAAAAGAAATGTAAATGATCAAGAAAATATGGGATCAATGGATAACAACATGGCAATAGTGGTCATTTTTAGATGGAGGGAATTTGGATCATTATCTACTCTTTGTTTATTGCTACTTTGAAATAGTACATAATTACATCTATTTTTATAGTAACACAAATTAAAATATACGTTCTAATCCTTTGTCTAAGTCTCCCTAAAGCAAACGAGAAAACGATAATGCAGCTCTTACTTCCATATGGACTGGAATTATATTATTTGAACGTGACAATTAGTGTCGCTGACATAGCGGTGTCCACATTTTCCAAATATATCATAGCTTTCTTCACACAGAGGCAGCCCTGAGGTAAAACACGGTGTCACTCTCCCCGCCAGCCCCGCGTGCCAGCGGCCTTAGTTAGAGGCTAAGGAGCATATTTCTATTCCTACCACTGTCATGGAGTTGGAAAAAGGGTTCCAATTTTAACAACTTAGATATATGTAGGTCAAAAGTCATGTTGTTCAGAACCACAATCAGAATAATGCCCTGATTTCCCTTTCACAGATGTGTCCCTGCGATTTGGGGTTTAGCTTATGAGTGAATGGTAGCTGCCACTTCACGTATTGGAGAGAGACAGAGGGAAAAATAAAGACAAAAAAGTATCATGCTGCAATATGTTAGCCCCTTTTATTTATTCTTGATATTGGATGCTGTAATGGTACCAAGAATTTTTTTTTGAATTTCTGAATTTTGTGTGTTAGTGAACGTGTTAATAAAGTAACAAGCTCATAGGTGCTATAACCGCACGCTTCCTGCCATATCCAATGCACTAAAAATGTGTGCTCTTAAAAGGGAGTTTTAAATGTATATTGGTTTCTTGTAAAATACATCTTTTGTGTGTGTGTGTGTGTGTGATACATCCACCACAAAACAGAAATAATCAGAAAAGAGGGAAGAACAGGAACACAATGGGGAAGCCCCATGAAGTGAATTTGCCTTTCTCGTTTCTATGACCCCAGCATGGCAAACGCTCCTCTCTCCTCAGTTCTCCGGCACTGCTCTGAGCTGCCTGTCCACACACTGCTTTATGAGGCCAGGAACTCATTGCGGCCCTGCAGAAAACTCAGCTGGGAGGCCACATGTTGCACTCCAGCCACGTTGCTTTTATTTATAGGAACACATAAGACTCATAAGGTAGCAGATACAGGAATCCAAATGCGTTTCTTTCTTATATTTTTGTTTGTTTTTTGTTTTTGGATTTTGGTGGGAGCTGCAAGCAAGATATATGTATAGGAGCATAATTCACAGTAGCTGAAAGGTGGAGGCAGCACACGTGTCCACTGACAGATGTACAGTGGACTATTATTCAGCCTTAGAAAGGAAGGATGTTCTGACCCATTCTACGACATGGCTGGATGTTGAGGGCATTACGCTAAGTGAAAGAGAGCAGTCACAAAAGAACAGATACCGTACAATGCCACTCACATGAGGTAAGACTAGTGGTCATATTCACAGAGACAGAAAGCAGAATGCTGGGACCCAGAGATGGGTGTGTCTAGACACACACACACACATATATATAGTACTATATCCCACCTTGCATTTAGTGAAGTGCTCAATATACATTGATAGGTTGATTGAAGGAAAAAAGAGGAAAAGGAAGAGAAAAGGAGAAGGAGGAGGAAGGCAGGCAGGAAGGAGGAAAAACAGAGAGGAAAAGGAAAAGGAAAAAATGTCAGAAGTACGAGCTTTCTTCACTTAAGTAACTGGAAGATCAGAGTTCATTATTAGGAAGCTTAAAAGGTAAAACATTCCTAAAAATGAGTCCATGAGTACAGAGACCAGATCCATCTTTTTCCCTCTGCCAATCTCTGCAAAGGAGCGCAGGCCCAGTAAATATCTCCCAAATGGAAAAATGAGGAAAACAAACATGTGACTTGATCCAATATTATTAACAGAGTGATGGTTAACAACACGTAAAGCGCATTCCAGGGGCTTAGTATAAACTATAAATTTTCACCACATATTACGAAAAGAACTTGCTGCTTTAGCTAGAAGAAAATGTCCTGCCCTGAGTCTTTTCTCCTTCATCTTTTACTCAGAATTTGGTCTCATGAAGACAGTGCCTGGCACATAAGAGACGCTCTATCAACAAACATTGCAAAAATAAATTAGTCTTCCATTCATCCATAAGCTTCCATTTATCAAGCACTGGTCACTTGGAATACTGTGGGCATTTCAGAAAGAAGCAGGCAGGGTCCCCAATCCCATGAGACTGTGTATGCCTCATAAGATGTGATAGCTGTCACCCAGGAGGAAAGCCCATTTCAAGGAGCATTATCAGGGCCACAGATAGTTTTTGGTCTAGTGAGTGGGCATACACCTAAATCACAATATGAAGTCGAATATGGCTAAGGAGAATTTATGGCAGAAAATCCTGAGGAAATGAAGTACATTCCTCTGCACAAGATGTGCCCAAGTTTTAGCAACAAACAAGATGGAAACAAGACAGACCAGCTCTCTAGGAAGGATGCAGGGTTCAGGAAGGTGCCTGTGGAATAGGTTTTAGCAATGAAGAGGACAGAAACAAGAGAGACCAGCTCTCTAGGAAGGGTGCAGGGTTCAGGAAGGTGCCCATGGAATAGGAGGATGGATGGCTATCTGTTGACCAAGGGGCAATGTCAATGGGAGCAGGGGAGAATGAAGGAAGGGCCCCAGGTGGAGAGAAGTACCAAGGGAGAGGCTGCCCTGAAGTTGGAAAACCAAAGGAGAAATCAGAAGTGTTGAAGTTGAGGAATTGAAATTGTCTTAAGTAAAAATACACTTTATTACAGTTTCCTCAACAACAAGTTAAAATCAAGGTTTGGACAGGCATGTCCTATTTTAAAAGCCCTAAGAAAGTTTACCATTCAAAGATATTCTTGGTGAATTCTTTTGCAAAGAGAACAAAATGATTTATGTAAAATAAATAACCTTCTATACAAACTTATCTCTCAAGGTTTATTTACATCGGACTATACCTTTACTTGGCATCTCCCTTAATTGGGACAGTGGGATTTAAGGTTCCCCAACAAAACAGGGGCACAAACTAATTGACTTCATAATTTTTTAAGCTAGTTGTGAAGAAGTATCATGCCAAATCACAAACTTCCATGGTACCTAGTTGTGTATAATGTAGAATAGAGTAGACTTTTGACCTTGCATGTGGCAGGCCTTAATAAACACCAGGGGCCCTGCAGAAAAGTAGCTGGGAAGCCACATGTTGCACTCAATCCACACTGCTTTTATTTATAGAAACACATAAGACTCATATGGTAGCACACGCAGGAATCCAAATGAGTGTCTGTCTCATATTTTTGTCTTTTGTTTTTGGATTCTGGTGGGAGCTGCGAGCAAAGTAGTGGAGTCACTTTTGGCATCTGATTGTTAGATGACACATTTCAGTATATGAAGCAACAAGGAGGCTCGAAGTTAGCTTCCAGTGGAAAGAGGCTCACATCACTGAAAAATGTTCACCCTAATTGGCAACCTTGTTAGCAGCCATTCCAGCAGAAAGACCACATGCAGGATTGGCAGCGCACACTGACAGGAAAGTTTTTGAATGACTAAATTCCAGACACATCCAAAAGGCAATTAAATACAGATTCCATAATAAAATACTCACACAATCCTGGAGACCATCATTCCAAATATGTTTCTATTTCGATCATGCATGTTCACTCCCATAGGAAAATACTCAAACTTATCAAAAGATTTTTACATATCAAACTACACACACCTGCTTTTATGAAAAGTCACAATCTGGGAAAATGCTGACCGGTCTTTGTTGCTCCCAGGTCTTTGTTGCTCCCTATTCTTTGTTGGAAAAGGGTAGTTTTCCCAAAGACCACTCAATGTGGGTTTTTGTTTGTGTCCATTTGCAAAATTAAACAGTAAACTTTTGCAAGATTCTTGGTTGATGGACTTATGAGAAGGGAAAAATAATAATCTCATAAATAAAAAATGATAAAAGTGTGCCTCCCACAGTGCTTTATGGTATGTAAAATACTTCTGACCAATTATCTTAGTTTAGTCTCACAACATTCTGCACAGTGGACAGGGCACATAATATCCCCATATTCTAAATGAGGAAGTTGAGTCTTGAAGATTGAACATCCCAAGTTTCAGATATCGGTGATGAGGCTTGAAGCCCCTGGGAGAAGAGAAGCTTGCACCAGCTCAGCATAAGCTGAACTATCGGAAATGAGAGGCCTGCTCAAACTGCAGGCTCCAGGAACAGAGCCAGCTCAGAGGGCAGGTGTGGAGAAGAGGGGAAATGGTGGCAGAAACACAGACTGACTTGATAAGATGTGGCCCTTGGCAAGACACGATACCTCCATAGGGTGACTGAATGGGCTGCCCTGCAGCCTGCCTGCTCCAGCCAGCAGTCCAGGTTCTCCCTGCAAACTGACGGCTAGAGATTCTTCTAGCTCTCTAGCCAGCCACATCACCTGGGAGAGCTGAGATGGCTACCATATTATTTTGAGGTCCTTATTAGAATAAAGATATGGAGAAAAGCTATTTTCCCTTTAGAAGCTATGTGCAACATTGTATCCTGTTGTACATTCTAAATGATATGAAGCATACTCAACAGGAATGGACAATTGGTGTCTAGCACCCCACTTGCATGCTCAGATTAACAACACAGCATACTCGTATTACAGTTTGAGAACAGCTCCCCAGTGTACAGATTATGTAAACAAGGCTAACTATTGCACCAAGAGTGATTTGTTAAAATAGGCACAGGGGATGAAAAAATAATCTTGAAAAACAGAGAAAAGATTGGAAGTATGGGTCGGAATTATGGTGGAGGATGATTAACGACCTTCGGCAGGCTCCAACACCTACATCAAAGCATGTGCTGGGCCGACTGAGAGCGGATGGTGCTGAGCCCTGTAGAGTCCTGGAGAAGGAGGTAGACCATCCCGAGCTCTAGCCTACTCCAAGACATGAGCTTGGGAACTCCTTGAGCCTTGTGTTTCTTTCTTCAGGAGAAGAAAAGACTAGATAAGTTAATCAAGCTTTGAGGCTTGGCAACATTTAAACCAGGAATTCAGCAGCTGGTATTATATTTTAATGCTACTTCTACAACTCATTCAAAGTGTAATGACAAAAGAAGAAAGCAAGATAGCAGAGAGGTGACAGTGACAATCACTTAGCAGTTTCCGTGAAATACACTAGCAGCCCCCAGGAATGGAGGCTCAAGGAGTTCCCAAGCTCATGTCTTGGAGTAGGCTAGAGCTGAGGACGGTCTACCTCCTTCTCCAGGACTCTACAGGGCTCAGCACCATCCACTCTCAGTCAGCCCAGCGCATGCTTTCACATAGGCAGTGGAGCCTGCTGAAGGCTGTTAATCATCCTCCTCCATAATTCTGATCCATTCTTCCAATCTTTTCTCATTTTTCAAGTCAGAGAGGGATTTGGAGATGCTAGGCTGCTGGCTGTGAACATGGAGGCTGGGGCTAGGAGCTGAAGCACACGGGTGGCCTCTAGAAGCTGTAAGGCAAGGACAGGGATTCTCCCCTGGAGCCTCCCAAGGAAATGCAGCCCTGCCAGCTTTGATTTTAGCACAGTGAGACCCATTTTAAACTTCTGCCTAGAGAACTGTAAGATAACAAATTTGCATTCTTTCAACCACTGTGTTTGTGGGAATTTGTTGCAACTGCCAATAGGAAACTAATACAGGCTCGCTGACTGCCCTAGTTCAGCCTCCTCCACCTGAGGCACCTGGTATGTTTTCCTGCAACTGGAGTACTACTGAAAGAGAGCTAGCAGAGAGGTGACAATGACAATCATTTAGTAGGTTCTGTGAAATACACTAGCAGCCCCCAGGAGTGGAGAGCTTCGCCTGCCACAAAAGAGTCAGGTTATTTCTGAGTCTTCAATGCTTTTCACCTGAAGAAGTTCCTCATCTTGCATATTTATGCTTCAGACTTTTTCCTGCTACCTTTTTAATAGGTACCTGGGGCTAGGATGGGGAGACAGTGTGGCTGAAATGAGCTGTGTGTGCCGCAATGGAACACCATGAGACGGGTACTGAATAGACCTTTTATAAACCCCAAAAGGGAAGAAAGAAAGCTCATCAGCATGAGACAGGGGTCCCTGTACCTGTGAGGGGGCCTTTTCTTGTCCTGCCTTCAGACAGCTCTGGTGTTAACTAAATCGAAGCAACAGAGGCTTATTGAGTGCCTACTGTGTATGAGTGATTGTGCTGTTATTTTTATATACAAGGTAATTCACAATGCCTAAGTGAAAATCATCCAGAAGAAGGCATGTGATTCTGTGTAAGATAAGGCTACAGGGACTTCAAAAAATTGTAAACCTTGATTTACATCTGAAGATGAGTGCTAATTAATTTTATTGATCACTTATTGGGAGCCTAAGTATCTTAGCTTTTGCCAATTAAATTACACCTCAAGTTTATGAACATGTTCAATGCTTTTTAAGAACATGGGGTGAGAAGCCTAACATGTAGCCCACAGAGCATGGAGGCTGAGTGTCGAACTCACTGGTGAGCACTGTTGTGACTTGGACAATTCCGTAGACTTCATAATGAGAATGTAATTGGGTGGTATGACCTTTGGAAAAAATCAGTCTGTCAGGAGTAAGTTCCTACTTATTAATAATAGCAATGAATGGAAATGGATTAAACTCTCCAATCAAAAGATAGAGAGTGGCTGAATGGATGGAAAAACAAGACCCAACGATCTGTTCCCTACAAGAAACTTTACCTATAAAGATACATAGGGAGTGAAAATAAAGGGATAAAAAATGATATTTCATTCAATGGAAATGAAAAAAGCAGGAGTAGCTATACTTATGTAAGACAAAATATATTTCAAGACAAAAACTGTAAGAGACAAAAAAGATCATTATGTAATGATAAAGGGGTCAATTCAGCAAGATGATATAAGAATTGCATATATATATGCTCCCAACACTGGAGTATCCAGATATATAAAGCAAATATTATTAGAGCGAAAGAGACAGATAGACCTCAGTGCAACAATAGCTGGAGACTTCAACACCCCACTTTCAGCATTGGACAGATCTCCCAGGCCGAAAATTAACAAAGCAACATTTGATTTAATCTGTATTATAGAACAAAATGGACCTAATAGATATTTAAAGAACATTGAATGGCTACAGAATACACATTATTTTCTTCAGCACATGGATCATTCTCAAGGACAGATCATATGTTAGGTCAAAAAACGAGTCTTAAAACATTCAAAAAATTGAAATAATATCAAGCATCTTCTCTGATCACAATGGAATAAAACTAGAAATTATTAACATGAATAATTTTAGAATTTCCATGAATTTTACAAATACATAGAAATTAAACAGCATGTTCCTGAATGTCCAATGAGTCAGTAAAGAAATTCAGAAGAAAATTGGAAACTTTCTTGAAACAAATGATAATGGAAACACAACATACCGAAACCTATGGAATACAGTGAAAGCAGTACTAAGAGGGAAATTTATAGCTGTAAGTGCTTACATCGAAAAAGAAGAAAAACTTCAAATAAATAACCAATAATGCATCTTAAATAACTAAAAAAGCAACAGCAAACCAACCCAAAACTTAGTAGAAGAAAATAAATAATAAAGATAAAAGCAGAAATACATGAATTTGAAATGAATAAAACAATACAAAAGATCAATGAAACTGTTTTTTTAAAAAGGTAAACAAAACTGACAACCTTTAGCCAGATTAAGCAAAAAAGAGAGAAGACTCAAATAAATTTAAAAAAAAAGGAATGAAAAAGGAGTTATTACAACTTATATCACATATATTCAAAGCATCATTAATGGCTACTATGAGCAACTATATACCAATAAATTGGAAAATCTAGAAGAAGTTGATAAATTCCTAGACACATGCAACCTACCAAGATTGAACCATGAAGAAATAAAAAACCTAAACAGACCCATAACAAGTAATGAGATAAAAGCCGTAGTAAAAAGTCTAGTAAAGAAAAGCCCAGGACCCAATGGCTTCACTGCTGAATTCTACCAAGCATTTAAAGAAGAACCAAAACCAATCCTACTCTAACTGTTTGAAAAAATAGAGGAAAAGGGAATACTTCCAAACTCCTTCTATGAGGCCAGTATTACCCTGACAACACCACCAAAGACACATCAAATAAAGAAAAATACAGGCCAATATGTCTGATAAATATTGATGCAAAAATCCTCAAAAAATATTAGCACACTGAATTCAACAATACATTTAGAAGATCATTCATTATGACCCAGCGAAATTTATCCCAGGATTGCAAGGATGGTTCAACATTTACAAATCAATCAGTGTCATACACAATATCCATAGAATGAAGGACAAAAACCATATAATCATTTCAATTGATGCTGAAAAAGCATGTGATAAAGTTCAACATCGCTTTATGATAAAATCCCTCAAAAAACTGGGTATAGAAATAACATATTCAACATAAGAAAAGCCATGTATGACAGACTCACAGCTAGTATCATACTGAGTGAAAAGCCAAAGACTTTTCTCTTAGATCTGAACATGACAAAGATGCCCACTGTCACTGTTGTTATTCAAGATAGTACTGAAAGTCCCAGCCAGAGCAACCAGACAAAGGGAAGAAATAAAGGGCATTCAAATTGGAAAGGAAGAAGTAAAGTAATTCTTGTTTGCAGATGATATGATCTTATATTTGGAAAAAAACTAAAGATTACACCAAAAAATGATTAGAACTAATAAATTTAAAAAATAAATTTTGCAGGATACAAAATTAACATACACAAATAAGTTGCATTTTTATATGTCAATGCTAAACAATCCAAAAAAGAAAAAAAAGAAAAGTAATCCCACTCACTGTAGCCACAAATAAAAACAAATACCTAGGAATAAACCAAACCAAAGAAGTGAAATATCTCTATAATGAAGACCATGAAATAGCAATGAAATAAATTGAAGAGGATACAAAAAAATAAAAAGACATTCAATGTTCATGAACTGGAAGAATCAATATTGTTATAATGTTGATGCTACCCAAAGCAATCTACAGATTCAATGCAATCTCTATTAAAATATCAATGACATTCTTCACCAAAATAGAAAAAAAAATCAAATAAAAATGAATTAAAGGCTTAAATGTAAGACCTCAAACTATGAAAGCACTATAGGAAAACATTGGATAAACTCTCCAGGACATTGATCTGGGCAGATTTCTTGAGTAATACCCCACAAACACAAGCAACCAAAGCAAAAATGGACAAATGGAATCACATCAAGTAAAAAAGCTTCTTCACAGCAAAGGAAACAATCAACAAAGTGAAGAGACAACCTACAGAAAGGGAGAAAATATTTGCAAACTACCCATCTGACAAGAGATCAATAACCAGAACATATATAAAGCTCAAACAACTTTATAAAAAAAACTAATAATTTGATTAAAAAATGGGCAAAAGATTTGAATAGACATTTCTCAAAAGACATACAAATATCAAACAGGCATATGAAAAGGTGTTCAACATTACTGATTATCAGAGAAATGCAAATCAAAGCTACAATGAGATATCATCTCACCCCAGTTACAACGGCTTCTATCCAAAAGACAGGCAATAACAAATGCTGGATAGAATGTTGAGAAAAGGGAACCCTTATATACTCTTAGTGGAAATGTAAATTAGTACAACCACTATAGAGAACAGTTTGAAAGTTTCTGAAAAAAATAAAAATAGAGCTACCATAAAATTCAGCACTCCCATTGCTAGTTATACACTTAAAGGAAATCAGGTAATTGAAGAGATCTCTGCACTCCCATGTTTGCTGAAGCTCTGTTCACAGCAGCCAATGTTTGGAAGCAACCTAAGTGTCCATCAACAGATGAATGGATAAAAAAGTGTGGTGCATATACACAATGGAGTATTATTCAGCCATAAAAAATGAGATTCTGCCATTTGCACCAAAATGCAACTGGAAATTATTATGTTAAAAGCAATAAGCCAGGCACAGAAAGACAAACATTACATATTCTCACTTATTTGTCAGATCTAAGAATCAAAACAATTGAACTCATGAAGATAGAAAATAGAAGGAATGTTACCAGAGGCTGGGACAGTAGTAAGGGGCCAGGCGGGGAAGTGGGGATGGTGAAAGGGTACAAAAAAAAAAAAAAAGGACAAATAAGGCCTAGTTATTTGATAGCACAACAAAGAGACTATAGTCAATAATAATTTAATTGTACACATAAAAATAAAAGAGTATAGTTGGATTGTTTGTAACACAAAGAATGCTTGAGGGGATGGATACCCAATTCTCCATGATTTGATTATTACACATTGCATGCCTGTACCAAAATATCTCTTGTACATCATAAATATATATACCTACCATGTACCCACAAGAACTAAAAAGGAAATTGAGAAAAAGAAAAATTCAGCCAGCATAATTTATCCATTGAATGTATTCTAGTTATTCTCTTTAAAGATCCTACTCTTTAAATATATAAAGAAAAAAATTAATTATAGCATGATTTATAATTAAAAAATGTTTAAAATTAGAAAATGTTAAATAGATTATGATCAGTTCTGCAAACAAAATATTTTGCCGACTTAATGTTTACCTGGAACTTTAATGGCATGAAAAATGTTCATAATGTAAGGTGAAGTATCAAATCTTATTAAATGTTAATGTATATGATAAAAGCTATTACCTCTCATCGTGGAATTAGATCATTCTGTCCTTCAGGATACATTTTTAAGGCACATATCCTCAATCCTCATTTACAGGTATGTTGTGAAATTAGAGGTGATTTATTTTTCTCTTATAATTTTCTTTACTTTCTTTAATTTGCTTACAATGAGCCCATATTCCTTTTATTATTAGTAAGATAACAAGATAAACTACTGTATAATGACCTAGACGTGGAGATACGTCCGCTGCAGCCCAGGCTTCACTCTCCTGCCCTTGCAAGTGGTATCACTCCACCAGTTCTTTCAGGGTTTCCGCCCGTGAATGCCATCACCAATGCTGTCCGCCCACGCCACGCTTCCAGGTGCAGAAACCTGGCATGACAGGACTGTACCCCCCACCTCCTGCCCCACTCCAGCTGACTTGTACCCTCACACCCTGTTTTTATGAAGCGCTATTATTCCAAGGAATGCACCCAGTAGGCACCTGGACATTGAGGAAGTACATAAGCCAGCAAACCAAGTGTGCTGTGTTTATTAACACCAGGTAAATTCAGTTTTCACTAGGTTATTCCAAGCTACTAGTTGACAGTTGATGCAATGACAATAGATCTATTACAGGATCTGAAAGCTCTAATATATCTGTTTTGAAAAATGCCTTATTCTCAAAGAAAATTTACCCACAACTAATACAAGAGCATCATTTGAGCATCTAATAAGGGCCAGGTTCAATATGGGAAAAGAAAAAAAAAGGAAGGAAGGAAGGGAGGGAGGAGGAAGGGAAGGAGAAAGAAAGAAGAACGAAAAGAAAGAAAGAAAAGAAAAAGAAAGAAAGAAAGAAGAAAAGAAAAGAAAAAAAGGGAACGGCAAGGCAAGGCAGGCAATGGGGAACACAGCAGGCATCTAAAAAATATAAAAGATGAAATGAGATTTACCTGAAGTTACCTAAATTTTGGCCAGGGGAAAATGTAAACTAAAATTCAGCTGTCCTTGTTACCGAATTCTCCATTCCTCCTCTCAAGTGTTCCAGTGGTGGAGAGAAGACAGGCTCTCTCTGCTGCCCTGTCTCAGCCAACTTTCCTGGCTTCGTTCTCAAGGAGGGTGTCCAAATGGTCTGACCCAAGCTCCTCTCTCCTGTCCTGCCTCTGCTTACCTCTGTTTGTCCCGACTACCCTTTTAACTTTAAAATTCCCCCTGAATACCAGCCCATGCTTCAGGTTCCAGGCTAAGATTCAGCCCTCCCATGGCCTCTTTCTGAACCCAGGAAACCTCTCGGGATCTCAGCTCCAGCCCTGGTCTGTGTCTGGGCATGAGTCCACACTGCCCACCACAAGCTGTTCTTCCTATTGAGCTGCAGGGACGGATGCTGGCTCCTCCATTCTGCAATCCAGGAGGGACTCAGGGATGGCTCCTCAGAGGGATCAGTGCAGAAACTGCTCTTGCATACAGCAGAATTCTTATTTTAATTCTATAACAGATTTCTAAATTCTTGAATATAAAAGCAACTATAACACCACAGGTGTGTGTTGCTGGTAGATGGGCGGGGTGTTGAAGGGGGAAGACAGCAGCAGGGAGGGCCCGGCATGCAAAGCTCCCCTGTCCCCACCACCAAAGACCACATCTCCAAGGCTAAAGGAAAGAGGCCATCGTCTTCTTCATCTGTCCTCACCTCCCCCACGAAAAGCATCCCTGGGTGTGCTCAGTGGGGTGCTATATGTCTTCTAAAATGCCTTCCCCTCTTTCTTCCCCCTTATGTGAATTTTTCTAGAACATTCTGGGGCCTATAACTTTGTAAACAAGATCATTCTCTCCTTCAGGACACCTTTTTAGGGCATGTATCCTGAATCCTCATTTACATCTACAGTCAAGGAAGTAAAATTTTTTTTAAAAAAATAAACCAAATTTCTATCCCTCACTTGAAAGCCTTTATTTTCAGTTAAGGTCTTAGGCAAGTTTTTCTGCAAAATTTTAGAGTCAATCAAAGAGAAGAACATATAAAAATAATGTGGCTTTTGCTATTGTGGCACCTTTGAAAAAGAAAAAAAGAATTTAAAAAAAAAAGAAAAAAAGAGAAGGAAACATCATTGATCACCAGGACACCTGTGAGCCGGAGCGGGCTCCACTGTCCAGCCTGGTCTCCATTCCAGCTGCAGCTTTTGCTGCCCCCCTCGCAGGAGCCTCCCTTCTCTGGGAACAGGGCTCGCTGGCTTCCACACAGTGACTTCGCCTTGAAGGTGCTGAGGAGAGCGTTAGGCGCTTTCTCTACTCTTCCACCTTTGGCTGAGTCAGCATATGAAATTTCTGGATAATAGTCCACACAGAGCATTGCTCAGCGGGAAATCTCAGTAATGGCGTGGCCCAGAGTCACTGACTGATAATGTCTTCACTTCTAATGCTCTATAGGGGGAAGGGGGATGCAGTTAAAAGGAAGGATTGGGAACGTGTTTGTAAAAACGAGTGCCAAGAAGGGCATGCAAAGTAAAACACAGGATCACGGAAGAGAAATGCACCAAGGAGGCTGAGAGCTGAGAGGAGAAAAAACTCCCAGTTCATGTGCAGGAAGCAGGGCAGGAGAGCAAGTGGGAAACAAGAAGCAGGGCAGGAGAGCAAGTCGGAAACAGGAAGCGGGGCAGGAGGGCAAGTCGGAAACAGGAAGCGGGGCAGGAGGGCAAGTCGGAAACAGGAAGCGGGGCAGGAGGGCAAGTCGGAAACAGGAAGCGGGGCAGGAGAGCAAGTCGGAATTTCCCGGAAACAATCATTCCAGCCACTGCCACTCTCCTAAGGTCTGCCTTCAGCGAGACTGTGAATTAACTTTCATCCTAAGCTTATTTAAAACATGTTTTAGATGAAAAGATTACATAGTTTGGGAAAAATGCTCCAAAATATACATAAAGACACACATATATGCACCCCCAGCACACTATGTATAAAAGATAACTAAAACCGAAGGCTCCCTGTGATAAGTGTGAAAGGAATGTTGTGCACCGTGGCCGTGGCGTTACTCACAGAATTCTGCACTGTGCATTGTGTGTATCCCAAAGAGTATATGGTACCTTTTGCAGATTTGCAACATATAAGGTTTTGCATAAGAGTTTGCATATATTTGTCCAATGCACATATAAGTAAGCAAATAATCTACTTTTATATGAGATTCAATTAATGCCGTTCATGGGGAAAATCTTCAACAATGACTGCAGATCAGACCTGGATTCGGGATTTAGAGTCGAACTCCATCAATCCATGAAGGAAGCAGAGGCCCTGGGAGGGGAACAACTCATTCAGCAGCTACAGGATCTCCGGGAGGCCTGGGGGCTGGGCTGCACCTCAGGAGACTGTGATGGGACATTGATGTGGGCATTTTCCAGAGGCGCTGGAGCTGCTGAGAGAAGGGACTCTAGAGCTGCATTGCCGTGGTGGCCTCCATGCTCCTGTCTCCTTATCTGCACAGTGGTTGTTGTGAAGATTAGACAGATTCAGACATGTATGTTTCTTACAGCACTGGCTGCCACATAGATCAATAAATCTTAGCTATTATTAGTACTTAGTATTTTGTTTTAAACACCCTGAAAAAGCCATATAGATACAGAATGGCAAAGTTCCACAGAAAGATGCGAAATGTTCATTTTTTTTCTAATGAAAGTGCTTATTGTCATCTCCTCTTTCCATTTTTACTTAATTGAACTTTAATCTTCATCACAAGAATCACAGCTTGTCCTTCTGACCAAGAAAATTGTCCTCCAACTGATCTACCATACAGCCCCAACTACTTCCCATTTTTTATTTTATTCCCCTCTTCCCCAAACTTTTACTACAAGGAAATGATCTATATTTTTTCTCGACTTCTATAATATACATGTGCCATATTCTTTCCTACATAAATATTTCCAGTTTATTTTTTGTTTTTATGATATTTAACCCATCTGCCTCCAGGAAATATTTGAAGTGATTTAAAATAAAAGACATGTGAATGTTTAATAGTTAATAAAAATAGGCCAAAGGGAAGGGTCTATGGAAAGAGATAATTTTATAGAAAATAAATAGTCTTGTGATTTTAAATGTTTTGTTTTCCTAAATGTAGGAAGTGATCCTCTTTCTCCACCGAACACCATTTATGGTTCATCCTGCAGCTCCCCGTCCTGACAGCCTTTCTGGGCTGCCCGATTACAGGGTGATTTCTTACCCCCCTAAATTTCCAACACACACTCATTACCCTTCCATCTATGTCACGCAATATATCAGGAGGATATTGGGGGGGTTGTTAGTTTTTAAGCACAAGCCTCATCTTCCTGCTCAGCCCTAAGCCTCCTCACATACAAGTCTTTTGCCCCAGAAAAGGGTAACGGTTGCCCTCAGAGCATCAGAGCAGCTGCAAACCCACCTAGAAGGGAGGGGAGAAAGGAGCCACACGGTGAAATCATTCTACGATTTTCACTGGAAATTCAAATTACTCTGGAAACGATATTTACATCAGCCCTTATTTGCAACTGGATTTTCAAAATATTTGAATAATTTTCTAAAAATATGAATCACTTGAACATAAAACATTTACAGAATGAAGGCTGGGCCGTCATCCTGTTTTTAGCTATTTGTCGCACATACCCGTGTGGATGCCTGCAGTGACAGGTACAGAAGCCGTCTTCATCCTCATCACACCCATGACCATATTAGACTGGCTGTTGTGAAACAAAGCAAGCTCTGGAGGCCGTTTCTAGTCCCGCTGCTTTCTGCCCCATCACGGATATTGTCTTTCATCTGGGATAAGAGCAGTAACAGCTTATACCTATTAGGGGCCAGTTGAAGTGATGAAAGTTGTGAACACCTTACCCTTTACTGAGTCTGAATTAATTCATGGCAACAGCCTTGCTTTGCTCCCTGGTACTTTTCTGCAGCTACCAAGTCTCATTAAATAGGGAGCCATAGCGGGGTAAAAGGACAACTTGTTTTCTAAAGAGAAGGTCCACCTGACCTTGCCACAGGTGGAGATTACTGTTAATCACCTCTGTAACCATCTTCACTCGCGTCGGGCCAAAACAAGACCCCCGGTGAATAGACAGAGGCTCCGGGCTGTAGATGTGAGCACAGTGTTCTCAGTGCTGACATGGCACGCTGCTCAAAGAGGCGTGAGGCCAAACTGGTCCGCAGGCCGAGGCCAGTGTGGGCACCATCAGCAACTTGAAAGGCCACACCTGAAAGGTAAAACTATTGATCCAGTGAGCAGCTTAGGCTTTCTTAGGAAAGTGAATAAGGGTTTCAGATCAGCAGTTGTCCAACTGTGGCCACAGGTCTAATTCAGGTGCCACCTATTTTTATAAATAAGGGGTTTTAAAACACAACCATATCCTCACAATTCCGTATTATCTATGCTGCTTAGCGCTACAGCAGCAGAATGGAGTAGTGGGAACAGGAACCATCTGGCTCTAAGGTCAAACATATTTACTATCTGCCTTTTAAGGATAAAGTTTGTCAACTACTGTTTTCCACCATTTCTCTGGAAACAGAAATCCAAAGAGATGCTATAACCTTTAGAACATTGTGCAGAGGGAATTCGAAGAAACTGAGTGCAGGACAATAAGCAGCATTTGGGAATCGTGTGACAGTACAAAATGCTCCTTTTTTAAAAGCGAGAGCACTAATTGCACTATATGGCCAGGTAATGCTGACATAAACATCCAAAGCCGTCATAAGAAGCAAAGGCATAGCAGTCACTATGTCAGCAGTGACAAATGGGCTGAGGATTGATACAGGGGAAGTGCAAAGCAAATGTCTGCTACTCATGTCTGTTCACATGTATGAGAGTGTGCATGTGTGTGTAAATGCCATTCATATAGCCACACAGACACACAGGCACTTATAAACATGTGTGTAGTCATACATACATAGGTTGCTGCCTCCTTGAAGTTACTGAAAAACAGATTTTCAATGTTCCCCTTGCTTCACCTGGAGAGCTTAGTGAACTATGCATTCCTGTGCCCCACCCCCAGAGTTTCCAATTCTGTGGAATTGGAATGGGGTCCAGAACGTCCTTGTCTAAGAAGCCCAGCTGATGCTCCTGTGGCTGATCAGGGCACCCCACTGAGAACACTACTTGAGAGAATAATCGCCATTCCCGAATTAGTAGGACCCTCTGGATACCTCCTGTGGAGTGAAAATTAATTCAGGTGAAACACACAGCCCCTGCAATTTGCTATTATGACTTTGAACTTGGGGCTCATATTGGAAATGACTGACGGTTTTCTCTATCGATGATGTCTTAATGCCCTGGGATTGTTTTTCCAGGTTGGAGCCATAAGGACCTTGAAAGATCCAATCTTGGCTGCGGTGGCTTATGCCTGTAATCTCAGCACTTTGGGAGGCTGAAGCGGTTGGATCACGAGGTCAAGGATGAGGAGAGATGCCATTCAAGGAACAGAAAACCTTACCAGACAGGAAAAGTAAGTCCTGGAGCTCTAACGCACAGCATGGTGACTATGGTAAATAGCACTGTATCGTCTATTTGAAATTTGCTAAGAGAGTAGCCTCAAGGGTTCTCATCACTAACTTTTTAAAAATGGAACTATGTAAGTTGGATTCCTAGGTATTTTATTCTCTTTGAGGCAAGGATGTGAAGGACCTCTTCAAGGAGAACTACAAACCACTGCTCAAGGAAATAAAAGAGGACACAAACAAATGGAAGAACATTCCATGCTCCTGGGTAGGAAGAATCAATATCGTGAAAATGGCCATACTGCCCAAGGTAATCTACAGATTCAATGCCATCCCCATCAAGCTACCAATGACTTTCTTCACAGAATTGGAAAAAACTACTTTAAAGTTCATATGGAACCAAAAAAGAGCCCGCATCGCCAAGTCAATCCTAAGCCAAAAGAACAAAGCTGGAGGCATCACACTACCTGACTTCAAACTATACTACAGGGCTACAGTAACCAAAACAGCATGGTACTGGTACCAAAACAGAGATATAGATCAATGGAACAGAACAGAGCCCTCAGAAATAATGCCGCATATCTACAACTATCTGATCTTTGACAAACCTGAGAAAAACAAGCAATGGGGAAAGGATTCCCTATTTAATAAATGGTGCTGGGAAAACTGGCTAGCCATATGTAGAAAGCTGAAACTGGATCCCTTCCTTACACCTTATACAAAAATCAATTCAAGATGGATTAAAGATTTAAACGTTAGACCTAAAACCATAAAAACCCTAGAAGAAAACCTAGGCATTACCATTCAGGACATAGGCGTGGGCAAGGACTTCATGTCCAAAACACCAAAAGCAATGGCAACAAAAGCCAAAATTGACAAATGGGATCTAATTAAACTAAAGAGCTTCTGCACAGCAAAAGAAACTACCATCAGAGTGAACAGGCAACCTACAACATGGGAGAAAATTTTCGCAACCTACTCATCTGACAAAGGGCTAATATCCAGAATCTACAATGAACTCAAACAAATCTACAAGAAAAAAACAAACAACCCCATCAAAAAGTGGGCAAAGGACATGAACAGACACTTCTCAAAAGAAGACATTTATGCAGCCAAAAAACACATGAAGAAATGCTCATCATCACTGGCCATCAGAGAAATGCAAATCAAAACCACTATGAGATATCATCTCACACCAGTTAGAATGGCAATCATTAAAAAGTCAGGAAACAACAGGTGCTGGAGAGGATGTGGAGAAATAGGAACACTTTTACACTGTTGGTGGGACTGTAAACTAGTTCAACCATTGTGGAAGTCAGTGTGGCGATTCCTCAGGGATCTAGAACTAGAAATACCATTTGACCCAGCCATCCCATTACTGGGTATATACCCAAAGGACTATAAATCATGCTGCTATAAAGACACATGCACACGTATGTTTATTGCAGCACTATTCACAATAGCAAAGACTTGGAACCAACCCAAATGTCCAACAATGATAGACTGGATTAAGAAAATGTGGCACATATACACCATGGAATACTATGCAGCCATAAAAAATGATGAGTTCATGTCCTTTGTAGGGACATGGATGAAATTGGAAACCATCATTCTCAGTAAACTATCGCAAGAACAAAAAACCAAACACCGCATATTCTCACTCATAGGTGGGAATTGAACAATGAGATCACATGGACACAGGAAGGGGAATATCACACTCTGGGGACTGTGGTGGGGTCGGGGGAGGGGGGAGGGATAGCATTGGGAGATATACCTAATGCTAGATGACACGTTAGTGGGTGCAGCGCACCAGCATGGCACATGTATACATATGTAACTAACCTGCACAATGTGCACATGTACCCTAAAACTTAGAGTATAATAAAAAAAAAAACATTAAAAAAAAAAATGGAACTATGTGAGGTGATAGATGTATTAGTTAGCTTGATTGTGGTATCCTTTCCTAATGTATATATATATCACATCATCACATTGTGTATCTTAAATACATATAGTTTTTATTTGTCAATTATATTTTAAAAGAGCTGAAAAAAAATCAGGAATATGTCCCCAAAGTGAAAATTGTGACCTGAAAATCTCCAAATCTTTAGGATTAATGGGAAAATTAAAATCACATTCTGACTGACCCTCGTCTTATAGAAAATGTGGCTAGTATCGATCCATTCCAGGGAGTGCTAATCCCCCTGGGATGGATGTCAAGGTACGGGTCATCCCGACGGCAGATGGGCTTCAGGATTGGGAATCCTGGGTTGGAGCCCTGTCAATGTGTGTCGCTGGCCAGGTGTGCTAGGTCACATTGTTTAACCTTCCCGAGCTCCAGTTTATTTCATATAGAAAGAAAAAGATGTGCACAGCACTGGCCAGGGGTTCTGTGAAGACACAGTAGCCTAATGTATGTGAAAAATGTTTCAGAAACAGTCAAGCTCCTTCACATGGCTCTTCCACTGCAGCCTCCCCAGCCCAGGCTCTGACAATGAGCAGGCGCTCATTTTACACACGTCTTGACATTAGCGTGGCCTGGCTCCCTCTAAACAAGATCAGAGTATCCACGCCATTCCTTAGTGTTTTCAGATGCACTCACCGAGCACGGAGATTACATTACAGAGAGAAACAGGATTCACAATGCGTGATGAGATTTTACACCTGGCTCCCCGCTGACTGATGTGTGATGCTGAAAAATTATTGGCTAACACTGTCTGTGCCTCCGTGACCCCATCTGTGAAATGGGCATTGGAGTAATAAAACTTGACAAAACTTTCCTGAGGATCAAATGAGAAAAGTTTTGTGAATAGAACTTCAAAATTGTAAAGGCATATACAGACTTCGTGCCTATTATTATACAACAACTCTAAGAATTTTTACTGTATCTCAAGTGAAAATGACAGGTTTGACTGAAGAACCATAGTGATAAACCAGAAACTGAATGCTGTGCTTGTGAGTTACTATTTCACAACTTCTAGAACCATTCATACTTCTAATTTTGCAAGGCTGATAGCAGAACTATCACCTACTTCAGCCTAAGTCATCTGTATCCTGCTGGAGCAACTTTGAAATTTCTTTCTTTCGACCTTTCTGTTTTACGTATTTTTTTCTATCTTACAGAAGCTTACTTTGCTGGTGAATTATTTTTTTTTTGTTATATTATACTGAGACTCTGCTTTATTAAAATTTCCTAAAAGAATTTTCCCTAGATTTCCTTTATTTTTATTATCTTCCTCTTTGCAATTGGAATATATTTCCCAGCCCATGTGGCACAATCACCTGCAGGGTGTCTTCAGAATCGGACACTCAGCTGGCTGCTCATCGGTGACCTGGCCTGGTGAGGAGGGTGATGATTTCTCTGTTTTGTTGTCATGGTAATGTCTTCCGGGACAATGCTCCTAGCATTTCTCTTGGGAAATTCTGCCAGATTCTGAAACACACTACTCTCAGGAGCCTGTCCTTGATACTTTGTTAACGGTGTTATTTATCAGATTACTCAGAGATTGAGCACCAACAAATCCTGTCTCAGGAAGTCTTGGTTAGGCAACATTTGCCTCAGTCCATTGCCCCATGCTCAACTCACCCTACCGCCCTTCCTCCCTGCTGGGGTGCATGTGTGTGTGAGTGCGTGTGTGTGTGTGTGTGTGTGTGTGTATGTGTTTCCAACATGTGTCTACAATAGAATCTCCAACTTTTTTGTTTCACAATTTCTTTGCATTTTGTTGTTCTTACCATCAAGTCAAACCAGAAAACTACATTTCTATTGCACTTATACACTATGTCTTTTGATATTGTTGTTCAGTTGCATTATAAATCTGATTACAGTCTTTTAGACAAATCGGAAATGAAGAAAGAATATTATAAATTAGGAACATAACTATATCATCTGCTAATGTTAAATAGACACAAAATTATCTGAATGGAACTAAGAAGATAATTAACAAACCCCTGGGATAGCCACAGCATTAGTCCTCCCCCCTGTTAGGTAGGAAACAGAATTATCTTCCATTGCCAAGTCCTCAAAACTTCTATCAATAGGGAGTTGGCAGGTGAGATGTTCAGATTTGGCTAATGAGGCAAATAGCAGAATCTGGCAAAAAATGCATTTATGTTAGAAGTCAAAAAGAAATAAGTAAGAGAGTGGTGCAGATACAAAAACAACGTCCACAATTGAAAATAATACATTTGTGGAGATCTTCAGACCATTAAAATGTTAGGCAGTGGCCTAATGATGATGTGCTTCTCGTAAATGGAGACTGAAAGTAAAGCCTAAGTCAGGGAATTTGTGCTTGTGATTATTAGAACAGTTTCTGGAGCCAGCCAGGAAGGAGGACATACACTAGGAACATCCTTCATTTCTTAAAAGAATAAAAATAAACTTAAAAAATACACAGGGAAACAAATTGTTGGAATGAGATAAAACTTTAATACTTAATGTTTCCCAAAAAGGTAATATTAAATTTAAAAAGTGCATGATAAAATGAACCCAACTCAAATTAGAGTCATGGACATTCTATGATCCATGGGTGCAATTGAGACACCCCTTAACATAACTTCAGGAGTCTGGAGTTTTTGTGTATTTTTTACATTTTTTCAGTGTTGAATCCCAACAGCTAGAATAGTGTCTGACACATTGCAGGCACTAAATAAATATTTGTGAAGTAGGTAAATAATCAACTTTGGGGAAGAATAATGAATGAATGAATGTGTGTTTTATCTATTTCTTAAGTTCTCTTTCTGGAATTATTTATAAAATATCCAATTTTGCCATAATATCCTATCAAGCAAAATACTTCCACAAATAATTATGATTCCTTCCAGCCTGGGTGACAGAGAAAGACTCCGTCTCAAAACAAACAAACAAACAAACAACAACAAAAAAAAACCAAATAATTAGGCAGGGCGCGGTGGCTCACGCCTGTAATCCCAGCACTTTGGGAGGCCGAGGCAGGCGGATCACAAGGTCAGGAGGTCGAGACCATCCAGGCTAACACAGTGAAACCCCGTCTCTACTAAAACTACAAAAAAATTAGCCGGGCATGGTGGCGGGCACCTGTGGTCCCAGCTACTCAGGAGGCTGAGGCAGCAGAATGGCATGAACCCAGGAGGCAGAGCTTGCAGTGAGCCAAGATCGTGCCACTGCACTCCAGCCTGGGTGACAGAGCAAGACTCCATCTCAAAAAAAAAAAAAAAAATTATGATTCCTGCAGCTATAACATCTGACCTGTCTTTGCAGCTGGTTGGAGCTTTTCTAGCCCGCCCAAAGTCCAAATGACTTCTGTCCAATTCCAAATAAAGACATGTGTTTCAAAGCACAGCATTTTTCTTTCGTAGATTATGTTATGAACAGTGATTTATTTGGAAAGAATTTTGATGTTTTTACCCCAGGTGAGAGGCACAAATATATATATATATATAACCTGTGATATATATATATATATCACAGGTAATAAACATCTAGGTCTTCATTGGAGGAAACAAAATAGCATAAAGTGAACATATAAAATATTTTTCCCAAAAGGCAGGGCAAAAAACACAAACAAAATTTCCAGATATAAAACACATTGAAACTAATAACTTTAAAAAGAGAACTATCATTGCCCTTGGAGAAGGTAGTCATATTTAATTCTTCCCTGAATGACAACATGCAACTTCCTTTTTTGATGAATTAATTGATTAGGATTCCCATAAACAGTCTTCTTTCAGCATTTGTGAAAATCGTGCATTTATAATCACTTTGAAAATGGAAGAGAAGGGGAACCCTACTGGCAGAGAGCGAGGAGGGCCAATCACCTCCCAGCTCCAGGGTTAACGACGCCCTCTGCTTACATCCCAGAAACAAGGGGTGCTGCACATATGCAAAACCCGGTCGCAGAATGTATTGCCTGATGAAGGAAACAATTCCAATGCATAAATCAATAAATGCCTGAACCGTGTGGCGCAGATGACCTTTTGGATGTGAGTGTGAACTATATTCCTAAAAAGGCCTTTTGCACACAGATACCAAGCAAGACAAGGGACTAACAGAGCATAACTGGTGCTGGGGTTTGCAGCAGTGCCCGTTGCTGCTGCCCTCCTCTGCCTTTACTTACAGCACCTGTCAGCTGATGCAGCTCACGCCCCAGGATCCTGGCAGGTGGCACAGAAGAGGCCCTTTTCCCCTCTGGCTGAGTTCATCCTGATATGACTTTGGCCTCTTGTTCACGACTAGACCTTTCAGGATCCTCAGACGCTCCTGGCATCTGGGAGCTGCTAGTTGGAGGGGCCAGTGACTGTACCCATTTGCTGGACGTCAAGCATGATGTTTGCATCTTGGGTTCCCTATGTGATTTCACCCTTGCAGCAATTTTGCAAGGTGAGTTTTATATCTGTTTCTCACTTTAAAAAATTGGGGTAACAAATCTGCACATTGTGCACATGTACCTAGAACTCAAAGTATAATTTTAAAAAATCCTATAAAGAATGGACCGCTAATACTTAAGTGATAATAATACTGTAATAATAAAAATCTTGCATTTATAGAAAAAGAAATTGGGGCTCAGGAAAGTTAACTTGCTGGGCCAAACATCCATGGTGGCAGGGTTAGAATTTGAACCTTGACTGACCCTGAAGCCCAAGTTCCTTCCAGCACAGCATCTGAATTAAGCCTGGCAGTTTTAGCATCATTCACTTACTCTGTGTTTCTGGATCTCTATCTCATGCAAGTCTGACTGGCAAGGACTATGCATCTCCTGAGACCCAGGGTCTCTGCTTCCCACTAATCCACAGCCCAGCGTGGAACCCTAAGAGGCCCTGGGTCTGATGCCTTTTTCTTTATTTGTGCGTATACAGAACCTCATGACATCAGTAGAAATAGCATGCTCTGATTACTCCCCCAAACCCCACCCCCAAAAAAAATCCCAGAATAATACTCAAATTTGCAAAGAATCATACTTCCTAAGTTACTTTATATAGGAATGAAAGTTAAAAAATAGGTCATAGTGAAGCATTCACACAACCTAATAATCTTAATCAGCTGAGCAGAACAGTAAGGCACTAATTCTGCGGGGTTGGCTTCGATGGACTTCAGGTTCTGTGCAACGCTGGCCCAAGCTGCTCAGAGCCATGGTGCTCAGCGGAGTGTGTACACTCCTCCTGTGGGCTGAGGACGCGCCACGGTCCCAGCACAGCACAGTGCATGCTGTGAAACTAAGACTTGAACGTCAGTGGAAGGTCAGTGCTGAAGCTGAGTCCAAGCGGCCACGAATCGTAAAAATGTCCAGAGGAATTCAGCACTCCTCTAGGAGAATTATGCAACAGGAAAACCCAATGGACCCAAATCAATTCAGCAACTTTTTTTAAAAGCACTTCTCATGGCAAAATACCAGAATGAATGTTAAAGGGGATGCAAAGCCGAGAAAAGGAGTGAGTAAGTAAAAGCACAACATTTGGAGGCAGCGAGACTTGGGTTCAAATTCCTGCTCTATAACTTACTGGTCAGAACATCTTGAGCAACTAAAATTCAGTCTTTTTTAATTTTTTTTTTTTTTTGAGATGGAGTTTTGCTCTTGTCACCCAGCCTGGAGTGCAGTGGTGTGATAATGGCTCACTGCAACATTTGCCTCCTGGGTTCAAGAAATTCTCCTGCCTCAGCCTCCCAAGTAGCTGGGATTACAGGCACCTGGCTAATTTTTTTGTAATTTTAGTAGAGATGGGGTTGGCCAGGCTGGTCTTGAACACCTAACCTCAGGTGATCCACCCGCCTCGGTCTCCCAAAGTGTTGGGATTACAGGCTTGAGCCACCGCGCCTGGCCCATCCTTTTTTTTTTTCCTTTTTTTAAATGATAATAATGACATCTACCTTTTAAGGTTGTCATTAGAGTTAAATAAGATTATGTAAGTGAAACAGTTGGTACATAGCCTGTGTGGCATATTTAATAAATGATAACTTTATTATTTTAATAAGTGCGAGTCCTTGAGCTCAAAGAGCTGCAGCCAGTGGCATGTGAAAGAGAACACAGTGAGAACTAGACAGTGGGTACAGAGGGGACCAGGCGGGCCTTCCTCCCGAGTCTAATTGGGATTTGGGATGATGTCGGATGGTGCACCCGCGGCATGGGAAGAACTTCATTGTTTAAGAGCATGGGCCTTGAGGTTGTGACCGTGAGAAAGATTATTTAATCTTTTGGTAACATTTCCTTGTCTATAAAATATGGATATTTTATATGGTTTTGGTAAGCATGAAGTTCAATAATCCAAATACATGAAGAGAAGTTCACGGTACATAGCAAGTAATGGAGACATTTACGTTTGACAATGACAATGATGGAAAAGAAGGGCAGAGCCTTGAGGCTGATGGGATCTGGGGCCCTAAGGAGGCATGGATGGAGGGAGGAAAACACTGAAGGCTGTGAGCTGTGAAGGTGCTGCCTGGGGAGAGGTTTTCTAAGCAATGCTAAGCAGGACTGGAGGTGGCTTAGCCTCCCATAGAGGTTAGAAACAGAATAGCTCCGGGTGCAGGTCTGCGGGGGCAATCAGCAGCTGGGCAAATGCAGCACAGCCCTTCACAGCCTGCTGATGCTGCAAGAGACATTCTGGGAGTTTCACAAGTATGACCTCATTCAGTCTTCACAATAGCTCTACGAGGCAGGTTCTATCTCCATTTTATAGGTTAATAAGGTGACTCTCAAGGAAGCGAATAACTCCATGCAGCTCCAAATTGACTCATGGTACAGCAAGGCTTTTAGCTAAGATCTACCGGACTTCACTGCCCCTGCCTTTCCCAAAATATGACATTGCTCCCCTTGGGAATACTCATTCCTTGTGCAATGGAAACTGATGGAATTTGCATCAGGAGCAGTGGCTGGTTTCACATGACAAGACCTCAATATTCACACAAACTGTGCAGTGAGGATGGGAGTGCCTAAGTCCCAAAAGGGCTTTTCTGGATTTGTGTGGAAGCCACAAAGGCCCAAAGTAGTAAAAATATTGATGGGGGTGGGGTGGGGTGAGGGACCACAGCATTTCGCAGTGGCTCCATGTGCTACATTACCCTGGCTGGAACCAGTTAGGATATTTAGGATGGCACAGGAGCAGGGAGTGGGCCAGGGTGTTGTTACAGGAAGGAGGGATAGTGATGATATGGTTTGGCTGTGTCCCCACCCAAATCTCATCTTGAATTGTAGCTCCCATAACTCCCACATGTTGTGGGAGGGACCTGGTGAGAGATAATTGAAACATGGGGGCAGTTTCCCCCATACTGTTCTTGTGGTAGAATAAGTCTCATGAGATCTCACGGTTTTATAAGGGCTTTCCCCTTTTGCTTGCCTCTCCTTCTCTTGTCTGCTGTCATGTAAGATGTGACTTTGCTTCTCCCTTGCCTTCTGCCATGATTGTGAGGCCTCCCACGTGGAACTGTGATTCCATTAAAGCTCTTTCCTTTATAAATTACCCAGTCTCGAGCGTCTTCGTTAGCAGCATGAGAACAGACTAATACAGCCAGCAAGCTAAGGAGTACGTGGAGAGTGCTTCAGCACAGGGAGGATGGGTCCTACGGCCATGGTGAACCAGAGCAAGCCAGGTGGGGAAACTGAGCCAGGAGGCGAATAGAAAGTGTGCAGATGCTGTAGGGGCAGGGCGTGCCTGGGAGCAGCTGACGTCTGGGCAAATGGTACCCTGAAACACAAAGTCTGAGAAGAGTGTTTGAGAAAAGGAGCAACAGCCCTGTGCTAGCTGCTGCTTCACAGATGGCACGTGGGGCAGACTTTGGCCTCGCAGTCTCCCTTACCCTCACAGGAAGCTCAAGCACAGGGGCCTCGCCCTCACTTCCATGGGGAAACTGAAACTCAGAGAGGTGGAGTGAATTCCGAAGATCCCCAAACAGGTAAAAAGCGGAGCAGAGTGTAAACCCACATGAAGGCGTCAAAGTGCACGCTTTAGTATGTTCTAGAAAGAAAATTGGAGGCTGTATAAGAAGCGGATGTGGCGATACACCATACTGGGGGAAATGAGGGGGATGAAACCTAATAAAGGAATGGACAGAAAAAAAATGCCCCAGATGGAAGCAACAGGATTTCCTAAATGGCTGGGTTTTAGGAGAAGGGGACAGGGAAGGCCGAGGTTGCCCTGCAGTTCACCGCTTGGTGGGCTGAAGTGGGAAGGTGCAACCAGCTAGCATGAACTCAGATGAAAGAAGAGACCCAGTGTGGTCAGGGTGTGCTGAGCTCAAGGAACGCAGGGGCATCGAAGGAGAAATATCCTGCAAGGAGGTGCCTGGATCCGTCAAGCTACAGTCAGGGATGTGAAATTCGGCTGTGAAGATGAGAGTTAAAATCATGGAATGGACACCATCCTTAAGGCAAGTATGTCAAATAAGAAAAAAAAAACCAAGGACAGAGGCTTCAGAACCACATCCTAAGCTCCCACACCACTCAAGTTCCTTTAAGGTCACGCATCCAATACCCGCTTTGCATGTCTAACTTCAACATTCATTGAAGATTTACTCTTCTAATCAGTATTAATAAAAGATGAGATTCGGGGGGATAGCAGATGGGAATTCCAAAATGCTAGAAACAGACTTATAAGATAAGATAGAGTTTAAAACAAGGTCATTTTCCAATTCCATGCAAGCCCACATCCATTTGATGCATGTACTTGTAGACTTTGGATAGAAGGATTTATTTCCTGAGTCGTAAATAATCAATAAGGTTTTCTGTCATTGTTAACTAGGCATGAGGGCTAATGAAAAGTATGGAAATAATAGAGTAATTTACCTCTATAATACAGAAATTTACTTTTCACACATTTTACTCTTAATAATCAGTGAGATGAGGGGCATCATTCTTTGTAAATTTGCACATCAACATGGGGGAACAGAGTGGAAAAGAGAGAAGACATGTAAAGTGCAAAACAGCTATGATTAAAATGCAAAATATTTTATTTTAAGGTCAGTTTTTCCACATTTAGACCACAAATAGCCTATGAAAATTATTCATAAATTTCTTATCCTAAAAATAGTAATACGTATAACAAAAGTTGCTGTTTAACATTAAACAATCAGAAAAAATGTTTGAAAACTTTTTTGGCCTGAGTAATAAACTCACAAATAGAAATCAATGGTAAGAAAGTTCAACTGGAAAACCACGCCAGGAAATCTGCAAGAGGAGCTCCATTTTTCATTAATTTCCAATATATAACAAGCTGCTCTCACTGGTGTGTGTTTTCGGCTTGAAGATAACCCGCGGCAGTTGTTAACCCTGAGCTGCCTTCCGTTTACAGAACCTTGACAACATCCCTGCCTCGAAATCAAGAATCACATGTTTAGGGAATTCAAACTCATTTAGTTATTAGCCTAAGTAAAATATTATTATGAAGATAAATCTGTAGGGAAGAGGGAAAAACCCAAACAAGCCATTCACAAGGCAAATAGAAATGCCACTTTGATTAACTCGTGTTTTAGTGCACACCTGAGCAGGTGTCTCTTTGCGGACATTATTATATGGTGCACCCAAGCATTCGGGGCGATGTGTAGATTTGTAGCTGTGTTTCTCTTCCATCAGCCCAGTCTCCTGTGTGTGGGGTGCACCCAGGCCTGGGCTGGGGCTCAGTGATCAGGGCCTCCCAAGGCCATCTATCGCTCAACACTTTCTAAATTATCTGGAGATAAAGGGTGAGGATTTTTAAAGATTCCCACACACTTATTTTAGACTAATTGTTTTATAAGATAACTTACAATACTTTTTGGAAATGGCCATGCCCTTGAATTTGTATTGAGATCAAATTGTTACAGAAGCTTCTGTATTCTCAGGCTGTGCGCTTCTCTGGACATGGTGGTTTACAAAGACCTTGTGGCCCTGCTCAACTGCAGCCCACATTCTGAGCAGCACCGCAATAGCATCTCTCAGTGTCTTTGCTCTCTTACAAAATGGGGGCACACTTGCCATCTCATGAAGGTTGTGAAGGTTACAGGAGGTAACGGATGTGAGTGCTTTATATGCAGGCAGCTTTTAGGTCATTGCTGCTAGCCTGGTTCCCTTGCTGACTCCCATCCTACTTCTGCCTTGCATTCTCTCCACATGCTCTTCCCTCCAAGCTGTCATAGAGATTCCCAAAAGATTCAGCTTTGGAAGCCAAGTGCCATCTGCCATTGGTGAGCCCAGTAATCTCCAGTAGCCCCTGGATTTGTGCTCCCCGGCAAGCCCTCACAGCTCAGCCTGGTATCAAGGCTCTCACGTCTTGCTTAACATCTTGACCCTTTTCTTCTCTATAGTGCCTTCTGCCTGAACGTCTTTCCTCCAATCAAGAAGGCAGAATCACAGTGGGTCCATTTGCATAAATTCAATCCTCTTTGATTCTCCCAGCCAGAATTATGTCTTGCTATTCCCAAATCATACAGTCCTTTATCTCTGCCTCCAAATCTATTCATGACTTCTGATCTAATATTAGAAAGCACATATACAACATAGCACATGGGCTGTGGACTAATGTTTGTGTCTCTCCACAATTCGTATCTTGAGCCTGATGTGATGGTGTCAGGAGGTGGGTGGGGCGTGTGGAGAGTCATTAGGTCAAGAGCGTGGCGTCTTCATGAAGGGACTGGTGTCCTTTTAAGAAGGAAGAGAGAGCCAGCTCTGCATCTTCACCTTGTGGGGATGTGGCCAGAAGAGACTGTCTGCAACCCAGGGAGGGAGCCCTCGCCACACACCAGATGTGCAGGCACCTTAGTCTGGACTTCGGAGCCTCCAGAACTATGAGAATTGATGCCTGTTGTTTAAGCCGTCTGGTAGTTGGTGCCTTGTGGCAGCAGCCTGGGCAGCCTCACACAATGTTTGTAGACAGCAATGGACTGAGAGCTGCCTGCATCTGCCTCATCACATTCCTTTAGTCATGAGCTTGCTGTCTTGTCCAGTCACATGAAATAATTTATCCCCTTTGCAAATCTATCTGTGAGTCTCTACCATGTGCCAGATAGAGGGATGGATGAAGAGGGACAGAAGGGAATGATCTGTCACTGAATCAGAGGTCTGTTCCACTTGAGATTTGCCCCCAAAAATGACACACGAGCAATGAAAAAATTACAGCCAATCCGAGCAATGAAAAAATTACAGCCAATCCAAGCAATGAAAAAATTACAGCCAATCTCCCTAATTGGTACTCAATGTATTCAGGGATTCTTTAAGTGTGGCCATAAAAGGACATTAAGGACAATACATAATCAAGCAAAAGTAGTTAATAAAGAAAGTACAGCACAGTCTCTGCCTGCCCTGGTGCTCCTGCCCCAGCTCAGTCAGGATGCCGTGCCCCCTCCCAGCCAGTTTGAGGCTGCAGAGATGTCACCGAGACTGAGCAAAGCAGTGCCGGGCATCCTGCTCATCATGACCTTCCTCTTTAAAAATCGGCTGACGCTGACTCTTGTTTCATTTCTTTTCCCTTCCTGGTCATGTTGTCGAGTTTATTATGTCAGAATGTACAAACTCCTTACCCGTGTCAAGGATGTGGTTGCGTGTTCTTCGCTTCCTCCTTCCGGGGAGCATGCCGCGGCCTTGCTGGCTCGAGAGGTCCCGTGTCTGTGTGTGTACACATGTGTTTACGGATTCTCACCATGAATCACGTCTGCAGTGAAGGGTTCTGACATCTAGCAAGGAACTGACAAGTAACCCTTTTGTTTTTCTCTGTCTCAACAGTCTGGCCAGGTCACAGGGGGACACAGTGCCAACAACATGGATTTTTAAATTAGAATTTGAGGAGCTCCCCGCAGGCATACTGGCTCAGTTGCCCACACAGTCCAAGAACACCCACCTGAGGAAGGCTTTATGGAGCTCTCTCATTTTGTTTATTCCAGTTAATGAAAGACAATTCTTACATTCCTAAAACAATGTTCACACACATCAGCCATGATGTGATATGATAAAGGATGGCTTAAAAAGCTCCCACCCCATTCGAATGGTGGGAATTTACACTGCAGGTCAGTTTGTCTTTAAATGCAGATCTGTCTGCACGTCTCCTAGAGGGAACAAACAGAGCCTGCCAGCCAGATGGCCTCTCTGAGCCAAGGCGCTGAGGTCATCTGGTGGTTCTGGGAGTCAGCTGGGGCTGCCATACAAAGTGCCATAGGTCAGTGTTTAAACAACAGAAATCATTTCCTCACAGTTCTAGAAGGAGGAAGTGCAACATCGAGGAGCCAGAAAGTTTGGTTTCTAGCGAGGGCCTGCATCCTGGCTGTCAAATGGCCACACTCGCCCTGTCCTCACTCTGGCATTGCTGAGTCTTCTCACAAAAATGCCAGCTCCCTGGACAAGGATGCCATGCCCATGACCTCATTCCACCCCAACGACATCCTTGGGTTTGAATTTTGGAGGGACACACAGTTCAGCCCATAATAGCGGTGTTTTTACTAGGTGGGTGGATCAATGGTAGATCTTCAAAGGGAGATATCAGAATTCAAATAAATTTAGAGGCTGGGAAAATTGTCTTCATGATTCATTCTGCCTGTCGCTGTTAGACACTCACAGGCTACACGGCTGCCTGAACTCTGCATCCTGGCGAGGCCTCGCCCCACCCAGCAATCCCACCAGCAGCAGTAATGCCCTCCTGCCCTGCCTGAAGCTAAAGACGACAGTCACCCTTATTGCCCAGCTCTCTTCCCTCCTGCCCTGCCTGAAGCCGAAGATGACAGGCACCCTTATTGCCCAGCTCTCTTCCCTCCTGCCCTGCCTGAAGTCAAAGACGACAGGCACCCTTATTGCCCAGCTCTCTTCCCAACACTGCTGGGTTCCAGCCCTGTCATCGTCCACTCCTGGCACCACCTGACCTCCCATGTTCTCTGGGCCTCTAGGACACTCATGGCAGGCTCTCCCTGGCCTCACCCTGCCCCCGCCCTCGCTGAGCCCTGGTGCTCTCAGAGGTGCTGCCTGCCCAAGGGGTGGGTGTCTTCCCTTTACTGCTACTTCTCCATCTCATTTCTTTGCTTAAAAAAAGTAATGGTCAGATCTCAAACTATAAGAAAAGAGTAGAAAACAAAACAAACTGGCCTCTCAGGGGAATACACTTTAGTGTGTGCATGTTAGTGAGTTCCGACAGGAACAAAATAAACAGCTTCTGCCTCGACTCCTTCAACAATATCATCTCCAGCATAGGTCTCTTCTCTGAACTCCTGAAGCCCATATTCAACTACGAATTTCTCCATTAGATGAAAAGCAGGCGTCTTGGCTTAACCTGTCTAAACTGATCTCTGGATGTCCCTCCCAAGGGCTTCCCTGCCAGTCTTTCTAGTTGAGCAAATGGCACTTTCATTCCATTGGCTGCTCGGAGGAACTCTTGGAAGTCACCCTTGATGCTTCTTTCTCACACCCCATGACAACTGGGTCAGGAAATCCTGCTGGCCCTGCACCTCCAGGGCGTCCAGGTGTCTCCCATCTCCACCCCTGGTGCCCCAGCTTCTTGCCTGTGCCCCTGCAGCCCCTGGCTCCCTTCTCTCCACTCCAGCTCCTTCTCCACCTGCAGTGGAGGGATCCTGGGACAGTGTCAGTCCCAGGAGCTCTCAGGGGCCTGTGCCTTCCGGGCCCCTTGCTGTCTCTCACGGAATCCAAAGCCTGGCTTTGTGTCCACATGCCCCCAGCGGGCTGTATCCTGCCCCCTGCCACAATTCTGGACTCTTCCCTGGTGACGCTCCTCCTCATTCCTCTGCTGGGGCACCAATGGCCTATTTACTATCGCAGGACCTTTCGGCCCTGGTCCTGCCTTCAGCCATTGAGAAAAACACTAAATAGTGAGGGAGAAGAAAAACAAAATGAGTAAGAACAAGGATTTTCCTTAAGGATTAAAACACATCTAGAAATGACCCCTGATAAATGAGATGTTTGGAAACAACAGAGACCAATACAGAAAGTGGGTGGCCATGGAGAAGTCTCAAATTCCATCATGTTCCTGTAGGACTGGGGCTATGGTTTGGTAGCTTTTTAAATGTATCATGCCAGGAAGATTTAAATGTTCTACCTCCCCAGATAGTAATCCTCCTAAGGACCAGTCTTTGGCCTGGTCGCCCAGCCAAAGCCAGTGTCTGGAGGGAATGGGAAGCCACTCAGAGCATAGGGCAGTCAGGGCCTGTAGGCAGTGCCTGGACCTGCAGTGAGTGTCAGAGGCACCTGCCCCAGGGTAGGGGGGCTGTGACCAGGGCCACACATCTCAGAGTGGCTGCAGCAGCGGGAGGTACCCAGCTGTGAGGACTGCTGTGCTGCATGTCTGAGAGGTTACTAAGGAGGGAATTTGGGTTATAAGAAGGAAAAACACCAGAAAAGTCAATTGCTGTTTACATGTCCAAAGGTGAGGCAGTAATATAAAAGTGTTGCTTTTATCCGCCCACAAAAAAAATTATTGTGGGTGAAATTATAATTCACATTCTTCTTGGTATTTTTAAATATTTTGTCTCCATTATTAAAACACAAAAAATTGCTGTAAAGACCTTACAGAACACTAATGAAATACTTTTCAAATGAATATAGAGAACTGATACTCAATTATCCATATGACACATTTTTACAAAAAGAAACAAAAAGGAGAAAGGTAGGCACAAAGAAGGAAGGAAAGGCATCATAGAGAAATTATAATTAACAATAATTACTATATGTTTCAAAATAGCTAGAAAAGAAGAATTGTAATGTTCCCAACACAGAAATGATAAATATTTGAGGTGATGGTTATCCAATATCCTGATATGATCATTGCACATTGTGTACATGTATGAAAATATTATATATAACTCCAAAATATTTATGACTATTACACATCAATGGAAACTTTTAAAAAGAAAGGAAAGAAGGAAGGAAAAAAGGAAGGAAGGAAGGGAGGGAGGGAGGGTAGGAGAGAAGGGAAGGAGGGAGGGAGGGAGAGAGGACAGTGGGCAGGTGGGTTAATGCATTCAAAGCACTCAAATGTCATTGGAATTTACTTACAACATAAACTGAACTTTTTTCCTAAAACATTTAGGAGAATAAAGGGACATTCTTAATCACTCATAATATGTGAAGACTCTTAGCCTCTATTGCTAGTATTGGAAGATTTTGTTTCAGGAGATTTGGGCTTGTTTTTATCTAAAGCAATTTCTTGGACTAAGGGGAGTAGCCTGAGAAAGAAGGTATAGTGTACTTAAAACATATTTCTAAAATAAACAGTATTAGCTCCAGCTATACAGTTGCAATGAACTATGTTTCTAATAACATCACTTTGCACAGGAATCTTAATTGTAGACCTTGTAAAATGTCTCCTTATGCTCATAGTCTCAGAACACGTTTAAAGCATGCCACGGTAAGATGGAGGAGAAGTGGTGATGAAGGCCTCCCAGAGCATGGGCAGAGGCTGACTCAAGCCAGCCTATAACCTGGTCCAGGGCTCATTCCATAAGACCCCGAGAGCCTCCACTCGGAGAGCTGTGAGGCTCAGCAAACACGTATTGATCCCTATGTAGTGCTATGAGGGGGCTGGAACAAGGAAAGCAGATGGCCACACACTGAGACCAGGGCAGTGTTGCACCCAGAGCATGAGCAAGTGCGGTAGAGTCAGCGGGAGCCAGTGTGCTGGTTTGGGGTGGGGACCACAGCTGGAGAGTGCTGGTGGTTGGATGTCACCTTGGGCAGACACTGAGCCAGGTCTTGGAGGATAAATGGGTAGACATGTTTGTTTGGAAAGAAATTTCAAGAAAATATAATAATAAAATGTGTGTGTGTGTGTGTGTGTGTGTGTGTGTGTGTGTGTGTGTGCATGCCTGTTATAGCAGTCATGTGAAAACAAACTGCATGTGAGACTATCACATTGCTGGGGCCATTCTGGGCAGGACCTTCATCTAAAAGTATTGGTCGAACCTAAAATGATGAAGCTAATACCTTAAAATCTGTTCAGTGTTCTGTGGTTTCAGCACTAGGAGCTACTTCTGGTCATGGGATGTCAGAAATCAGCCTACCTATATATGACATGCTGAGCCCCAGTGCCCCCAGTTGGGCGATTTGGATGCTGTTGAATGAGAAGAACAAAACCAGGAGAGGGAAAGTGGTTTCCTAGAGGTCGTATCGCACCTAGTGTGAGCTCAGGCCAGTGTGCTGCATCCTGCCCTAAGTTGCCTCTTTAAAACACCAGCTCCTGCTCTGAGAGGTCTTCTCTACCTCGTCCATGGAATGTGAGCATCACTTACCTTTCATTTCAATATGTACCGTGAAAACTTTCCACATATACACTGAGCATGCTTCCTGTTGCTGCCAAGATACACTTCAATGAACTTTGCATGGGTTGATGTCTTCCCAGCCTCATGTCAGCCCATCTTTCCACCTTAACCTTCCACACATAACCAACCTATTCTTTCACACCTCCACGCCTTGTTCTTGTCCTCAAGAGAAAGTCCCAGCCAACCTCCTCTGCCTGGGAAAGGCCTATGTATTCTTCAGTGTCATTCCCAAATGAGATCGACCTCCACCTTGCCCCAGCGGGTTTCTCCTCTCTGCCTGACAAACTACCCTGCCTTGTGTTTGTTGCTTTATGGAGTTGTGTTTTTTTATTCATCTGTTGTGTTTCTTGGTGGAATGTGAGCATTCAGAGCTCTGTGCCTGGACCACCTGATACAGTGGTGTATGGGTAATAGGTCCTCAGGGACCCTGTGAAGTCAAACAATGTTACAGGCTTCCTTTCAAAGGAGTGAACCTTTTTGCTAGGTAAGGTCCGTACACTGCAGAGACTATGCTCTGAAAGCTGGGTGTACACCCTTGCGTGCCTGTGTGGTGCCTTGACACATTTCTCAGGGCCTGCCCCCTACACAGCCCTGAGCAGACCAGTCCTCGCTCAACCAGGACCATGACAGCTTGTTACGGGATATTGAAGTTTCTCGATTCTGCCTATCAGAATTATTTAACTCATTGGGATGTGGATCAGACAGTTCTTTAAAATGTTACAAATATGTCAGTTAATTAATAAAGTCCTTTTACAACCACACAAAGAAATGGTTTCAGGAATCCAAGGCTGGGGAACGGGGAGGGCTATAGGGAACCAGGAAGACTCCAGTTATTTGTTTGGGTTTGTTAGTTTCCACTTCACCTTGGTCCTCCTGACATCTTCCTACTCTGCAAGCGCTAAGGCTGGTTGTCACATGCAACGATGGTGTTAGCAACCAAGCCACCGAAAAGCAGCTTGGGAAGGCTGAATTCACATTACCATGCCTTCATTTTAGACTGAGGGACCCTTGAATCTCACCCTCTCTGCAGGTGCATACAAGACTGTCCTCTCCATTTCCCATTTGCCTGCTTTCTACTCCTCCTCATGATTCTCTCTTGCCTCCATATCAGATGCTGGAGCCTGTTACTCCACACCCCCCTGGAAGCCCTCATGGGCCTGTGCATCCAAAGGAACACTCCTGTCCCCAGAGCCCATGGTGCTTGACCACGGCACCACACATGTGCGATTTCTGTTTGCCTTTACTTCACCTGCTAACTTCCGATTGATTCTTTTTTTTTCTCTTTTTCTTTTTTTGAGACAGAGTCTCACTCTGTTGGCCAGGCTGGAGTGCAGTGGCGCAATCTTAGCTCACTGCAACCTCCACCTCCCTGGTTCACACCATTCTCCTGCCTCAGTCACTCAAGTAGCTGGGACCACAGGCACCCGCCACCACCCCCGGCTAATTTTTTTTGTATTTTTTTTAGTAGAGATGGGGTTTATGTTCTCTATCTCCTGACCTCGTGATCCATCTGCCTCGGCCTCCCAAAGTGCTGGGATTACAGGCGTGAGCCACCTTGCCTGGCCCCGATTGATTCTTAATTTTCCAAAATGCTCCATCTTTACTCATCTTTTCACCCTTCATACCCGATGGTGATTTGCACAAAGCATTTGCTCAAGGGTGACCTTGTGGAAAACCACTTCTGTTACCTCCCATCAAGTAATGGATGACAGGGTCCCACGGGTGGACAGATTGTCCCATACGGGAGGAAAGGGAACAGACTGCACACAGGTGCATCATGGCCAGAACAGAGGGAACAGTCAAAACCCACAGTTACATACATGCTCATGTTGCCACAGCCTTCACTGTGTTTATCAGTGAAAATGGATTCTTTAGAAAATAAAGTTGTCCAGAGTCCTGGGACTGGTTCTTTTCCTGTAATAGGGATGAGTTAGAATTGAAATAGTGTGGAAAAGAAATAATTACAGGATTAAGCAGCTATAAAGTTACTGCCCTTCAGGTGTTATGTAAAGGTAAACTACAAATGGTCATATAACAATTGTAATTATAGAAAAAAATGGGGTTGTATACCCTTTGCAACAGAATAAAAAAGAAAGAAAAAATACCCACGATACAGCCAGTGTTATGGCTAAGCTACCTAATCAATTAACATACCTTAATTTGAAGAAAAAAAACTATAGTATATTCCTAGCAAAATTTGAAACAATAATTTCTTTGAATATCTTTAGAAATCCATCCAATGTTACGAGTGACAGAAAAGTCAGTATTAAGTTATTTCTGCTTTTGGTTGCAAAATAGAAAAGGTAATTATTAATTCAGAAACACTTTTCATATACAAAATTAGACTTCTTTTCCTATATAACAACTGTTAATCTAAGAAATTTAAAGCGGAAAGTAAAAATAAAAGCTTTTACTTTTATGAGTTAATGGTAGTGGCCATATTTGTGCTGTGTACGAGGCACTAATGGGTGGCCTACATGTGTTGTGTATATGTAACGTGTGACACACAGCAACTCATGTGATCTCCACAATGATTCCAAGAGGTCCAGGCTACTATTATCCTCATTTTGCAGAAAATGAAACTGAGAGGCAGAGAGGAAAATTTACCCTCAGACTTTCAAACATAGAAAGCTGGATTTATTTCCTGCCAGTCTGGTTTAGGGATCCCTCCTCTGTCACTGTTATGCAACTTTGCATTTATTGTAACTTTTAAGTATGGAGAATTATAAAGAGACACAAAATTTTAAAGAGAACAGTATAATAAGTCCATATACCCATCAGTTACAAAAATGTGATTTGGCCACTGTCGCTTATCTAGACCTCCATTTGATAACCATTTCTATATTATTTTGAAGAACATTCCAGAAATCATATAATTTTGCCTACAAAAGTTTCAGTGTGCATATCTAACATATTAGAACTTTATTTTTAAACACAGGCAGGACACTATTAACATACTTAAGAAATCAACAGTAATTATGTAATATCATGTAGATGTTTTAAATAGTTGATGCTTTAAACTTCAGGGGTAAATTTAATGTATAAAGTTATATTTTTCCTGGCTATATTTTAACACCATGTATTTCTTCTTATGGGAAACAGTAGGACAGTGGTGAACTATGAAGGGATAAAGTGTCCCCTTGAGCCCAAGGCCACATCACCTAAAGGAAAGATGAACACAACACAGGAACTTACCAAGAACAAAAGGCCCCTCTCTTTCTCTTGTTCTAACTTCTTAACCACGCTTTCCCTTGCCCAGCTCTGGGAGGCACCTTCACTAGGGCTCTGCACTCCCCTCCCCACGAGCCTGTGTCTCTGAGATGCAGGAAGCACCTGGGAGGCCCTGGACCATCTCTGCTATTATCTTTCACCCCAAACTACTTAAGAGGATTCTTAAAATAAAAGGAGAGCTCTCCTCAATGGATCTTTGTTTTCAGATATTTACCATTTCTTAGTGTCTTAACAGTTGTGATGCTGTAAGGCCACTATGAAGTTCTGGGTACAGAGGACAAAACTCCCTTGGTTTTATGGTTTAAGATTGTATAGAGGCTAATAGTATCTACTTTTCCTATATTTCAAGGCTATGCCTGATTGTGATGATAGTTCAAAGTATGGAGGACAATAATGCCTTCTTACATATCAAAGAAGTATTATAATGATTAAGCCATTCAACATGGAAGAGGAAGAAGGAGAAGAAGAAGAGGAGAAGGAGGAAGAGGGAAAGGTGGAGGAGGGAAGGGAAGGGGAGGGGAGGGAAAAAGAGAGGTGGAGTCCAGGAGGAAGGAAGAAAACAATGGAGTAAGAAGAGAGAAAGAGGGAGGGAAGGAGGAAGGAGAGAGAGAAAGAGAGAAGGAATGAATGAATGAAGGAAGGAAGGAAGGAAGGAAGGAAGGAAGGAAGGAAGGAATCAAGATTATCCCTCAAATGTCAACCAACACCTGTTCCATGCCCAGGTTGCTTTTCCCTATCAGTTCAGCTTTTTACCTTCAAGTTTGTTGGCCAGGTAGTTTCGGGTTGAGCGACAGCCTTCAAGGTATTTCCATTTTGCCATTCTATGTTCATAAGGGTTTTTAATGTATACCCTCAAGCGGGCAACACTGCACACTGGGATTTTCTTTCACTAGCTTCTTCTAATCAAAGAATGTAAACTAGGAAAGGTAGGAAGCTGTTGTTAGCAGACAGCACTTACGTGATTTATCTATTTAAGAAGCAGGACAAGTACATGGCATAAAGTCAAGGATGGGGTAAGAGGTAAATGAAACAAAAGCTTTGATGTAGAAAAATTATGTGGAATTTCAAATAGATGGATATAAGAAGTAGTAAAAACATGTATCAGAAAAGGAGGAAATAAAGAAATAAACTATAAGTGTCATCAGAAAACATTAAAGTAAAAATTAAGAAAATTTGTATGAGCAAGAAAATTCATTTGTGGACTAAAGTAGAAAGTGTTAGATTTTCTGAGAAGTTTTTCTTCCCATAAGGAGGATTTCAAGCATATACTATTCCTGCTTATATGATGTCAAATTAGGTCATTTTAATGAATTCACCACAAAACACTAGTTAGGCATTGCATACATACCCTGGTTGTATGGTTCACAGCTTTACGTATTGTTGATTTGTTGCCATTGCTTTAGTTTCTTGCATATCAAAGTTGCCTTGGTAATAGGCATTATCTCCAGGACAACCAAGTGAACCAACTCCAAGAAACTATTTGGAGTGAAAAATTTGGAAGAGTAAAGGTGTTCACCTGCCCATTCCATATAAGACAGAAATCAGGAGCTGAGACTATGGGGTGCCTTTTAAACCGAACTAAACTTCTTCTATCCGCCCTTGTGCACATTACATAACGCTCTGCCTCAGGTCTCTCCTGCTGAGAATGGGGATGATAATGTTTCCTTCCCTAGTGTTATTTTAAGGAGGAAGTCAGGTAACACACATCAACTTCGTAGGACACGGCTGCAGTGCAGCAGTCTGTGCAGGGTGGCCACGCGCGTGCAGCATTGCAGCAGGGTCAGACCCCATCAGGAGGTGGAGAGGAAGCTTCAACCAAACAAACCATAACCTGAGAGGCATCCAGAGCTCTGTGATTTAAAACCCAGAACACCAAGCACAAAATTTCATCCTAAAATATTGTGGTTTAAGTCTCCTCAAAGATTTCTAATTCCTTCATTTAACTGATGAAGTGACTGAGGCTTAGAGAAGGCTGGTGGCTTGCCTCGGTGCGGCCATAGGGGACACACTAGGTTTTCCAGCTTTTGATGAGGGTTTGTTTTATACCAAATGTACACAACCGTGGTGATATGGTTTGGCTGTGTCCCCACCCAAATCTCATCTTGAATTGTAGTTCCCATAATCCCCACATGTTGTGGGATGGACCTGGTGGGAGGTAATTGAATCATGGGGGTGGTTACCCCACACCGTTCTCATGTTAGTAAGTAAATTCTCATGAGATCAGATGGCTTTATCAGGGGCTTTCCCTGCTTTGCTCAGCACTTCTCCTTCCTGTGAAGAAGATGCCTTTCTTCAGCTTTGCCTTCTGCCGTGATTGCAAGTTTCCTGAGACCTCCCAAGCCATGCAGAACTGTGAGTCAATTAAACCTCTTTTCTTTATAAATCATCGGGTATTTCTTCATGGCAGTGTGAGAATGAACTAGTACACGTGGCATGACTTTTCATGTCATAACTAGTAATAGTGTGGGGCAAATGACTTTTGTTTTCTTTTTAATATAATTGTTGTGTAATATGTACAGAAGTGGGAAGAGTAAATGCTTGTGTCTTCCTGATTGATTGTAAAATTCTTCCCAACTAGCTCATGTAAGTGGTCAACAACTGAGGCCAAAATGTGTTGCTTTATAGAGATTTAGCAGACTTATATTAATGATCCAATTACCTTGAATGGCGTGAACTTAACTTGTGTATTTAGAAAAACAATAATCAAATATTGAAAATACTGTCATATGAAATAGAAATTAGCCCATAGAACCTAGAACATGTTCTGAACATAGTAGATCATTAAAATACATCCATTAAGTTGAATTGAATTAGACATAGTCTGTATCTCTCCAGAGGCTGAAAGTAAAAACAACAGGTGCCTATTATAAAACTGAATAATATGCAAACCCTTGACACAATCCAACAATGGAATGAGTTGCCTTGTTGAGTTGTAAGCTATCTGTTCCTGGAAATATTCAAGAAGCAATAAAAAGGCTACTTTTTAGCGGTAGGTGGCATGGGGGCAGAAATGTTTCTGTAGTGCACTCTGGCGTTTAGTATAACGAACACAATCCTAGCTTTCTTTAATGGTAGTGGATCTCGAAATTCTCAGAGTTACACATCAGAAACAATAATGGTCGCTATATTAAATTGCTCATACTGAGATCTTATTTTTAAAGTAAATGTATTGTAATGCTTTTCATACCATGTATCAGAGACTCAATATAAGCGTGGATTCTGCAACTAAAAGGTGGACTTCTCAAAATCTGGATCATGTTCTATCATTTACATATCACCACTGCCTCACACAGTGTATTGCACGTAGTAGGCACTTCATACATTGATTTAATATATGAACAAAAGAACAGAAGTGTCAGCTTTTTAACTGAGTTTATGAAAATTTAGAAGATATTTTGAAATACATTTTTAGCCTTTACAAAACTAAATTTGTGCTATGAGATTAGTTTTTTCTTAAGGTTGAATTTATGAATTTATGACACTGCTATGTGTAATGGCAGACCGTTCAAACACTGGATGGTTAGCTGTGTTTTCAATAGCAGAGAACATGCAGTGATAGGACCACACATAAAATGAAGCAGGATTGTAAAGATAATGCCCTTCTCAAAAGCTTCAAAATGTATATAGTCTTGAGTCAAGCAATTCTACTGTGAATTTATCTTAAGAAAATCATTAACAGTGTGAAAGGTTTTAGGTAAAGAATGGTTATTAAAACCATGTTTATAAGGCAAAATTTTAAAAATCCAACTTATGAAATTACAATAGAGAATTGATGAAGTATATTTCAGTGTATTCATAAAGTAGAATGCTAGATGAGGTAACGGAATAAAATAAGGTAACAGAAAAGTAGTTCTTCAGGCTGGGCACAGTGGTTCACACCTGTAATCCCAGCACTTTGGGAAACCGAGGTGGGCAGACCACTTGAGGTCAGGAGTTGGAGACCAGCCTGGCCAACATGGTGAAACCCCGTCTTTACTAAAAATAGAAAAATTAGCCAGGTGTGGTGGCATGTGCCAGTAACCCTAGCCACTTGGGAGGCTGAGGCAGGAGAATACCTTGAACCCCGGAGGGAGAGGTTACGGTGAGCCAAGATTGTGCCACTGCACTCCAGCCTGGGTGACAGAGCCAGACTCCATCCCCCCCAACACAAAAAGTAGTTCTTCATACAGAAAGATACATACGATGCATAAGGGAAAAAGGAGTAAAGAACAAACGGCACAGTTTGACCCATGTTAATTTAAAATCTTTTTGAAGACTGTCAAAGAAATCAGTCTTGAAGAATTTTAAACCAACATACTAATGGTGGTTGTCACTGAATTTTTGAATTTCCAGTGCTTTAAAAATTATATTATCTATTATTTTAATATTCTAATGTTTCTACAATGGACATACACTAATTATGTAAAGAAAATAGAAGTTTAAAAACTTGGTCTCTCTGGCAGTTTGACGTTAATGCAAAGAACGACATTGAGAGGATAAGTTTCTAAAGATATTGACACCAAAAGTAAGAGAGTACAGAGATGATGCCTTGAAAAGTATAATTTTTGAACCATTAAAAATTAGTTGTGTAGCAAATAGAGGACATTGGGTCCAACAGATTGGTTTATTTCTCAGTCTTGCTGGAAATTAAATTTGTAGCACTTCTCAATTCCACCCACTCATAATTGGAAGAGAAAGTGAAGGCCACAGAAGCTGAGAGTCTGCTTCAAAGTCCCCAGGCAGTAAGGGCTGCTCAGACCTCAAACCTACACGTGGTCAGGCAATGCTACTCTTTCATGCAGCTGAAAATTTACACAGTTATGTCCAAGACAGATTTCAAAAGGGATACAAATGATTCCCAAGGATGTGCGTCTATGGAAAAAGGAAACTACAGCCTCAAAATGGGGCTCTGATTGGAAGTAAGCTCTGAAGTCCGTGCACCTCTGGCTACCTGTCCGACCTCCCTCTGCCTCAGTTTCCTCATGTCTAAAAGGGATGGTGGCAACTTTCTTACAGGGTACTCAAGGGCTTCAAGAGAGCCAGCCATGTCTGCAATGTGGCCTCACCCAAAGCAGGCACTCAGGCTAAAGTGAAGGAGTAGGAGTGGGAGGAGTTTGAAATTCAGAAAACACCACGTAAGTATAACAAGAAGAATTAGGAAATTAAACATAACTATATGTTTTTGGATCAAGTTCTCTGCTTGGTTCAGTTCATTTATGAAATATTTAGATTATAGGTGATGCTTTCATCAGTATAAAGATATAAGAAAAAGTCATAGTTGATGTATGAATTTAACATGTATATGTAATTGACTAGACAAGGCATACAACTGAAGCACGTAAGCATTAAAAACAGCAAGAAATAACTGGTACAAAAGAACCCAGTTGCCCGAATTCTAAATCAGTCATTGCCTTGTGAGTTCTGCTTGTTTTCAGGTACCTCCTTTACATTCCTAATACAACGGTAAGGTCCCATTGCAATTCACATACCACACGCTGTGATCCCTCAAATGTCAACGTGGATTGGACAAACGTCCAGGCAACAGCCGCACACACCTCGTCCTTGGCTACAGCCTCCTCATGACCCGCCCTGCATGTAAGAGAAGAGGAAGAAATGGTTAATGGAACTGGGACTCTTTTCTCTTGAGTTAATGGGAATGGATAGTTTCCCTGCATCTTGAGCTATTCTCATTAAAGTATTGAAGGCCCTACGCACACACAGCCACACTTGCTGAAATTTATCTAAGGAGGGGTCTTGGAGTTAGACACTCCTACTGTGTCTCCTCAAAATTGTAATTTTTTGTTTTTTTTGAGACAGAGTCTTGCTCTGTCACCAGGCTGGAGTGCAGTGGCGGGATCTTGGCTCACTGGAGCCTGTCTCCTGGGTTCAAGCGATTCTCCTGCCTCAGCCTCCCAAGTAGCTGGCACTACAGGCATGCACCACCATGCCCAGCTGATTTTTTATATTTTAGTAGAGATGGGGTTTCATCATGTGCTATGTTGGCCAGGGGTCAGGGTGGTCTTGATCTCCTGACCTCGGGATCCGCCCACCTTAGCCTCCCAAAGTGCTGGGATTACAGGTGTGAGCCACTGCGCCTGGCCAAAGTTGTACTTCTTTTAAAATAAAAGTCTGTGCTTTAATAAAAATGAAAGAACAAGGTCAGTTGTGTGAAACTTGAGAGAGTCCCTAGGTCTCCGTCCTCCCTACAAAGTCTTCTAACCCGGGGAGATGAGCTGGAGGTGAGCTCCATGCCCAAAAGGCTGCTTGTCAGGCAGTGATTGCAGTTGCAAGAGAAGGTTCTGGACTTGGGGAGTGCATCGTGAATTGCATTATGGCAATGTATGCAGGTTCAATAGGGACCTCAAACGCAGCTTGCCTATCTAAGGCCATATCAGGACAAATGCCACAATGAAAAATAAGAGGTGTTTAAAAAACAGAAGTAAAGAAACATGCACAGACCAGGAAGTTTCCCATATTTCCTATTTCCTAGGTTCACTTGGAAAACTAGGGTGGTGGAAGAAAAGGACAATAATTCCTTTGGAAAATTAATTCAACTTTTTCTACCCACTAACCATATTCGTTCCAATTTTAGCAGTTCTGTGGGAGGAAAAATGAAACATGAAATTCTTCTATGCTTTCAACTTTGCATATCTCTTTACCTCTACCTGGAATGCCCTCCCCTTTCTGGGTCTTCCCAATTCTGCCTAGAAGCCACACTTTCTATTTTGTGACATGTTCCTGGTGACAGAGGAGCAGGGATCTTCATGGTAAGAGCAGCACACATGTCAACTGCTCCCATTTCCGAGTATCCAGCTGAGAAGCTACACGTTAGGTCAGACACTGCAGGTTCAGTATCTCTCTTAATCCTCAAAGTCGGCATCATTATTTCCCTGTACATTGGCTCAAGATGCTGCCTAACCCCTGGAGACAGAGCTAGAGCATGCCTAGCAGGGGTTCAAAACCAGCTCTTCCCAACTCGAGGGTGCTTTCTGCTGCTGCAGGCTAGCCTCCAGTTTCTCAGACCCTCCAAACAATCCTCCAATTCTTTGTTCTTCACTCTTCTTCTTCTTCTTCCTTTTTTTTTGTGAGATGGACTGTCACTCTGTCACCCAGGCTGGAGTGCAGTGGCGTGATCTCAGCTCACTGCAACCTCTGCCTTCCAGGTTCAAGTGATACTCCTGCCTCAGCCTTGTGAGTAGCTAGGAATACTGGCGTGTGCCACCACCCCCGGCTAATTTTTGTATTTTTAGTAGAGACGGGGTTTCACCATGTTGGTCAGGCTGGTCTTGAACTCCTGACCTCGTGATCCACCGACCTCAGCCTCCCAATGTGCTGGGATTACAGGCATGGGATTACCACACCCGGCCTGTTCTTCATTCTTCTAAAAGGAAGCATTGAGCATTTGTGACATGCTTTGGCTCACACACAGAAACTTTCTCTTTTGCAGATAGAATTGATGACTCTTCCAGGACAATGTCATTCATTACTAAAATGTGGAGGGCATCTTAGATCATTTAAAATCAAATGAAATATATGTACACTTTTAAAAGAAGTAATGCAGATATCAAGTTTCGAATGATTTCTAACAAATTGAAAAAAAGAAAACATAGAACCCATTAGTAAACTTTTATGAGAATGTCTGGTCTTCGGATTTTACTTTACAACTGAAAAGGATAATAAATTTAGTTTCTACTCGGGTTAAAGTGTACTTGCCTATTGCGAGTCAATAATAAATGGTCTAATGGGTTTAAGTGGCCTCACATGGTTTGCTACACTTGGACACAGCAGGAGAGATCATCTGTGGTCAAGGGTGCCAGCAACACATCTACCTAAAGCACCAGGCATTGGCTTTGGAGAACTATGCCAGGACACAGCAGGCTTCCCTCCCCACCCACCTGCACTTGAAAGGCCACCTGCAGAAGGCGGGAAGGGTGCGCGAAATCACGAAGGCAGGGAGTGGAAGAGACTTAGTGTCAAAGCGATGTCACTAGGTTCTATTTCCCATTCTGTTATCATCACCTGAGAGAGGGAGACACAGATACACACAGACACACACACAGACAAACACACACACAGATTTCATCTAAAATTGCCATTGCTTTGAGGCCAAGGCAGGCGGATCACCTGAGGTCGGGAGTTCGAGACCAGTCTGACCAACATGGAGAAACCCGGTCTCTACTAAAAATAGAAAATTAGCCAGGCGTGGTGGTGCATGCCTGTAATACCAGCTACTCTGGAGGCTGAGGCAGGAGAATAGCTTGAACCTGGGAGGCAGAGGTTGCGTGAGCAGAGGTCGTGCCTTTGCACTCCAACCTGGGCAACAAGAGCGAAACTCCGTCTGAAAAAAAAAAGTATTTGAATCCTTTTTAAAAATTCAGATAATCCTCAAGGAGCTTACAAGACTTTAGGTATTAAATTTTTAAGTGTTGAAAAAAATTGACTAGACGAAGTTATTTAATGTCAGGACCATTATCTTTCAAACATTTTGTTAAGCATCGCCAGCATCCTGGTGCAAAATTCTGGACGTAAGACCTGTTCAAATACTCAAAAGTAAGTGATTTACAGAAAATCAGCTAGCATGAGTCAGTCCCAGTCTTTTTTAAAAAATAGATTGTTGAAAAAAATATAAATACTGTATTTACTGAAGATGGGAAAGTGGCAATTTCAGGAGCACAGAGTGACTTTCTCATTTGCAAAATGAGGATAATGGATTAGATCATCTTTAAGACTCTCCTTTTGACCTCTGAAATCCAGCTTTATTTCTCAGTAAGAGCTTGGTCTTTTAAATTCATATGGATATTCTAGTTAATTAATAGTTATTTCATATAGTCTTTTAAACAAAGTTGTAGTTATTTCTGTGTGGATATCACCACGTTTTAGGCAGAAGAGAAGCACTTGCCTTGCCATGGAAATTGTAATAGCAATGAAACTCAAACTCTATTAAGCCCGACCAACTCTACAGCTCAGTTTGAAATTTGGAATTTAACCTACTGGAGATTTAAGTAGAGTAATAGCTAAACACAAGGCCTTACATTAAGAACTCTCTGGTGGGGTACACACATCATTCTAGAATATTTACTCACCCCCTTTTTTGGCTTCTTCAGACAGACATCAGATTTATCCCTAGATAGATCATCTGGTCTCATTTCCTGACACACTCTAGTTCATTTCTAGAGACAGGGAAGATATATTTATAATGACCTAAAAGTAGGGACTATGTGCCAAGTACTGAATAGGAATTGTCATTTAATCCTCACGACCAGGTAGATACAGGACAACATCAGTTTTACAGATCACAGAAATGAGGCCCTGGGAAGATACATCACTGGCCTAACGTCACTTAGTTTGTCAATAGTAGAGTTGGATTTGAACCCTGATCATCTAATTTCTCAGCAAGCGCTCTTAAATACCACACTCAAACCTCAATGCAATTAAAAGGAACTTTAAAAAAATTAGATCATCATATGCCTAGACAGAGCAAAGTATTGAGAAGAGCTGAGCAAAGTGTTTCTCATTATCTGGGTCCTCCACATCCATTCAAAGAGCAGGGCGTGCACCAGCCTCATGTGCAGTTTACCTGGAAATGTGCCGTAAAGGTAAAATACACAAAAGATTTGGTCACAGCATGAAAACAATGTAAAATATCTCATTGATCATTATGTATTGATTGCTTGTTGATATTATCATATTTAGGTTAGATAGCTATATTATTAAAATTAATTCCATCTGGTTCTTTTAATTATGTTTAACATTTACTGGAAAATGTAATATCACATATGTAATTCTTCCACTTGCATTATATTTATATTAGACAGTGCTGATCTAGAGTATCAGTTATCAGGTTAATTTTACAATGAGCTACACTTTGGAATTTTATCAGACTAGAGCCACATACACATGTTCAGCTTGAACACCTCTTTGCTAGAGAACAATATAACCCATTCAATTCAGTCTCAGGAATGCCAGGCTTATATTCTTCTTCAAATCGATAGCTTCTTAACTCAAAGTTACTTAATAATAAAAGTTATTTTCTCCAAGATAATTATCCTGTTAAAAATGTTCTACCCTTCAATATAAGCCACAGGCTTGCATGTTAAGTAGCTTTCCTGCAGGCTTCTGCAGCTCATGATGTCAGAGGTAGGTCAAGATTCCTTATCACCAAACGGAGCCCACGATGACACTTGTCTGGGCAGACAGAATCCTCCACTAACAGCAGAGTAAGACTGAAGACAACAGAGGGTGATGCCTGTCCCTTAACCCTGAGAAAATCCCAGTAGGTGGCCCTGTCTGGCTAGGGTGGGAATACCCTCTGTTAATCATACTGCCAGATACGTTGAAGTTTTATTGCATGTTGGCCAAAAAGCTTTCTTTAAATGTACTCAAGCTTACCTATTTATAATTTTTAGGCTTTTATGATTTTACCCCATATTTCAAGCATACTAGTAGTATAGTGGTTCATACTCTTAATTAAAAACAATTTTTAATTTGCTGATTATCATTTTTTCAGGCCTGTCTAGTTTCATATAGTGAGCTAATTTTTACATATATCTTATAGAAAAGCTGGGCTTACATAAAAAATATCTGCAAATATGTAAGCATAAAGCAACAGCCTCTAGTAACAATAATGAAAAAACATAACAACCTGCAAATCGCTGTGTTCACTTGAACAGTCATCCTTCCATAAGACGGAAATAAGAAGAGCCCTTGTACCACTGCTTGATCTTCTGCAAACAAATGTTAACTCCCCCTCACTGGTACCACCCATGGAATAAAAACAGGCTATGTGGACTAGAACCAAAATCCTCTCTAACTGGGGTGAGAGCATGGCTGATACTTTAAAGCATTTGATATCTGAGACGTTAGGTGAGTTTCTTAGTATTATTTTAAGTGATTTAGATGTGGATCCAATTAATAGCCACAGTCATAAATCCCCAAACTCCAGTTCACCTGTGTCATGGCATAAACAGGGCTTCACTTCAGCACTGGCAGCAAGGGCAGGTTCCCAGGAGGCAGATCCCAGGAGATGGAAGAAGGAGAGGAGAGTATGCTGAGAGGAAATGTGCTCCCTGGGGAAGACCTCCCCATAGCAGGGCTGGGATCCCCAGTGGGAGTCTGGGTATTTATGTTCTGACACTGGCCTTGGCAACTCAGCATCGCAACGCTGCCACATGAGCTCATGATGTCAGCCACACAGCCACAAATTGCAGGACATGGGCAGAGAAGCAGTAGAGAAAGTTAGAATTTCTAGATTGAGGTCTAGAACCTTGTCTTGGAACTGTGCTCTGTATATCTGAGAGTCCCATGGTCACCCCCAACCTCTGATGGAGCAAACGTTTATCTGCAAGGAGAGGGAGCTGGGGAAGGCCCAGAGCCCTGGCTTCCACTTCCATCTGAGGAGCGAGGCCTTCGTCTGCTTTCGTTTTTTAAAAGGTTCTTTATTTGCGCAAGTCTGAAGTCGCTGGATGACCTCATCTCGAAGACTAGCGTGCTGTGTGCTTTATCACATGCCATATAATAGCAAGAACATGTTATACTCACACAGTTTGTATAATTAAAGGACTTACATTTTAAGGAAATACAACACTGGTGTGGGCATAAAGATAACAATGAAGAAAAAGAGTCATTAAAACTTAATTGCTCATCACATGTGCCAGCCAAGTTTAAGAACTACAGGTTAAAATGACAGCATTCTGTTAGCATCCATGCCCCCAGTCCACACATACACACACATGCTCTGACGTAGAGGCAGGAAAACAACATGGTTTAAAGATGTGGTTCCTGGACCTGGTTGCATATTGCAATTACCTGCGACCTTTGGAAAGGCACTGACCCCTGCCTGCAGAGACACTGATCCAATTAGTCTGGGGTGAGGCCCAGGCATCAGTATTTTTTTTAAGGTCCCCTGGTGATCCTGATGTGTGGCCAGGGCTAAGAAACACTGGCTCAAAAGAAATCCCCAGAACTAGCAAAAGAAAATCCAGATTTGAATTGCTATTCTGCTAGTTCTTAGCTGTATGAACTTCAAAACACAACCACTTCCTCCATTAGATAAAGAGGAAAAAGATAAAACATTGACAACACCAGCCCACTCACCTTCTAGGGCCATTATAAAAATCAATTTAGATTATGTAAGGGAAAGGCTAGGTAAAAAAAAAAAATGAAAGTCAGTATAAATTATGTTTTTACTTAAGGAATAACTCAGAGCAACATTAAATTCTCCTATGCTGAGAACCCTGAGACAAAGCACAGAAGCAGCCTAAGAAGCGAGAATGATGAAAAAAATCAGGAAAAAAGGGTTGTGATTCTGGGTTTTAGCTACAAAGCCAACGTACAGCCTTCCTGCCTCCTGACTATGAAACCAGTGATTTGTGATTTGAGCTTAAATCTCTTTATGATATAAAATGAAAATGTTCTGGGCTCAGGACAATTAGCTAGAGAAGCCCATGATTTTACAGGTTGGAGCTGGAACTGAAGCCCCATGCCTGCCCATGACTTCAGAAGAAGATTTAATCTACAGGCATTTACTCCTCGCGGAAATGGAAGAGGTGACTCTTGGGGATGGGAGGCAGGAGACTGGCCAACAGGAAAGTGTCCAGGTCTTTGTCCTGAAGAAGCTCATCACACAAACTGGAAGGTGAAAATCAAAAGCGACATATTTGCTAATGGGACAAACAAGAGGAAGCCGCTCAGTTCTAAGGAGACGCGGTGCGTGATGGGTTCTGAGTCCCGGCGCCGTGGCCTGTGTGGAAAGTCGGGTTCTGCACCGCGTACGCTGGGTGCGGTTGCAGGTGGACAGCAGCTTCCCTTGCCACGTGCAGGCGCCGAGCCAGCCTGGCTCCCCGACCCACGCACCCTGTGCCCCCAGGTGCCAGCTCTTGCATTACAGGAGCCCACATGACCGGGTCTGAAAAGAACCTAAAAGTCACTGTCTCACAGAGTATTTGATAATTTTTAGCATTTCTATTCACAGCCTAGCTTTCTCTGGAGCATCTCACGAGACGTCAGAGTGCGATTCTAAGAGTGCAGAGGAGCGCTCGACAGCCCGCAGGTGCAGGGCGGGGCGGGTGGCTGTGCCCGGGCTGAGAGGAGCGGGTGGGGCCCGACTGCCCATCCAGGGCGCTGCTCTCTGGGCCTGGGCCTCAGCTGCGTGGGCTCTGCTTCCCTCTGTTGGTGTGGAGCGGGAAGGAAGGAATCTTCCCAGGCAAAAGGGGCAGCGAGCAGGGCAGGTGAAGGCTCTACTATCCTCAGATGCAAGAATTCCTGCAGAGTGACTGGGGGCGGGCGCAGGGGCCTGCAGCTCTGGGGTCCGTGGCTCAGGAAAGACTGAAGGCTGCCCTGCTCAGCCTCTCCTGAAGCTGAGTCGGTGCCGCTCAGGCCAGCCTGCGGCCTCCTTGGTTTGGGATAGCAATTCTATTCCCAAACGTTACATGAAAACAAACCTGAAATTGGAGAAAAAGTCCTTGTGAAATGCACAAAAGACTTACGGTTGGCTATGGAAAGAACTGTTGGGAAAATTCCCCACTTCGATTTCCTTTGCTATTTTTTATTTTCTTGTGGATGTCAGGACTCCATATTGCCCTCAGCAGTGACACGGTTTCTGGACAGGACACTGCAAACCCAGAGGTGGTTCGTCAGCACTCGGGGACAGCCTCCCATCCCTGTTGGGGCTCAGCGCGGGGCCCTGCCGGGACAGGTGCACAGACATAGCCGTCTGTGTGGCCCTCAGGGTCCCAGCCTCCACAAGCCACATTGAGAACACTGTGCTCAAGTCACACAGAGAGCAAAGTTTGTATTTGTAAATTTAAAAAAGACGAAGTGGTTCTACATCCTGATATCACAAGCAAGTTTGCTTCCAAGGAATCAGACGTATTGGATAAACTGTATCTGACAAACTATTCTCCCTAATTTATTTTAACCCCAAGTCTGTACACAGAGCAATCAGAAAGACATTTGAGATAAGGAGAGTGGGATAGGAGAGGAACGGATCTGTGGAAATCGGTGAGACGGGGAACCAAGGCACGCTCTTTTCCCTGAAACACACTCTGCAAAAGAACATTTTCCTCTGTCTTGCATGTTTATGTTTCATTTGCAAGTTCTGCTTACAGAGAAAATCTGAAGTCATAGAGACAGGATCAAGAAGATAGAGGCTCTGGATCTGGGGCCAAGACAGCCACCCTGGAGGCATCTGGAGCCAGAGGGTCCCAGCTTAGCAGCTCGGGGAAGTAAAGCCTCAAAACTGTCGTTGACATCAGGTGCCACTGGCCTCATGGGGCCTTTACTACGGCAGCTGTGTCCATCTTCTATGTAATCCAAAGGGCTGAGGGATAAGAAAAAGAACAAGAACAGCACCGAGGAGGGAAAGAAAATGCCTGTGTATTCTTAGGGGAACCTGCCAAGTGCACTAAGGAAAAAGGAAGAGTGAGGGCTTCAGAGCTCCGTCCCCAGTGCCCAGGTACTACAGATAGAGAGAGGACCTCATTCCCCATTCCCCCACGCTGACTGTGCTCCTTGAGGACAGAGCGCCCTTGGTTAGAGGCAGATCTGCAGGAGCAGGGCGTGGAGGGTGATGGTGAGCACTGTTCCCACACAGGTGGAGCTGGGCTTCCCTCGGAGCTAAGGAGGTGGAACTTAGAAGAACGAAGGCTTCCAGGTGAGGGGCCTCAGGGGGTCCCCGGGGAACAAAACACACCCCTGAGGAAGTAGTAACTGGTATAAGATGGTGTGTCTGTGTCCCTTAGGTGCGCAGGGCCAAAGCTTCCGCCTGAGGCTGCCCTGGCCCTTCTGGGAAGGACCTGCCCCTCGGCCTGGGGCAGGAGGTGGACACCAACCCCCAGGTGCAAGACCGGCCCCCTCCCTCCTCCCGGCTCCTCTGGAGTCAGACGTTTTTGAAAATGCACAAAGCAGAAGGAAAGATGTGGGACGAGATCCTTGGAAGGAACTCAGGCTTGTTCATGCCCAGTTCCAAGAACGCCAGCCTGCTCCGTGCTTGGCGCGCCTCTGAGGGATGCTTCTGGATAGCATCAGCCATGGGAAGGCAACGGCCACCAGCACGGGGGGCAGGACAGGGCCCCCCGCTTTCAGTGGAATTGGATGGTCTTGCTTTAAAAAGTAGTGGGGTGAATACAGAGGAGAGTAAGGAGGAAGAGAAAAAAAATCTGGGTTCTAAAAGATATCTTCATCTATCAGTGTAAAATATTAAATTATGGTGACAGCTCAGACCCTGAGGAATGAGGAACATGAGAATGGCCGAGAGACAAGCATGGTTGGTCACAGGTGACGGTTAGCGACTCACGGGCGGTGCCCCGGTCACTTGACTCTGCTTAGAAAACAACTGGCCATCTGAGGGGAGCCCTGTGGTGAGGGGAGCCCCTGGCATCCTCTCAACTTATGCCAGGCCCCAAGCACAACAAAAGCCTGGCTGTCCTTGTTGCATATCTTAGGATGGTTTCAATTTAGAAAGAATGGGGGAAGAGAGTTGGCAAGGACTGAGATCAGATGAATTTTGACTTGAGCTCAGCACAGCATCACCCAGAAGCCGCGTCTGATGCCCGCGCCTGATGCAGTTCATCTGAGGCCAGGCAGCCCAGCAAGGCTCAGCTTAAGCCACTGAACACATGCTGGAGACTGCATTGCATTCGAGATATGAACGGAAGGAGGAAAGAGAGGGCAGACAGTGAAGTTGAAATTACCTCATTCTACACATGAGACCAAAACTGAGTTAAATCTGCTTCACTTTCTGCCTGTTCTTTTTACTGGGGAGGCTGAGGGTATCTAAGTCACATGTAACTAGGAATAAACATTCAGCCCATTATTAAAGTGTCAGCGGATGCTCATTTCACCATTTACCTTGTAGAAGAAATCAATTATTAAGTATCTGTTGAAAGCAATAGTGTGTGCAAAGACTTGGGCAGGGTATTGTAGAAGACATTATACTACATTATATTATACAATAGTCCCTGTCCGCAAGAAGCTAACATTCCGGGTGGAGAAGCAATCAATGTGCATAAATGAGATCAATAACGTGCAGTTAAAAGTGATGTTCTTTTTTTTTTAGGTGGTGATCTCCCCTTCAATCTAGGTATTCAGGCAGAGACCGGATCAGCAGGTGAACACCAGTCAAGATTTCCGGAGAATCCCTGAATTAGGAGAGATGCTGGATGGTGTGAAATCTATGATCCGCCTTTCCTGATCACAGTCTGTGATACTAAAGCGTGCTGAGGCTTCAGAGCAGATGTGATAGGAGCTCAGGAAAGAGGAAGCTGAGACAGAGGAGCCAGGATCAGAGCTCTGTAGCCCGAGTGTGATCTGATGGGAAGAGACAGATGAGGAAGGGCGTTCCAGGCAGAGGAAACTGGTATCACACTGCATTGAAGCCAGGGACAGGGACAAGGGCAATACACCTGGAACAGGAGGTCTCCTGAGAAACATTTCCTCTGCTGGGTGCTGTCCACTCAGTAAATTCTATGCTGTGAGGCCATAGAGCCAGACAGCTTTTTCTGCCACCCAGCTGTGGCAAGAGGTTCACCCTGAGCATCAGTGCTTTGCATTATGGGAGATGGAAAACCAACCCAAAGGGAATGTGGAGAGTGTGGGGGTGGGGGCAGAGGAGGTGCAGAGAAAGATAGAGAGAGAGAGAGAGAGACAGACAGACAGAGAGAGAGAGAGAGAGACAGACAGACAGAGAGAGAGACAGACAGAGAGAGAGAGAGAGACAGACAGACAGAGAGAGAGATAGAGAGACAGACAGACAGAGAGAGAGAGAGAGACAGACAGAGAGAGAGAGAGAGAGACAGACAGACAGAGAGAGAGATAGAGAGACAGACAGACAGAGAGAGAGAGACAGACAGACAGACAGAGAGAGAGATAGAGAGACAGACAGAGAGAGAGAGAGAGAGAGAGACAGAGGATGTAGACAGAGAGAGAGGGGACGGGAGGTAGCAGAGAGAGACAGAGGGAGAGAGGCAGAGGAATAAAAGCAGAGAAAGAGAGAGAATAATAAAGCTAGAGAGAGAGAGGTTGGGGGGGAGGAGAGAGAGGTAGAGAAAGAGAGAGAAGAATAAAGCCAGAGAGAGAGAGATTCCAAAGGCTGGCAACCCAAATACATACAATCAAGCAACCCAAGAGCGGAGTTACATTTTAAAAACTCAGTAGGATAAATATAGAAAATATAGACAATTTTATTCTATTTTTCAAGGAGGTGCCTATAAACCAAGCCAGAGCCAGTCAAAAGGAAACCCTGGGTGGTTGAGAAGCTTTGCTATAAAAGTCACCTGAGGTGCAGCTAAACTTCCTCCTGTCACTGCTCCTGAAACAAAAGCTATTTAAGAGGCAAGAGGAAAGAGTGCCTTTTAAAACAAGTGGAAGAAGAAATTGATTCCAAAGAGGCCAATTCTCTATTAAACAATGCTTGGCCTGTTTGGTAAAGTGTCACTAGTCCCATTTAGATCATTTATTTTTTTTTAAGAGAAAAAATGTGATTCACAATGACAACTATTTCCATTTTGAGGGTTTTTCCTTTTATTCAAGAAATTAAAAAATATAAACAAAAGCTTTGTAATTACTATCGAGATATTTTTGTGTATGGGCATGGTATATGCTTTTTATTTCCATCTTAGCATTTCAGCAGTGGAGCAGATGTTTTGTTTTTTTCTAGAAATGCTGTCTGGCTAATGTCATTAACTCCAGGAGAAGAGAGAGGGGGAGTGAGAGTGAGAAAGGGGCGTGTGGGACTCTGTCTGTGGTACCTCAGGCCCGGTGGGGACACAGAAAGGAGAGACACTTCAAGAACGGGTGCCACCTCCTGCTGCCCCAGGGCACCATGCGTCCCTCTAGTAAAGAGAAGCTGGTGGATGGTCTCGGCCTGGAGACACCATACAGTGCACTGCGTCAGGAGTAAGCCTTGCCTCTTTGTGGGCAGGTCATCACCAGGCCTCACCGGTGTGTGCAGGGCTGGCCAGCACCCCAGAGCCTCCTCATAGCAATGCCCCTGGTGCACAGAAAACAAATGATGCTCACTTTAGTCCCAGGGCAGTGCCAACAGCAGCTGGGCCAACACCCCCTTCCCAGGTTTCTCTGCAGGAAGCTGGAGGACCTTTCGGGGCCAATTGGAACCACCTGCCTTCCCAGGTTTCTCTGCAGGAAGCCAGAGGACCCTTCAGGGCAAACTGGAACCACCTGCAATGTCCCTGCTTCAAGGGAGGGCCAGCAACAACACAAGTATCAGGGGACCTCCCGCCTTTGCGACATAGAATGCACACAACCCTCACCCGTGGCGCCGCTCTGAGTCTCTGCTTCCAAGGCTTCTCAGTGAAGTCGTGACCCTCGGAGGTTTTGAAAATGATTTCTGATTTGAGTCATTTCTCCCTGCTCAGCTCAAGTAGGAAGCATCATGAAATTGCATTTGAACATTCCTAACCACAGGATGGCATGACAGGGGACCGTGTGTGGGGTGGATGGGACACCTGCACAGGGGCGTAAGCCAGGCCCATCCCAGGCCCACCAGGAGGAGGCCCTGGGGTTAGTGCTTTGAAACCTGGCAGAAACCTGCTCTCTACTACCAGTACACAAGATTCCCACCAAATACATGCTTTTCTGCAGACAGATCATGGCGTTCATACTTATTTCATACATAAAACCCCCAGAGACAGATTTTAAGATTCCTACCATTCAAATGCTTCATGCCTGTCTCCACTCTCCCCTTGGCCGTGCCAACAGTTGCATGTGCCACTCAGGATGCTCAAAGGCATTCACTCCAGAAGGTTCCAGGGACTGCTCAAGGAAGAACAAATGTGTCCTTTCTACAGCATGAAGCATTGCCCTCCTCCTTCTGCCCTCCCAGGGAGGGAGGACAGCCAGGAAAATAAAGGGAATGTCTTTGGGAGCCGTCTGAGGAAAGAAACAGGAGCCCCAAATTTTGGTAAAGCAAAACCACTCTGCTCTCTCCCTCTCTCCCACAAAAGGGGATATTGAGGATGCCTGAGCCCTTCATTCTTACTCACATCTGCTTCATTCTCTGCGTCCACGCCACTTAAAGTTACACAACGAGGACCTGAGAAGAAAGCTGGCTTCACAGCTGGGGTTAATTCTAGAAGGAAACTAGGAGAAGCAAACATCCACAAAATACCCTTAACTTGCTCAGCCCCTGGTGCCCTAACAAAGCTATGCTGTGAGGACCAGTTTGTTCTCTGATTAAGCCTGGCTTTTATGAAGCCTGGCTTTTATTTTTGGGCTGAAATAAACACAGAAACACTTGATTTGCAAACCACTGACACAAACACATTTCCCAGGAGCCTCAGTTGTTGGCCTCTGAGGCCCATATACGTGGAAGATTCTGGGAGGATTTGGATCTGACACTCAGGATCATATCCCTTCTGAAGAGACATGCTAGAAGTACAAAAACTTAAACAGTGAAAACTTATGTGATAAGAGATGCAATGAGAGACCATTCGATGAAGCTTAAAGTCTGAACAGTCTTCTGGTGTGGATCTGTCAGGGAAATATTCCAGCAGGAGGAATGTTTTAGTTTAACACATGGCTTTACAATAATAATCTACCAGATGCCATGAAGAAGCAGGCCACAACAGCACAAACTTTTATACATTTTCATTCAAAGTGAACTTTTCTCTAAAAAACATAAATACGTAATGTGATAAATAATACCTTGAAAAATAGATACCTTAGATTCTGTTATCCATAGTCACACACCTGAGTTCTGGGAGGAGTAAAATAAGATAATCTGTATTCAGGGGAACATGAGCTTCCACAAGTCCCTGTGCCACCAGCAGCTTCCTGGTCCCAATGTCAAGAAGCACAAGACACGGCATGTTCTCGTGGGAGGTGGCACCCTCACTGAAGTTAGCCAGAGCTGCCACACGTCCCGCAGTGCTCAGGAACAGTCCTCTCACTCTCTCCACGGTAACTCTGTGTTTATTTTTTTATTTTATTATTATTATTTTTTGAGACAGTGTCTCGCTGTGTCCCCAGGCTGGAGTGCAGTGGCACGATCTCGGCTCACTGCAACCTCTGCTTCCCAGGTTCAAGTGCTTCTCCTGCCTCAGCTTCCCAAGTAGCTGGGACTACAGGCGTGCACCACCACACCTGGCTAATTTTCTGTATTTTTAGTAGAGACAGGGTTTCACCATGTTAGCCAGGATGGTCTCGATCTCCTGACCTGGTGATCCATCCGCCTTGGCCTCCCAAAGTGCTGGGATTACAGGCGTGAGCCACCGAGCCCTGCCAACTCTGTGTTTATTAAACAGGGGCATGACTTGTTCATGAAACCAAAAGGCTTGGGTTCCTCTCCAGGGACTTGGCACTAAGAATTTCTCTAAGGGGGAGCACCCATCAATATGTGGAGATCCTGGCTCTACCTGACAGCAGCCTGTGCCATGATCTCCTCCTGGTGCCTAGCGGCCCATGTGAGCCGCCAGCAGGGACCCATGTCAGAGGTCACTGGAGAGCCCCATGGATGCCTGCGGGCTGGCAAGCCAGGAATCCAGTTCGAACTGGTGTGGGCAGGAGGCCATGCTTGTGATTTGGAAGCCTGAGTGTGCACCAGTTAGTTTGGGACGGTGATGTGTGAGGCAAGGGTGGGAGTTGGGGTTCTTGCTTGGAAAGGGAAATTTGCTCCTTCACTCAAGATACGCAACTAGAGGTTGCTGACATTCTTACAGCCTTTCTCAGTGCTTACTAAGTACGATACACTCCTGGATGTCTTTCTAGTGCAATCACAAGTATTCAGGACATTGCAAACCTCAAGCACCCGAACTGTTAATCACATGTTTTTCTTCAGCTCTGCTTAGTGCTGACTGATCCATCCTTAAAAATGACAGTGAGAGACTCTTACTCACAAAGGAGAGGAGAGTTTTATCCAAAATGATTGTTTGAAACATCCAGTCCCATTACAAACTTTTTCCATGTCATCATAATCTTTCACTTGTCAATCCCCAAATCTTACTTTGGCACTAGATCATCTTCCGGCAGCCTACTGATGTATTGTGTCCTTTTAATTAACTTTAAAGCAAAGGGAAAAAAAATCAATACCATTTGGTATATCAATGGCTTAGAAGTCATTCCCAAGCTGTTTAACCTGGCCTCAAGTTCGCTTATTATTATGAAACACTAGGATGGAGCAGTAAGGCTTTATATCAGGAAAAAACACAAAACAAGATTCCATAAACACATAAACTCAAAATTCTCCTGTGAAAATGTGTCTTCTTTGTGCCTAATGATGACTTATAAGTTACTGGAAGTAAAACTGATGTGTTCTAACCTAAAGACATTCAAATAAATATATGTTTATGAAAACACATATAATTGGATACATGTGAGTAGAGGCATTTGACTTCTGATTGCCTCTGGAGTTCCTTTTACTTACTATGGAGAAGATCGCATGCTCATGTAACCTAAATAACTTTAATATCTTTGTTTCATAGAAAACAGTGGAAGCAAAGCAGTATATTGTTTCTAATACTCAGCTTTCAGGCTTGTATAATCAGTTTTAGGTGATTCACAATTGTTCACAAACTGATCCTATCAAAGTCCAACAAACTGTGAACATGGCGAGAATCTCTCTCTTTACATCTCATTAGTGTGAGGCACAAATTTCTTGAGGTAATTTACATAGTCACATTCTCCCAGCTTGAACAATACTCCATAAATGAAGCACAGTTTTCCCAATGATAATAGTAACACTGAAGTATCGTTTTTCTCAGCAAGGTGATGCTTTAAAAGAACTTTGTCCCATGCGCATTTTGAGTTGTCTAACCTCTGGTGGTGTGGGAGGAGAGGGGAAGTGGACGTTCTCAAATCCACGCGATGATTCTTAGCGGATTCATAGAGTTGGCTGTGCAAGCTTTCTTTGATTCACACACTCACAGAGCCGCCTGGAGCTGGGCATCTCTCTTCACATCTTAGTGGACATCAGAGCAGAGATCAAGAAGGCTGTGTGCTCGTCTTCTACTCTACCAGGAAAACTAAGTCCTGATTTTTGCTGTGCCATAAAACGCCCACTCTCCTGCAGGAGCTACTGGTCACAGCAAGCACTCTTGGCTGTGGCCCATTCTCTGTTCCAATCCTCAGTAGACAACATGGAAGCCTACATTTACATGAATCCAGCGAGTGTTCTGTAAACCCAGACCTTTTGCTCTGTGCCAGCCTTGCACTCAGCAGACAACATGGAAGCCTACGTTCACATTAATCCAAAGAGTGTTCTGTAAACCCAGACCTTTCGCTCCGTGCCAGCCTTGCACTTTTCTCTTCGCCCTTGTGCAGCTCAGTGTTTCACCCTCCCCTACCTTCTCTCTTTTCTTTGTTTCCAAGACTCTCCCTGCCTCTGTCTCTGTCTTTTTTCCTCTCTCTGTGTTTCATTTCCTCTCTATATAAGAAAACTTTATTTGAAACAGACATGGTGAAAACTCTCTTTGCTCTCCTATATACCTTAGTTCACATACGTAGGTAGACACATTCATTTTTTCATCACTTTATTAGAAAGCATTCAACTCACCTTTTTCAGCCTTATTATGTGTCAGGCACTGCCCTCAGCATTTCGTTATAAGAGAAAATAAAACAAAAATGGAAGGATTGGTCAATATAGCCATTCTAAAAGTTTTCTTTAATTAAAAATTTAAATATGGGCCTGGCACAATGGCTCATGCTTGTAGTCTTAGCACTTGGGAGGCTGAGGCAGTAGGATCACTTGAGGCCAGGAGTTCGAGACCAGCCTGGGCATTATAGTGAGACCCCATCTCTACTAAAAAATTTAAAAAGTTAGCCAGGCATGATGGCACCTGCCTGTAGTCCCAGCTACTCAGGAGGCTGAGGCTAATTGCTTGAGCCCAGGAGATCAGGGCTGCAGTGAGCTACGTTTGCATCACTGCATTCCAGCCTGAGCAACAGAGACCCTGTCTGTCTAAAAAAAAAAAAAAAAAAAAGAAGAAAATTTACATATGGTCATATCATAGAGATTCACTACTGGGCCCAAATATTAAGTTCATGTGAATTTGATCAAACCTAAAATTTTAGCTGTATATTATGTGTCAGGCACTAAGTTAGAGTTTGTTGATACAACTATAAAGAAAGCATGATTCAACCTCTATAAAGGAGGGCAGGCTCATCAATGGCCCTCTTTCTATTCCAAAATTGATATCCACAATGGGCTAATATTGCCATGATCAATTACCTTTAAAATACATTAAAATAAGTCCACTTCACCACTGGTGCAGAAAATGCACACACAGAGAATAAAATAAACTGATATCCATTATCCATCCATTATTTCCTCAAATGTGAAACATGGCAGAATATTGAAATAGAAATTCATTCTGCAAACAGGTGCTCAACTTCTGGACTAAAATTTTAGTAGATAGATGAGTAATTACCTAACTTATTAGTCAGTGAATGCTGTCTAAATATTCAGAAATTTTTGGACCAATCGATTTAAAAATGCACAGAAGTGATCGTATGATTTTGGTTTGTTCTTTTATGTGAGTTTGTTCATCTATATAAGGTGAGCTTTGAAAATGTGGGGCCACTTTTCCTTTGAAATGGTGAGGAGGAGGGGTTGCTATACTTCTATTTTTGCCAGATCTCAAGAAAAACTTGACTGAGATGTCAAATTGCAATGACTATGCCTGCCACTAAATATGCTGATATATGCACATTCCTGTGGCGGATGTCTGCTTACAATGAACAATGAGTTCTTTCCGTCCCTAGAAAGATAGACAGCTTTGTGCGCTCAAATGGCTGGGATCGAACAAAAAGTGGAAACCTGATCAAATTCTTGTAACTCTTAGAGAATTTAAATGGGCTCTTTTGTCTCATTTAAAACTTTGCTGAAACCCAAATTATTAATTAGATTGTAGACGTGGTAATGTGCAGTAATGGTTTGATGCGTGAACAAAGTCCTTGAGAGGGGCCAGTTGACTGTGGTAAGGAGTAGTATTTTTGTTATAATGAAGAAGCCAAGGCACTTTTGGCTTTTAGTACTATTTGTGAATGATGTTTGATCATAATCAACATTGAGTCCCTTTTGCATAAATACATGTATTTATTTTTAGTCATTCAATAAATTATTCAACTTACATTTACTCATCATCTACTATTTGCCAGGGAGTAGTCAATCAGGCTCCATTTTTAATTCTAGGTTAAAAATGGGAAAAAAAACAACAAGAATAATAGTAGTCATCATAGTAATAGTTTGCAGATACTCTTTATGTTTCACAAACATTATCTTCTTGTATCCTGGCGATCACCTTCATCAACATAATGTTCAGCATCACAGGTGGAGATGCAATGTCCAGTATCAAAAGACTTGTTGAAAAAGCGGATCGCTCAACTTTGAGTGGCCGTGGTTCCACGGCATGCTCGGCTTGGCGGGCCGAGCCCTGTAACTCTTGTCTTCCGCGGGGGCACCTTTACTTCTTACTGAGGTCATGCCCTCTTCTTCCTTTATACCCCAAGGGCACCCAGCACCATTATCAGTACAGACCAGGAGTCAGCCAGTTCCTACCAACTGATGCTTATTTTCCAAACATATACAAAGACAATGTAGTCAAAACATCTTAAAATCACATGTCACTGTTACAGAGTCTCCCTGCTCTCTTAATCAGGCTTGGGTCAGGATGAGGGATCTAGTCATTAGGGCTGAGATTTATTTTAGCCACAGGAGTGCACTTAGGCAGCGTACGGACTGTGTTCAGGCAGTTCTCAGCAGGCCCCACTGGATAGAGCACACATCTTAGAGGACACCGTGTTAAGAACAATTCATTTACCCACAGAAACCAAGAGGAGACGTTTAACACCAAACAAACCAAGGGCCGGGAGGAGGGAAGCAGCTTGTCTGAAAATGACCACAGTTCATAGTTGTGTTATAATAGAAACCATTGCCAAGGATAGCCACCTTCCTTCTCAGAGGACAACGTATGTAACGCGACATTCAAGGAAGAATCTTCCCCGACTTCTGCTGCACACATTGAAAAACATCGAGCAACACGTCACATCGAAGTGTCCTGACTTAACCACAGTTGTCCCAGCTGCGGGTAGTTGTCAGCAATCCCAAGATTTCTGTTTTGTATTTCTCATTAGAAGTGTCTCTTGAAGACCCCTTTATTCCAGAACAAATATTTGAATAAGGATTATGTGGAAACAAGAAACAAAAAAGACACTGAAAAATAAAGTGAGACGCTATAGCTGTACAGGATTTAACAAAATATTAACAAATTCACTATTTAAATTCCAAATCCGTCTAAAAATTAAACAAGTATCTACAGATCACCAGAAAAATCCATATGGTGGAACGTAACACACTGAACTCATAATACACATTCTCCAGGGGATACAGTCTGGTGTTGGGTAAAGTAATAAATTCATTAGCGAGTAGCCTGAAAAGTTATGTAACTATGGTAGGTAAGTGAGTGGTGTAGATAAGGCTAGCTATTGGGATAAGAAGAGGCAGACCTCTGAAGGATAGGCAGGGCTTAGCAGGGGAAGAGTAACATCAGTTGTACTCTGAAGTGAGGACGATGACTTAAACCTCTCTCTATAGTCCACACCAAGTGTCTTGTCTGTGCTAATGATCCTCATCATCCTCTTCATTTTTATTTAATAATGAGCACTAGGTAACTTTTCTTTTCTTCCTTAATCTTTTAATGCTTTTTAGCTTGCTTGTGGTGAAGTTTCAGGGAGCAGGTTGCTGCTCTGTCTGTATCACTGGAAGTCTAGCAGCCTTGGAAATATGTATTCTGCAACTCAAGCCCAGTCATAGGCAACACACAAATGAATGGCCATGGCTGCTTCAGAAAAACTTTACAAAAACAGCAAGTTGTCTGGATTTGGCATACAGACCATAGTTTGCCAACCCTGGAAAATGCATCTCACTAAAATATTTATATGGGTACCCTCTAGTGTACTTTCTAGATACTGAAAGAGCAGGCATGGCATTAGGAAGAAACGATCACTAAGAATGAACTGTCTTGTGGGTGCCACTAGCCACATGGGCTCTTGAGCCCTGGAATGTGGCCAGTTTGAGTTGAGATGTACTTTCAGTGTACAATACATACTTAGATTTGAAGTTTGCATAGAAGTATAAGATATCTCATTAAAATTATCCTGTACTGTTTATATATTAAAATGATTATTATTTACTATATTGGGCTAAATAAAACATTTTTTAAGTTTATTTTTTTGATACTGGGAATTTGGACTTGCTTTGGAGATAAGGTAAAATTGATTATGAAGGAGGCACACTTACATCACAAATCTCTGCAAAGCCTATATAACTCACCACAATTGAAGAAAAGCCCAGGCATTTAATGTAAAGGATACTACAAATTCCAGTTAAAAACTTCAGGCAGTGTATGCAAAGAACATTTCACAGTGGAATATATTGGACCAAGGTGATTATATTCATTCCTACAGTTGATGGCTGAAATGTGTGCCCTGAACCAACACTTGGTTTAAAATACACAGAAATGAAGTGCAACATCTAAATATCTCTTTTCCCTAAAAAAGTTAACTTGTATTAAATACTAAAGTAACTTTTAGTTTTAAAAATTATCATTAAACAGGGAGGATTCCTTATTACCTTAGAAGCAGGCACTTCACTGAGACTGCCCTGCTACTAAGATCACTGTTGTAGAAAGAACTAGCAAAAATCTTGTGTTAGTCCATTCTCACACTGCTATAAAGAACTACCTGAGACTGGGAAATTTATAAAGAAAAGAGGTTTAATTGAACCACAGCTCCACAGGCTGTACAGGATACATGACTGGGGAGGACTCAAGAAACTTACTATCATGGTGGAAGAGTGAAGGGGAAGCAGGTGCATCTTCACGTGGTGGAAGGGGAGAAAGAGTGAAGTGGGAAGTGTGGCCCACTTTCAAACAACCAGATCTCATGAGAACTCACTTACAATAACAGCAAGGGAGAAACTGCCCCCATGATCCAATCACCTCCCTCTCCAACACTGATGATTCCAGTTCAACATGAGAGTTGGGTGGGGACACAGAGCCAAACCGTATTACATACCAAATGGCTGCCTATTTCTGGACAATGGCATCTTCGGGAGCCAGTGTTCATCTGTCCCACTTAATGTCAATGACCCCTTCATTTTAAAATCTGAATGGTGACATTTCTGATCCTGGAACAGGAGCAAGGTCAAAGGCTTCTTTCTTTGCCATGAACCCGAGTGTGAAGACTCCTGGAATTTTGTGCCCAGACTCTTTTCCTCATCCCAGGTTTTGCCCTGGTGGGACAAAGTATTGAGAAAAAGGAAGACTTCCTCTCCAGTATTTCAATTCAACTTCCACTCTCATCATTAACATTGATTGCTGTGAATAAGCTGCAGGAGTTTGTGTTTTCAAGGGTCCTTCTCAGTTGCTTGAACTCAAGAGGCAGATGCACAACTATTGTTTTTTAAGTGGTATCAAATGGTCCAAAGGAAATAGAATGAGACAGAACATACATAAGTAGGTAAAGTAAAATGCTGTGTGTAGAATCCCAAGGTTTTCAAATAGGAGTCTGGACGTCTGGCTCCTGGAATCTTTATTCCACATCATTGTCACAGTAAGTCTCCCAGAAACGCAGCAAAACAGCTGGTCACATGCACTCATGTGTCCTAAGGGCCTTGGGAATATCTTTCCATGCAATGCAACATGCCTATTTCCAAATATCGAGGTACCCTACATAACACAGATCAAAGAGAGGTGATCACCAGTTTCAGAAGAGGTAACCTCACTGTGAATCAGAATGCCTGGAAAACCCAGGACAGAAGGTCCCTCAAATGATGGTGCTCTGGTCACAGCAACAGCACTAAAGAGAGTTCCACATTCAGTCCTGACCCTATTCTCTCTTCACACCAACAGAGATTTACTGAGAACCAACTATGTCCAACATTTCTGATAGGAATATACATCTATGAAGAACAGTGTTTCATAGCCTCATAGGGTAGGTTACACCATTATATAAATAGCTATCAATGCAAGGTAGACAATGATAAGGATCATAAAAATACACCTTGCTAAAGTTCAAAAGAAAAGGGCTAGAATTCATCTGGAAGGAACAGAGAGGGCTATGTGGAAAAGTGGCATTTTAACCAGACTTTGAAGAGTGAATAGGGTGTGTTTGCATAGACACCAGAGAAAGACATTGCAGAAGTAACAGTGTGAGTCATCGAAGCACAGACAATGAATAGTGTTTGGCCCAGTCCTCACGGCAATATTTGAAATAGATGAGCATAATGCAGGGATAGAAAGCATGCTTGAGAATGGGCGGGGAATTACCTCAAAGAGTGGGGTAAGGTGTTGGGTTTATTTCTGTATGAAATAGAAAGACTCTGGTATTGTTTGAGCAGAAAAACGCCAAAGCTGTACTTTGCAATAATTGATCTGAAAACAGAATATAGAATTCATTTATAAGAGTGTGGGTGATAGTGGGGGTGTGTGGCGTCATGGCTACTATTAAAAGTCCAGAATGAAGATAATGACAGGCTACTCTAAAGTAATGATGGAAGAAATGGCAGGGATAAAACATTTGGGAGGACAATTTTAGAGATAGAATTGGCAGGAAGTAGCCACTGATTGGCTGCCAGACTAATTATCCCAAAGAAGAGCTCTGACCTTGCCATTCAACTATACAAAAACCTTCAGTAATTTCACATTATTGAGAGAACAAAGTCATAAACTTATCGCATAGAGACTATTGTAAGTATGACACTCGTGATCTCCAGGACCTACACTTCAGTACACTCTACCTATACTCCACCTATGCTTCAGCATACTGTATCTATACTCCACCCATGTTTCAGTACATTCTATCTATACCTTACCTACACTTCAGTACTCTCTCTATATTCCACCTATGCTTCAGTACACTCTATCTATACTCCACCCATGTTTCAGTACACTCTATCTATACTCCACCTATACTTCAGTACTCTCTCTATATTCCACCTATGCTTCAGTATACTCTATCTATACTCCACCCATGTTTCAGTACACTCTATCTATACTCCACCTATACTTCATGTACACTTCAGTACACTCCACCTATACTCCACCTATGCTTCAGCACACTCTACCTACACTCCACCTACGCTTCAGTACACTACCTATGCTCCACCTATGCCTTAGTATACTCTATACTCCACCTATGCTTCATCTATACTTCTGTACACTCTACCTATACTCCACCTACACTTCAGTACACTCTACGTATACTTTACCTACACTTCAGCACATTCTACCCATACTCCACCTACTCTTCACTATAATCTACCTATGCTTCACCTACACTTCAGTACACTCTACCTATACTCCACCTACGCTTCGGTATACTCTATCTACACTCCACCTATGCTTCAGTACACTCTACCTATACCTTGCCTACACTTCAGTACGTTCTACCCATACTCCACCTACACTTCACTATACTCTACCTATACTTCACCTACATTTCAGTATATTGTACCCATACTCCACCTATACTTCACTATAAACTACCTATACTTCACCTACACTTCAGTATACTCTACCTATATTCCACCTATGCTTTAGTTGATATACTCTATCTATACTCCAACTATGCTTCAGTACACTCTACATATACCTTGCCTACACTTCAGTATATTCTACCCATACTCCACCTACACTTCACTATACTCTACCTATACTTAACTTACACTTCAGTACATTATACCCATACTCCACTTATACTTCCGTATAACCTACCTATACTTCACCTACACTTCAGTACACTCTACCTATATCTTACCTACTCTTTAGTATACTCTATCTATACCTTACCTACACTTCACTATATTCTACCTACACTCTACCTACACTTCAGTACACTCTACCCATACCTTCAGTACATTGTATCCCTATTTCACCTACACTTTACTATATTCTACCTTTACTCCAGCTATGCTTCAGTACATTCGACCTATATCCCACCTACACTTCAGCATATTCTATCTATACTCTCCCTGTGCTTCAGGATACTCTACCTGCACCCCACCTATACTTCAGTACATTCTATCCTTACTCCACCTACACTTTATTATATTCTACCTATACTTCACCTACACTTCAGTACACTCTACCTATACTACCCCTGTCCTTCAGTACATTCTATGTAGACCTCACCTACACATTACTTTTCTCTACCTGTACTCCATCTACACTTCAGTGTACTCTACTCATACTCCACCCACTTCAATATACTCTAACCATACTCTGCCTACACTTCAGCATACTCTATCCATACTCCACCTACACTTAGGTATACTCTACCCATACTCCACCTGCACTTCAGTACATTCTATGCCACCTAAACTTTACTGTTCTCTATCTATACTCCATCTACACTTCAGTATACTTTACCTATACTCCACCTACACTTCAGTATACTCTATCTATACTCTATCTACACTTCAGTATACTCTATCTATTCTCCATCTACACTTCAGTATACTCTGTCTATCCTCCACCTACACTTTAGTATACCTTCTCTATGCTTCATCTGCACTTTGGTATACTCTACATAGACTCCACCTACACTTTACTGTTCTCTACCTATACTCAATCTACACTTTAGTACACTCTACTCATACTCCACTTACACTTCATTATACTCTACCTATACTCTACCCACACTTCAGTATACTTTATCTATACTCCACCTTCAGTGTACTCTATCATCTACACTCCACCTACACTTTGATATACTCTACCCATACTCCACCTGTACTTCAGTACATTCTACTTCACCTAAACTTTACTCTTCTCTACCTATACTCCATCTACACTTCAGTATACTCTATCTATACTCTACATACAACTTCAGTATGCTCTGTCTATACTCCACCTACACTTTAGTATACCCTATCTATGCTCCACTTGCACTTCGGCATACTCTATATAGACTCCACCTATGCTTTACTGCTCTCTACCTATACTCCACCTACACTTTAGCACACTCTACCCATACTCCACTTACACTTCAGTATACTGTATCTATACTCCACCTACACTTCAGTATACTCTATCTATACTCCACCTACACATTGGTATACTGTACCCATACTCCACTCACACTTCAATATACTCTATGTATACTTCACTGGCATGTTAGTACACTGTATGTAGACTCCACCTACACTTTTATGTTCTCTACCTAGACTCCACTTACACTTTAGTACACTCTATCTATATTCCACTTACACTTCAGTTTACTTTATCTATACTCCACCTACACTTCAGTATACTCTATCTATACTCCACCTATACATTGGTATACTGTACCCATACTCCAGTTACATTTCAGCATACTCTACCTATACTTCACTGACACATCAGAACACTCTATGTAGACTCCACCTACACTTTTCTGTTCTTTATCTATACTCCACTTATACTTTAGTACACTCTACCCATACTCCACTTACACTTCAGTATACTCTATCTAAACTCCACCTACACTTCAGTATACTTTATCTATACTCCATCTACACTTCAGTATACTTTATCTATACTCCATCTACACTTCAGTACACTATACTACTCTCTACTACATCTCTATTGATGCTCTGTTGTCTAATCAAAAACTTCCTCTAAATCATTCCCTAGAGAAGCCATGTGTATTCTCTTCTATGAGCTTTTGTACTATAATTAGCTGCTAGAACCCTACGTTTTCTTCAAAGATTATTTTAAACAATATCTTTTATATGTTATCCCCACTCCAGCCTGGCTTGACATTGTGTCTCCCTCCTTTCAGAAAATTTTAACACCTAACTTATATTTACCACTTCTATCAAAGTCCAAACAATTATACAGTTATCTATAAATTTGTCTTTCCTTCCCTGTTGGTCTATAAAATATCTGAGACCCACGGGCGGTTGTGACTCACTTTCTTATAATCCCTAGCATCTAACAAGGTAAAGAGTTGGTTGAAAAAATGAATGAAAGAAAAATTCCATAAATATCTTTCAGCAGAAAGAGGGCTCACAACAACATTCCTTTACCCAACTATCCAACCAAAGAAAATATAAAACAAACAAATAGAAAAATGAAGAAATATTCTGCTTCATGGATCTGTGACTGCCTTTCCCCAATTGGGTCAACCCTGAAGTGCTGGCATTTGATACTGTACCCATTCCCCACACCCCAAGGTCTCAGCTGTTTCTTGTGGTCCCTCCAGACCCCGGATCTGAACACAGGCAAGGATTTGATTTCAAAACTACAAATGACATGTAAGAAACTTAAAGGTTTGATAACCAAGACCACATAAGAGTCAGAAAAGGAGGCTGATGTCAAACCCAAGCTGACAATGCATGAGAATTAAGACACGAACCATGTTGTATCTTCCTCCAGACCAAATCACACAGATGTGTGTGTCCAACTTGGATATTCTATGCTGATGTATCTAGACAAGGATGCAGCTGAGCGGCCTGGATCAGGCTACTGCTCTGCCTTATCTAATAAACATTCTCCAGTTCTCCTTATCTAACTTGGAAAGAGATCCCAAGATGTGAGATGTACAATAATGTTGGTCTCAGATGGGTATATAAGCTGAGAGCCCTGGAGCTACCTTCCTGTTATTAAATGAAGCACCGGAGGCTGTGATCTAAAGAATGAGAATGATCTCTTCTGTCACACGACTTTGGGGGGCACCATTCAGGTTGGCCTCCGTGTGAACAGGAGTGTTGTGCATGCTTGGAGAGAAGGTCGGTCCTCCCCCCATCTCTCTTCTCAAACTATGGCTGGCTCTTGGACAGATGTACATTGCTGCAAGATAGGGGAGCAGGAACAAATAAGGGAGCATGCAAGGCCTCTGTTCCCACCCACGCCAGGCCCTCGTTTTACCCCAAAACCTTGTATATTTGGCCTACGGTGACTTGAAACAGTCACTTCAGCTGTCTGGAACATAAATGAGGTAGTGTCACTGGCTTCAATGTATTAACAAGTTATGCACAAACAGTTTGGGATTCCAAATACATTTCTTTGCCACATTTAGGTCCTCCACCTACCTCACAGAGTGCAAATGAATCATAACACTCAATGACAAGCATTGTAGGTCACATTGTGTGTGCAGCAATGCTGCTGTTGGGGAAACAAGCCTAGATTTGTGGGTGACAGTGAAGAGAGACTGCAGCTGTAGACTTTACACAGCACCTCTAGCTACTGGGGTTTGGAAAGGGGACTTGTGGAAAGGAGAACAAAGTCGCCTGTGTGATGCTCCTCATGCTCCCTTGGCCAGCCCTCCCCATTCTGTTCCGCTTATGTTTGGTACCAGACTGTTCACCTCCCTTCCCAGTGTCTCTGTCTTTGGCTTCTGATGAGGTTGTTTCCTTTCCTTAGTGACTGAGAAACAATTTATTCTCTATCTCTCCCTTTCTCTTTCACCTGCATGCACTTCTATGGCCCAGGGTAGTGGCTCATGACTGTAATCCTAGCACTTTGAGAGGCCGAGACAGGTGGATCGCTCGAGCTCAGGAGTTCAAGACCAGCCTGGGCAACATGGTGAAACCCCATCTCTATAAAAAAAATTCAAAAATTAGCCAGGTGGGGTGACATGCACCTGCAGTCCCAGCTACTCAGGAGGCTGAGGTGGGAGGATTACTTGAACGTGGGAGGAAGAGCTTGCAGTGAGCTGTGATTGCACCATGGCACTCCAGCCTGGGTGACAGAGTGAGAAAAAAAAGAATATAACACTTCTGAGGTTTACTAAGTATTTTCATCACTAGTAGCTTTTTTGACAGTTTCATTCTATGCTTTCTACCCCATTCCCACTCTTCTTATGTTTGGATCCCATGGAGATAGAGACAAAGTCGGCATTAGGCTAACCAAGGACAGAGGAGAACATATTCATTGCTGCATCAAGGACATTTCACTCAAAAGAGGTGGTAGAAGACTATTGTAAGCTGGGGTGTGGAGAAATGGGAAGAAAGGGGGGTTCTGGCCAGAAGCAAGCAGAGAGGAAGAACAGCAGGCTGTCACAGAGAGAGAGGAATGTATCTTTGGCTACTTGATGAATTAGCTGATGGTTGAGTGGCTATTGTTTGAAGAATGAGTGAAGCAGAGGATTCAAAAATTGTCAGTGTCCTGGGCAGAGGAGAAGAAGAAAAGAATGAAAATAGCAATGAACTTAGAGCTGAAGAAATTACAATTTGTGTTCTTTTCAGAATATATATGACTGAAGGATTCATATCGTGTATTCACTACCTTCAATACATCAATTAAGGCAGGGTGAAAGAAGGAGCTTTTTCTCCATGTCCTTGGCATAGTAACAGCATCTTTATAAAAAGTAAAGCTGATAAAATTCAGTACATTGCTTTCTGAAGATCTCAGCTGATAAAAAAAAAAAATCTTGGAAAATCAAGTGCAATCAGCGGTTCACTGGCCCTTAAAATGTGCTGTCTCCACTACCGGTTGTCTTAACCCATGCTCAGAGGTGGGTATAGCAAGGGCTTCAGGAGTCAGTCTCTGGAGAGGAACTGGGGCTCAGTAGAGATAATGCCTGGTTAATTTAAGTGGGATCTGAAAGCAGATAACAAATCTCACATTCTGAATAGGCTTTACTTAGTTTGAAATTAGTTTAAAATACCTGTTTTTTTTTTTAATGGAAATGGTATAAGGAGGAAGATAGAACATTTCTCTTCAAAGACTCAATATAGGGAAAGACCCTACTTGATATCACACAGGAAATGGGGGATGAATTCACTACTATAGTAAAGTGCCAAGGGTGTGGCTATATACTATATACCATATAATACTGTCTTGGTCTTCTCCTAAAAAATTTAAGTAAAATATGATTTATACTCTTACTTTTAGAGACACTATACATTCTGCAAGTCATGTTTAAATTTGATCTTAGTCTAGAAGCATGAGCTCTTACTAAATCCAAAGCCATGTTGAAACCTGAATTAAATAGCTTACTTATCTCGATACATACGTTTATAAATAACGCTGGGGCCCAACCCTCACTCTAGTTTAGAGACCATTATATGTTTATTTTTCTAACATACCTCTCTCTGTGAAGAAGAAAGAAAAAAGTTCTTATTTGGACATAGTGATTTTCATAGCAAAGGAGAAATAACTATTCTCATTATTTTCTTAAATGTTTTTAGCTGTTTTATGACAGTTCTTATAGTTATTTTTGCGTACCATGAGATCAAGTAACTCTTTAATCATCTTGTAAATCATTCAATAAGAAACAAAACTCCACCAACCAATAAACTTCTGGACTGTCATATGTTCAGATCATAGAATGAAATGATATGCATTTTTGGAAACTTTTTAAAAAGCAAACCATTAATAGTTTTCCAAATGAAACTGCCTGCCATATATATTTATGTATAACTCCCCCCATGTCACTGTGAATCATATACAAATCATAGGTAATATAACAGAATGAATACTTAATTACACACTATCAAATATCATTAAATAATGACCATTCAGAACACTACATCTATTTACCACACATACCATGTTCATAGTAATATAGAAGGCCTGGTCCTTTTTCCCCATGTATCCAAATTAAACTGGTTTTCAGGGCTCATCCCAGATTCCACATGTTCACCAGTTCTAGTGGCCACTGGCCCTGACAAATGGCTTTCCCTTCTGTGATTTCTTTTTTTAAAATTTAATTTAATTTAATTTTAAGTTCTGGGATACATGTGCAGGATGTGCAGATTTGTTACATAGGTAAACATGTGCCATGATGGTTTGTTGAACCTATCAACCCATCACCTAAGTATTAAGCTCCACATGTATTAGCTATTTATCACAATGTTCTCCCTCCCTCAAGACAATCCTAAGCAAAAAGAACAAAGCTGGGGGTATCATGCTACCCAACTTCAAACTATACTACCAGGCTACAGTAATGAAAACAGTATGGTACTGGTACAGAAACAGACACATAGAGCAATGGAACAAAATAGAGATCTCAGAAATAAGACTGCACATCTACAACCATCTGATCTTCAACAAACCTGACAAAAACAAGCAATGGAGAAAGGATTCCCTACTTAGTAAATGGTGCTAGGAAAACTGGCTAGCCATATGCAGAAAATTGAAACTGGACCCCTTCCTTATATCTTATTCAAAAATTAACTCAATATGGATTAAAGACTTAAATGTAAAGCTTCTCTGTGCTTTCTATCTCAGGGACACTTCAGAGACTCACATGGGGAACTCCAGAGCACACAGCACTTTTCTGTTAGTGTGTCAACTGTCCCTGAAAACTTTTGGGGGAATTGTTGATATTATAACCTTTTCTCTGGTTATGTCTTGGGTCCTCAGCTGGATTTTCAGTTCTTAAAGGCAAGGATTATGCCTTACACTGGCTTAAGATTTGCACCTACAGACATTCAGTAAATAAGTGTTTGGTCTATTGAAAATCATTGTCGGCAGCCAAAGTAAGCATTAAATAGAGGATGTAGAAAATCATCAATATATTCTCTGTCTATGAAAAGCTTTGTATTGGGGGTTTGGTTTCTTAAACAGTATATATCCTAGATAGCCTGAACTCTTTAATGAATATGTTTACTTATTTTATGATTATGAAGATAATACTGGTGCCTATAACAATCCTATAGATTTTTGTGGGCTTTATGTGATATAACCCATGAGGAAAGCACTAAATTTACTGTACCCACTAAGTATTAGCCATTGTTATTATTGTTTTCAGGGTGCCTTCCTGATAGTCTGTTTTTATTAGTTTCTCAATATAATTTATCAACAGTTTGAATTTGTGTACAAGAGAGTATGGGTCCTTGGCACTTAACATTACTCATTTTATGATCTTCCAAAAGTATGAGTTTTCTAGTGGGTCTATGTTTACAACATCTCACTCTAAGTAAGAATCAGAAATAGCCAAATTGTATGTCTTAAGCATATTTCTATTGCCTGTAAATTTTTTTACTGTTTTTAATTTCAAATGGATAAAAATGTTTCTGCATTTGTTTTCTTTCCAGCCCCATTCATTCTATACATAGTTACCTTTCTTTTATTACACCTCTCCATTTATTTTCATATGAGAAGCATTTCCCAATACTTAGAGAAAAGTTCCACATGTAGAAATTTGCACTTTTGAAATAGTGGGTTGCTGTGTTAAATAAAACATATCTGTGTTTGAATTTTCTCAGTGGAGCCTCCTTGGTAATAGTGACCTGGAAAGGCTCCTTTGACTCCGGTCAAGAGTCTGAGATTCAGGCGTGGAGAGAGACCACTGCCCAACCTCAACATGAGCTTGATTTCTCAGACTCCTTTCCTTTTCCCACTGTGGGCCTGATGTTCTTCTCTATTTCGCTGGGATATTTTGGGGACAATATTCAGGCCCACTCTTTTGAGTTGGTGAGAACATGCCATCGGCTACCATGGTAAAAACCTAGTGTTTATTTGTACCCACGAGTTCTTGCTTGTCATTTTGGGTGCCTTCTGCTCTAGGAGACCAGAAGTAGGACATGGATTGTATAATAGATTTTAGCTGCTAAAAATGCATTCCTGCTTAACCTGTGCATACCCTAAATACTGCCTTTAAAAAGAAAGGTAAGACATAAAGCCAATGGGGCTATTTCCTTAAGGATCATGCCAAGCCATGTTAATGGCATATATCTCCCTGGCCTACGTCCTGAGAAGTTAGGAAGACTCATGTAGTCACCAGGGTGGTTCGAGAGAAACCAAGTAGTAACTGCAGAGCTGCCACGGCACGTACGTTTCTGTGAATTGTCAAGGCAACCCACCACCTACAGCTGGCATTATTTCTGTGTAAAGTAAGATAAAATTCTGGTTACAAAATGTATAAAATCAATAGAGAAAATAACTTAAGGGAAAGTTAGGTTTCAGTTACGTGTCTGAGTGTCACATGGTCCAGTGATTTTTCTTTTCTTTCCTTTTATTTATTTATTTTTTTTTCGAGACAGAGTCTCGCTCTGTCACCGAGGATGGAGTGCAGTGGCGTGATCTCGGCTTACTACAATCTCCGCCTCCAGGGTTCCAGCAATTCTCCTGCCTCAGCCTCCCAAGTAGCTGGAACTACAGGCATCCACCACCATGCCCAGCCAATTTTTTTTTTTTTGGATTTTTAATAGAGACGGAGTTTAACCGTGTTAGCCAGGATGGCCTCCATCTCCTGACCTCGTGATCCGCCCATCTTGGCCTCCCAAAGTGCTGAGGTTATAGGTGCGAGCCACCATGCCCGGCCAGTCCAGTGATTTTTCTGGATGACCATGAAACATTTGATGAGATGAATTTCACGTCAACCTGCCTGACCTTGGTAGTCCCAGATTAGACTCATCAATCAAACAATAGCATCTACTCTAAATACTCAGGTTCCTGGTGTTGGGTTTGCATTTGCACGTCTCTGCAAAATGGTGACAAACAAGGGGCCCGTCGGTGTGGTCCTGCTGATAGCATGACAGCTACTGTTACACAGTAATGCCTTTGAGATTGCTGTCCATGTGAAGATGCCAAACACGCAGTCAGCAAGTGTTAGAACTGGGACTCCCTCACTTTAAACAAGGGCACCGAGAGGCAGAAAACTGCAATCATTTGTTTCAAGTCATCTCCGAATTCTCTAGAGAGCTACCTAGGAGGAAGGTCTTCTCAATGCAGGGCTCCTTCATAGGGACTTTATGTCATTGTCTAGGTTGACTATGTGTGGAAAATCTCACTTAGAAAATTAAAAAAGACAAAAAATAAAAATAAAAAATGAAAAAATGTTTAATATTAGGTAAAAATATCCTCCTGGAAAGTAATGGAAAAATGAAGTTTCCCTGTGTCATGGGTCATTTTTAATATTTTGGAGAGTTAGTCAGAAACTTATAGCACATGTGCAACCTAGCTGATATAACCAAACCAGGCAGAGTAAAGTCTCTCTGACTCTTGGAAGAGACCAAAATAATCAGTAAAATGATTTTGTAATCATCCTCCTGACCGTGCCCTTAGTTAAAAATCTAAGAGCAGGTGCCAAGAGGGACTCTAATGCAAGCCAAAAAATTGGAGGCCATGTTGTTATAAGGGCCCAAGCCACATGCTCCCCAGTCAAAGGAGGAAGGGAAAGAGACTCGATCTTGTAGGAGGAAGGACGAGATGTGTGAAAATCGTTTACTGATTTTTTATTGATAGAGGCCGTTTTTGCAATGCTGACTGCCCAATCAGCAAGCCTCACACTTCAGTTATGCCTTTGAGGCTAAAATACATGATTCAATTTGCACATGTTGGATTTTGAAAATGTAAAGCATGAAATTTACACTATCATTGACTCTACTACTCCTTACACAACTTCTGCATCTAATCCTTGGAATGTTGATATTTACCATTTGGAATATGTATCTTAGGCTTAGTGTATTTTCTAACTAATTCCACATTTAATATACATATATTGAAATGTTAGGTAATAAAAATGAGATGTTACCTGTTGTCTCACAAATTTGCCTTTCCACTCTTACTAACCCCTAGGATCAGATACTGTTTTGATCATTAACTTTAAAACTAGATGAACAGGTGGCTTTGCCCATTTGTAAACAGGTGTGTTAACTTGTCCCTGGAGAGCAGATACATCATTTCTTGGCTGGCACCATGGATGTGGATCTCTTAGGAAAAAGGATTGTTTTTGAGCTAATATAATCCCAGGAACAGCATATTAGCTAAAAAAACACTTGGGCAGCAAAACTATCTCCATTCTTGTTCTCAGGACTGTGAAAAGAATTGCAAAACATCTTGGAAGATTCAGAATACAAATTCAGTGGAAAATTTCACATGTTAATTCAGTACCAAATGTGCCACATTAAACAAAGGACGAGTAAGAAATTGATCTGAAATTTATCTGAGCAAATTATTAAGATTTTATTTCCTATTATATACAAGAACCTAGCATCAACCAACCCTTCTCACTTTATATAATCTCAGAATTCCATTTTTAAGCAAAGACATGTGGCTTTTTGATGCCTGAGCTACTTAAATTTCCATACTCTGAGAGACTATAAAATGCTAATTCTAACCTAACTTGTCTTTTACAGGGAGTAATGGCAAAATTCTTAATTCTAAATAGGCAGGTATATGCAATCAGGTCTGACTCAAGGGAAATGTGGCAAATAGTCATTGGAATTGTCTGAAATACATGACCAGTTTCTAATTTGAATTCTCCTCTCCTCCTTGTTTTGATGTTTCTGCAGCCAATGGTGAGCCGGTGGATAACCAGGTTGGCAGCCCCTTTCAGCTGTCTGCACTGGGGCAGGACTGCTTATGTCACAGAGAAGGCAGAGACAAGTGAATATGACACAGGGGATCTTCCTGTTTGCTTGGAAGGTTGGCCCTCAGTCAATAACCTAGGGCTTCACCATGCCAAATCCAAAATGTTCTGTTGTTGATCTCTGGTATCAACAGCTCAGAAACTGCAGAACAGACCCCTGACAGTTACCAACACTTTCCTCCAAACAGCATTCTGTTTACTGTTTCATGTATTCTCAGGTAAGCAAAGGCTTGCTGCGTTGGAACTCTGCATAATGGAAGGGGACAGGGAACGTGTACTTAGAAACCATGATGGATGAGGGCTAACTATCCAGAACCTTCAAGAATGTGTGACTCTTGATTTTGTAAGAAGTCAATACACTGAAATCATACGTGCCGTTGAATAGAGAATATGGTGATACAATGCCATGCTGTTGAGTACTGAGTTTTGGAATGGTCACCTGGATTCCTGAAGTGCTGATTACCCAGGAAAGGGGCCTCAGGCTTCACTCAACTCTTCTTCTTAAGTCATAAGAATGCTTTAATCTATTTCAAAATGCATTCAAGAAAAGTAAACCTAGAAGTATTTATGATTACCCTTTATCAGAAATATGCATATATATATATATATATATGCACACACACACACACAAGTACACACATTACCTGACTTTTTGTGGGGCAGAAATTTGTTACTCAGTTCTATCTCATTTGGCTCTGCACATAGTAGGTACTCAATATATGCACATTGTATTAATTATTCAGTTATGGCACTAAGAGGGAAGGGAGGTGCTGACCTTAAGGGGTCTCGCCTTTTCTCTTCAGCATTGACTTTGATATTTTCTTTCTAGAAGAGGACAGTGAGGAGAGCCCCTGCCTGCCAACCATTGTTGCTAACTCCAGCTTGTCTGTCACTGAAAACTTTAAAATGCAGAATCTAAAAATAATTAATATATGTGCAAGTAGGTTCAGAGGGAAGGAGAACAAAAGGGAGAACTGCTACCCCAGTGGCTGGAAAGTCCCACTGGGGTGCAGACATAGTCCCCTGATCTTGAGCACTGAGTGTCTTCCCAGAGTGACGTGTAAAAGCCCCAGAGCCTCTGCCCTGGGGATGAGGGTCTTGGTGTTGGCAGTGTGTCAAGCCTCATCCATGGCTGTCTTTTTCCTACTTTCTTTAGTGTGCTTTGTCTTGCGAAAGTGCTCATACAGTAAGAGGATGAGAGGGATGGACAGGGTTAAATTCATGACATGGTGCTCATTCACACCACACTAGCCATAGGAACACTACAATTAGGCATAAAATTTTATTTCTGTGAAATATACTCTAAGTCCTAGAAAAAAAAAAAAGAAAAAAAAAGCCAGCAAAGAAAGGAATTTCCCTTGGAGGGTGGGGGAGACAAGCAAAAACCAGTTACTCTTGAAGAGAAACAGCACAACACTGTTAGAACAACTACCATCATTGACGCCAGCCTACAGGATATGAGGCCAAAAACAGGTTTGAATACAGAAAATACAAGTCATTATGACTTATCCTGTTGATCACTGAAAAATCAGAACCACTGAATAATACACCTAGTTTCTACATTTCCAAGTTATTTCCAAGTACAAGTGGTCTCTGTCTCATGAAGGAAGTCAGCAAGTCTATCTGTAGGAAAGGCTGGTTCACAGGAAGCCACAATCAGCTGCCATTAGCACATACAGCAGAACAGTTTCATTCTTGCCATCCCTTATAATCATTTCCCCCTCGCTCCTGCAACTGGTGATGAGCAACGCTTTCCACGACCCAGACAACAAACAGCTGGATGGATGCCAGGAGACCATACATCCGTGGTCTACCATGCCCTTTTTAATCAACTTCCTAATTAAAAAATGCCATGCTGGCATGAGGTATGAAGGGAGTAGGCTTGGAATATATTTTACAAAATAGCATCCCCTAATCCTGGGGTTGTTGAAAATCTGTGTTCTTACAGATGTTGATGAGTTCTTCTGGTGCAGAGATAGAATCAATTTGCCTGTGCCTGGCCCTCAAGACATATTAAATTTATCCTGGAGGAAACTGGATTCTGAAAAGCTCTTGCCCAGATGCATTAGGGCAGGTGGGAGTTTCAGAGAAGCACAGGGTCCACCGGCAGATGCGGCACTGATTTCCGAATGTTCACAATCTACCAGGCAGCTCCAGAGCAGACTCGGTTTGATGGCTCTCTATGGGGTGCCCTGCAGACTCGCTTATTTCTACAACCAGTCTGGCTAGCATTGTTTCATGGCGACAATGCTCTGTGCTTTCAGCTTCTGTTCAGATGGCACAGGCTGGTGGAATTCGTGCACCAGGGAGGGGAGGTTGGGCCGAATTTAAAGTAAGCCCTTAAGAATGGTTTATTGCTTTTAGGGTTCAGTGGTGTGGTAGCCCCTGGAGTCAAGAGGTGATGCCGACTTTTGAAAAACCATTCTGTTGAGGGCCATTAAAACACACTATGCATTTAGGTTGAGATAACGGCATGAAGGCACCACTCAGAACAGTGTTTGAGCTAGAAATCCTATAATGAAAATCTTTGTCAATGTACTAAAAAAAAAGACCCCCATAAATTATTAATTCATGAGTTGTTTGATTTAGAGTCCTAAACCTGACATTCCACACTTGAAAATTTCTCAAGCAAGTGCCCGATATCCTTGAGGTAATTTTCTTTAAAGAAATTGGAGTGTTCTATGTAAACAGTCAGACTTCAGTAAAAAGCAGTCAGTATGTAATATTGAGTCCTAAAGTTCTTTCAACTATATTAATGAGTGCACAAACACATCTAAAGCAGGTTTACATGGCACACATACTAACCCTATGGCTCAAATATTGTCAGCTTACACACATTTTCACACTGGCATTTAAAAAATACACATATACACGCACTCACAAAATCATGGAAGAGGGGAATTATAGTACTCCTAAGAGTGTGAAAATACATGACAGTACTGAATTTTAAAAGGAATAGAGTCAAATAACCTTTTGAATAAAAAATATTTACCTGTTTTTTTTTTTTCTTTCACAATCAGTGGAAACCCCACCAAAGCAATGCCCTCTATGGCTTCGGTGAGCAGAGCAGGCCCACTGAGACAGCAGACGCCCCACACTGTCCAATGTTGCCTACACAGGGTACTTAAGTCAAAGAGCACTTCATCTTTGGACTAATATCTTGGAATCACAACAATTGATTAAAAATTTTGCCATGAAAGGCTGCTTTTCTTTCCAAAGTTGACACTCAACCTTAAAGTGCAACTAGACAGGGAAAAATTCCCTTAGAAATCACCTTTTCAGACAGGTGCACATCACCCTGTTTCCAGTCCTGGGACCTTTCATTGTCTTTGCCCGTGAGCCTGCTCCACAGCCTGAGAACAAATGTGACGGAGAGTGGCACGCGGGGCTCCGTGAAGTGGAGACTAATATGACACAATTTTGACCCTAAAAAAAAAAAAACAAAATAGCTGGGCTCCACCTTTGAAGGCAGCCAGGCACAAAGAGCATCGTGGAGAAGGGGCTTTCAGGGATCTCTGCATAGAAATGCACAAGGTGAGGTTAAAAAGTAAATGCTGATATTTTGCCCCAAGAAAGTTATAAACCACCATCATAAAGCTAAAAGCAGCTATATTAATCATATAAAGCTTGGTTCAACTCTAAAATGAAATGTAGCAATGAGAAAATAATGGAACTATGACTTTATGACTTTTCTCTAGGTAAGATTTCATGAATCTGCTTGAAAACAATCTGATATTTAAAACTGCTTGAGTTAAATTTTTAAAAACTCAATTTTTTTCTTCATTCTAGTTTACCAGCAAATTTAAAAATGAAATAGAAAAAGAAATGTGTCTGTGTGTATAAACACACACACATTGAAAAAACAATAGATAATTTACCTATTATGCAGAAAAAGCTCAATGTGAGTACTAAGAAACTTGCAGAATGAGAGGGAAAATGATCAAAAGCAAGTTTCAGCAGCTTCACATGAAGGGTTAATATGTTTTTAAATATCTTGTGTTTGAGGTTTAGATTCATTAAAGGTGGTTTCTTTCTTTTTTGAAAAGATATATTTTTTTAAACAGAAAATTTTCCCCTCCCCCCAAAAGTTGTATTTTCTGTCAAATATTCACTGTTATTGTTTAAAGCAAACAGCTAAAGTAAAGCAACTCTTTAGAAAAAAAGCTTAAAATGAAAGCAAAATAAAATCAAGTGATCTAAAATATTCAGGAATCTATAAAAAGACAGTTAAAGAATAACAATTTCTACTTGAGTTCTACCTAAAAAGCAGGTGAAATAATTAGGTCAGTTAAAATGAAAAACCTTGCCTTTTCGGGAGAATAGGAATTATTAAAACAGGATAGAACTATTTATCAGTGAATTCCTACCATGGAAGTATAATTAACTAAATATTAAAACACCCATATTGCAGTAGTACAGTCACAGAATTATATAAGAAATGTGTCACTGATGACAATAGAAAATTAGGATTCCAGCAGGCTCTTTATTCTTACTTCTCAACTCAGAAGACTGATTTGCAAAAATGATCTCCATTTTTCTGAAAAGAACTCAGAGTATCACTGTGTGCTAATTTCCACATTTCCTAGTTGTAGATTCTACAGATCAATAGAAACTTCAGTTCAATTTTCACAATCTCCAGTAAGTTGCTGGTTAAATTAGCTAAAATCATCTTCCAGCTAGGAAAAATACATACTAGTCAAAACTAATTATGTCTGGGCTTTAATTGAAACAACATTTGCTAATTTTGCTGGTCTCGATGCACGGTTTCAGAAAATATTAATTAAACACATTGAATAATGGCTGCTGTAAGTTTCTAAAAACAGTCATCTCTAAACAGTTAATTTCCACTTCAGGCACATGCACACGAAGACGGATCAAGCCGCTACCCCAAACCGGCAGCAAATGACTATTCTTTTGTTACTGACCATCAGGAGTTCAACTTTGCTCCACTTTGGGAAGTGGAACAAATGCTCTGGTGAAGACAGGGAGCACAGGACATATTTACCTGGAGGGGATATCAAAGAGCAGCCTCAAGACTTGCAAAACAAAGTCGTCCCAATGAATTATCTGTGCCTACAGCCGCACTTGGCACCTTCGGCTAAGCCAGCGTCTGACAAGCAGTTGTTCCCACGGCAGCCACCCCTGCCTTCCATCTTAGGGACTCACCCAGAAAATTCTCCAACCTGCTCCACGACTACAAAACTCTTCTAATGCTTTTGAACGCCCACCATTTGTTCTCCATTCATCCAATCAACTTTCCACTGCACATCTTCTCTCTCTACCGGCGCCCAGGCAAGGGGCCACTTCTCATCTGTATGCTAATTATTTTGCCACATGGACAAAAGTAATAATGCTTTCAGACAGGAAACTAACAGGCCTGAAGTCGAAGATGGAAATTAATAAGTTGACACCACTAAACGACAGGGAAGACGGGCATGCGTACAGCGCTCTGCCGGGCGGGTGAAGTGCAGCCTCCATCAAAAGGCAGCAGACAGACAGCGCCGGGCTGCGAGTCCCGCCTGTGCTGCGTGCATCAGGCTCACGCTCCCTTAGAGACCACATCGCTGCAGCAGAAGAGCCTCGGAAGCATCCTGCTGACTTACCCTGTCTCAGGCTGCCTCCTTGAAGCAACACAAAACATATCCACTTCCCCAAATCCTAAGGTGGGAGGGAACTTCACTGCTGATCTAGATATTTTTCAAGCTACAGCTGTGGATTAAACCAGTAATTTCTAACCTTCCTGTGTATCAAGCTTGCAACACAGTCAGACACGAGTGGAGATGTGTGCAGTATGCTGCTTGCCTTGTACCCACAGGCCCCTAAATCTCTAGAGCAGAATGTGTATCATGAGCAGTGCTGTATTTAATGTAATAGATGAGAACTGTAAATACCGGAGTCAGGCTGTTAGCAGCTACCAGCTAGGCAATATATCTAAAAATATCTCTCGTATCATTGATGTTATGGTAAATTCATGCTGTGGCCAAAGAAACCTCACAGAAGTAAGCTGAACCTACAGTATTTTAGATGGCATTGCTGGTTAACATCCAAGCAAAACAAAAAGAGGTTCCAAAACCTGTCACTTCTTAAAATAAAAGAATGGTGACACAAGAGTTAACTCTAACCAATTCTTAAAATCGTTTTCGGGTTGCCAACCTCACTATATTATTCTGTTTCAGTATGAGCTTCTTGCATCGTTTTCTTTTAAAACAAAAGCTATGAAACTACTTGTCTAAGAAAGTTAAAACATTTTTCACCTTTTATTATTGTTTGAAGAAAAAAATATAGAAAAAGTTTTCTTTGAAAAGACAAGTCCTAATATGGTTTTTAAAATAGCTAAGGGAACATAGATACCTGATGTTCATTAGCATTTTTTTCTGGCTTAAAAAAGTGCTGATTTTATAAATGGCTTCTTGAGTCAAGCCACAGATGTTTTACTCTGGTGGTGACCATACCGTTTCACTCTCTGCAAACCTCTCTCCTATAACACTCACCGCTATGAAAGGCTACGTTAAATCATAAAGGCTACTTTAGCACCTCCCACCCTCGCCCCAGGAAACTAGCCTTGAATACACAGACTCATGTTTAACAACAACTCCGGGCAGCATGCAGACATAGCAGTGCCCACAATGGCATTACACTGAAGGAGAAGCTCTTTTGAGAGAGGGTCCATTGTTGGCGCGTTCACACGCCTAACCAAGAGACTTTAGGAAGTGTTGTGTATGCAATCAAATGAGAGCTGGAGATAGGCAGGCAGGTGGAGAAACAACTATTTTTGAAGTACTTAAGAGAAGAACTGGGAGCTGCAACCACCAGGCAAATTAAGAAAAAAAGAAATCCTATGTAACCTTTACAATAAAAGGAAAGAGGTACCTTTTTGTGGAAGAGCTGGTGGCCATCAAGCCAAATCCTGTTCCGCAGTCTGCTTCTCACCCACGCAGGGCTCTGTCTGCCGTGGAGAGACCATCGCACGTGCTGGTCACAGTTCCCTCTGTGTTTCCATTCCATTCACCCCTACCCTCTGGCGCCCGCACTCCACCAGCCCACTATCCACAGTGAGTGAGAGTCGAGAGCAGAACAGCACGAGGGAGCAGCCACTGCAGGCTTTCCACAGAGCACAGCTCTGACTGTGGTTTCCGTGGGGAGACTGACAGAGAAGCCCCAAGTTACCAGGAACACCCTCTTCCAGCTCTCAGAGGTAATTCCTCTGAAGACCGAGCTCTTCCCTGATGTGTTGGGACCAGACTTACTGGTTACTATAGAGGCTGCAATTCCCTTCCCATCGAGCCCTGCTAGACACCACTGCAGTCTGAAAGCAAGGAAAGCTTTAAGAGAATGTCCTGTACCATTCCATCTTCTCACAACACAATACTCCTTACAGTAAGACTAAAATATTCCCCCCCGCCAACTTTTCCAATAATCACCACGTGGGGAGCAGAGATTATTTTAAAAGAGGTACATGGTAGGAAAATTTTCCTAGCAGAACAGCCTAATACAGCAATGCTTATCACTCTTTCTCTATCTAATAAATAAGCATTCATGCATTCTTTCTAGTTTTATAACACCTGGCTTACATTTTCTCTGCCATCTCTGATTACTTCTACAGATACCCTGAGGACTCATTATGATGTCAAAGCCAAAAACACTTCCATTGTAGAAACATGCATAGAAAAATCACTGTGTATGCTTGAACAATGCAGGTGTGAAAGAAACACAGAGAGAAGAGAGGGTGGCAAAACAGACAAACAGGGACCAAGTTAAAGAGAGAGGGGGCAGAAGAGAGAGAAAGGAAAGTGGAGAGAAAGAGAGAGAAGAGACAAGACACAAAGATATTACAAACAGAACCACATTGCATTGAAATAGCCCACTGATGGAAAAAATGGATAGCTGTTGCCTTTAAATAATCTAATATCAGAAAAAATCATGCAATAAAATACTATAAAAGTAGAATATTTGTATTATTTCATATGAGTTATGGTCACTATAGGCAATATTTTAAATATTGGGGTGGTATGTCAATTTAAAATATCTTTTTCATACCAGCAACCATGATATGTAGATATGACACTGCCCCCAACCACACACACACAAACACAAACCTACATCTATTTACTTCTTCAAGTTTGTGGTATCTTTTGTCTTCAGTTTTGTTTGGAAGAAATGCAGATCAATGTCAGGTGTTGTGTTGTGGTACAGAATACAGTATGATGAAACTTAGCTTGGTGAAAAATATGTTATTTGCAAGTTTTTGTTCAAGTTTATCCTCAGTTACTCCTTTCTAAAGAATACTACACAACTTTTCAAATAAAAAAGAAGATATTCAAAAAAAGAACTCTTAAAAACTTGAAATAGGAAAATGCATAACATCATTGCGCTCAAATTACGCTATGGAGTAATTAGATTATAAAAATTTACCAAAACTGTAGATCTCTCTTTCTGAGTCTACCATTCATTTGCCTCCTGAACAGAGTTCTGGTGAGACTTTGCATCAAGGTAGACTTCCTGGCAAAGGACAACATGCATTGGAAACACTGGTTATTGATTGAAAATTATAGCCCTGGTCTAAAAGGGACACCCAGCCAAACCAAACTGTAAGTGCAAAGCAGAGTGGTCATTATCAAAGAGCATCTGACTAGTCCCTCTAATTCCACAGAGGAGTTTTTTTTAATATAAAATATTTAAGGGTAAATAAACCTTTAAGTTGTTTGAAGTTAAAATGTATCCACTAAAATATATAACAAGTAAACAAAGTCTTTCAGATTGTATATTATGTATTTCTAAAATAATGTCTCTCCCTCAAATTAAATTGGCTTACAGGTAGAGTTGGAAATCTAGTTTATGCATGTGACTTTGAAAACATTATTTACTTGACAAAATTAATTTTTCACAGAGAAGTAATTGGCTTTTAAAAATTATAAATGTAAAGTATTTATAAAAGCAGCTGAACAAATAATCAGATTATTAACTCAATTTTTTAATTTTAAGTATAATTGTAACAAATAGAAAAACTTTACAAATCTTTGAAATTGCATAATCACTTATTTCTTTTCCCTAATCTATTAAACATTGACACAGAAAGCAGACAGAAAACATCAGACAGTGAAATAATTGGGTATATTCAAGAGTAAGGTACAAAATAGAAACATTTTCAAGAGAGTAAAAAATAAATAAATAAATTAGGTGAAAAACATAACAGGGACAGTGAAAACAGCATATTAAAGAAGTCTCATTCTCTGAAACTATCCACATAGTCCTAAGGTCATGCTTTGACAGCTTTTATAACCCCGAAGAAGACTAGGTACTCATATTCCTTTAATAATTTTTGTACACCACTCATATGTGGTCACAAATCATTGGGCCTTTACCTTGATCTCAGCTTCTAACACAAATTTGTGAAATTGGCATAAGTTCTGCTGTTGGATGCAAGTTTAACTCAAGAGAAGTTGAAATTTGTGTGTCATGCATACTTTCTACCTTACTGTGACACCAGATAGTCCTGGTGCATCTTTTCAAAGATGAATTTTATTAATAATTACATGTATTTGGATAAAATTTTCCAGTTGAAAAGTAATAATGTTTACAATTTTCCAACCCACAACTATACATATATACAAGTAATTTTTAACATATTGATATGTTTGAATATTTGGAAATAGAGTAAAATATGTGTATAATGGCAGATGGAAAGTCTTTACTAAATAAAAATGTTCAAGTATAGATATCTTTGCTGCCACCATCTTCAAAACATCCAAATGTGACCATGAAGGCTTCTCCTACTTCTACCTCAACTAGCACAATCATTAAGGTGATGAAAGTGAGCCATTTTCACATTGCCAATAAACTAGGAGGAAGTCAGTCACTGTTGAATGCAATCGCTATCAGCTGCGGACAGCTCCTGGTGCTGAAAGGGAAGGCAGAGAAGCCTGCTCACAATAGCTCACTCCACCAGCCTTTGAAAAATCACAGCAAAACTGAATGAGGTGGCAAGTGCTCAGCCTGAATAGCACTGTCTACAGAACAATGGCAGCCAACTCTAAATCCTACTATAATCACATTAATGAGATTAATCAGTGAATTAGCAGCAGTCAAATGTCAGGGAGGCAAGGAAGAATCCAACCAAGATTGGTAATTAACTTTTTGTGGGTGGGGGTGGGGAGGAGAGAAAAATCAACTGTGCTATCTCATAGGTTTTTTTAGATGTTGATAATTTTGATTCACGAATCTGAAGACTATATGTACAGATCAAAAGACAACAACATAATCCTTCATATTATAATATAGATCCAGATCTCATATTACTGATTCTTATAGTCCTCTGAGAAAGCTGATGTCACTTTAAATAATCTTCATAATCTATCAGAATTTTATTGTTTTAAATTCTTTAAATGCACAATTAATATTTAAAATAAACTTATTTCTCTGAAAATCAAGCTAAAATATAAAGAAATATGGCTGATTAAAAGCAGAAGGATTATATAACAACTGTTATTGTTTATGAAAAGTGTATGATAGTATGGTAAGAGTTTTCAAAGTGCAATCAAGTAAAGTACCATCACACACACACATCAGTAGTGGTCTATGTTAGTTAATAAAGAAAATTTATCACTCAAGTATAACTTTAAGGAGACTTTTAAGCAATTAACTTACTGCATTTGAGGTGATAGAATCATACATGTTCTTTTAGGTCAATCAGAAAAAACAAACTTCCTTTTTTTCTGGAATGTTTCTCTTAGTAGCATTTATAACTTACAATCAACACTTTGGATTCAAAGTTCTTGAGAGGTGAAAACTTATAGGAATGCAATGCTGTTTTTTTTTTTGAAAAGGAATATTTTATAAAACTCTTTTCTTTTAAAAATAATTACATTTTTATCTGTATGGGAGACATGACTTTATTATTTTTAAAGCTACATGACACTAAATGAAGATGAACAATTAGAAAGACCCTCATATGCCAGTAAGGGTGGTTTTGGGATGCTTTGGTCTATGACGTTAATTTTGTTTAGTAGAAAATATAAACATTTGAACAAAAAGGCTCTTATATAAAATAGTTTTACTCTAAGTAACTTAGAAATTATTTAGCTTATATAGCTTTGATGGTACAAGAAATTGTCATGGTTAATACTAAATTCAAAATCTGTTCTCTATATTTTATATAGCTAACTTTCATATAAATATTTACATATATATTTTTGCTTTATTCAGATCTATCTTAAAACTAAAGTGTAGAGTTTAATCTTTTAGTTTATTAATTTAGGTGTTACAAAAAGACATATTTCTGTTATAAATAACATTTTCTTTCATTATTATGAACTTCAAACATTTAAGTTAAATTTAAAAATCTTTATTTGAGTTTCTCCACTTAAACAATATAAATCAACTTTCTTCTTACCATCAGGTAAATTCATCCAAAATAGCTAACATTTTAATTGCCTTTGCATAAAATGATGTGCTTCATTTGTAATGTAAAGTAATCCAGTAAAGTCTCTGGGAAGTTTTTGTTTCAGTATCCTCTTATCCTCCAAACACCATACATGCACCCCGTTTTGTTTTTGTTTCTTTTTTTCTTAATAAACAACATCACAGTTAAGTCATGCAACCTAATACCCATTTTAGTTTAAAGACAGATTTTTTTGTGGATTACAAAGCCTCCAGTCCAGGAACATTTCAGCTACCAGCCATGCTGTAAAAATAACTTTAAAAAGGAGCAGACAATGGAATAGCAGCCTCAGCCCTTGAGCTACGGTAAAACACATCCTGCTCACTAAGTTCCCCGAAAAATTAACCTAACGAACATCACGTACCTCACAATGACCACAACCGCTCACAAGCGAAAGACAAGTTCAATTTTGGTAACTGTGCTGGCTCAAAATACACAGACAGGGAAGAAAACCCTGTTCCACCACAAGTTTGAAAGGATGATGAGACACATGCATGCCACCAAGACGCAGAAAAGGTGGCTTTTTGTCTTCAGTGAGTATGGATATCATAACCCATAGTCCAGGGAATGAAAAAATTAAAATGCACCCACCAACAATGAGCAAAAAACCCGGGGTGCTTCAACAAGACTGCAGGGAAAAGCTCTCTCACTGTTTAGTGTGCAGTAGCTTAGGGAAAAAAAAAATGTCGCCCGGGCAGGAATGACAAATGCAGCGCGATAGGCTCGCAGGCCTCAGGGATCTGTTTGACTTCCACACACCCCCATGCACACGCTCCCACTCATCCTCTCCTAGGCTTTTTTTTTTTTCCACATTTTTTTTTCACAAGCTCCAAATCCCCGGCATATGACCTTCTGTTAAATAGATAAAAAAAAAAATTGCTTATCAGTCATGCAAATGAGGCTGAATTCATTTTCCACAACAGATGGCCTCATAGATAATGATGATGGAAGAGAGAAAATTGAATGTCTCTCACAAGGTGGCCATGGCAACCGAGAGCAGAATAATATCAATAATAAACTCACTGCATAATAAGGTTGTCAGTCCTACAAATCAAAGTCTCCAGCTAAATCAGGTATACCACCCCAGCTAGTTACCAGGTAAATAGTACACACACACACACACACACACACACACACACACACTTCCACAGAGTGGCTTGAAATCTTTCATGGTCACTGTAAAATGTGTACGTGTGTGTGTCTGTTGGTGGCAAGAAGGGGTTGGGGGAGAGAATAGTTGGATAATGAAATGACAATGTGACTTTTTTCTTTTCCTTTCCTTTCATTATGTTTTCTGCAATAGACTCGGTTTCATGCAGGACCTTCTAACTAGCCATATTGAAATCGGGATGCGGTGCTGAAGGCTTTCTCTCCTCCCTCTGCCTCCGCGCTCTCGCTCTGATGTGCTGCATTGATGCAATAGCAGCTCGCCTCAGGCTTCCACCTTGGCTCCCAGGGGGACATCCTGCAAAATGAATCAGCAGCCATCCTGAGCAGGCTGATTAAAATGAAAATGGCAAGGCACATGTCTGGGCGGAACTGGAGCTCAGCTTTGCTGCTTGTCTGGCAAGCATGCTCAATATAGCTCTTGCTAATAATGGCTTACTGCCTTTCATTTTTTAAAAAGGTATCACCCTTTTCCCCCTTCACTGACTGGTGTTGTCTGTGTGTGTGTGTGTGGTGTGTGTGTGTGTGTGCACGTATGTGTGCGTGCATGTCGCGGGGGGAAACGAGAATGGATGGTTCTATTCTTCTAATTTTCTGCTGCTCACATGCAGACTGCCTGCCTGACAGCACCATTATTTTAACACTGAACTTACTTCAGCTTTTCTTTTGGGACAGGGTGGGGGGGCGGTTGATAAGTCTTGGGGCAGAAGGGCTAGTTTTAAAATCAAGCTGCCTAAAAGGCCCAGACAAGATTTTTACACTCCAGATTCAATAATTTCTAACCAAATCTGAAGCAACAGACCTCGAGAGAACTCCGATGCTCTGCTTCACAGGCTCACAGTTGGACATGCTGAAACACAGCCTATGAAGAAACCTATTTCTGTTTCGAGCATTTGCAACCAGCCTGTTACTGTATCCTAGATATTATGCAACACAGAGAATTAAAACAGAGAAAGCTACTAGCTAATAAAATAATCGAACACAATTGAAAAAATAAATCTTGGATATTTTGTTGTTTAAAATTCTCAGGCATAGCTTCAAGATTGCCCTCAAATAAGCTTTACTTTGCAGCACCTCTGCCGAGTATTCCAGGGTTTTTCAAGGCATTCTGGAAATTAGACCATTATCACCTCTCAAAAAAATGGTTGAAAAATTAGAACGAATAATTTTTCTAAACTCATTTTACTCTACTTCTCCTATACATCTTATTCTATGTTATAAACAGTCTTTAAATTTTGCTAAATTGTCAGTTTTGCTTTCCTTTGGTAACAGATGCTTGATTTTTGTATAAAACTATCTATCTACTTATTTTTGTCTTTGTAATTCCTGTTTCTGAGACGTGATTTTTTTTTCTTCTGAGCTCTAGCCCTGTTGCTGCAGTGTGAATCAGAAATCAATAGCGCTGCCCTAATGGAGACTCCACTCGGCACGCGGCAAGGCAGCTGCAGTCTCCTCTCTCTCTTTCTCTCTCTCTCTTGCACACACACACACACACACACACACGGAACTAATGACGTCTGTGCAGCTTTTTCAGCTGATTGGGCACCACATCGGATGTTCTGTGGAGCAAAGAATAGGAGTCATTTACAGTCGGCGGAAAAAAAATGGGAGCATATATCCTTCTGTGTGTAAGACACTGATCCTGAGCTCCCCAGGCAAGCAGCATGTGGGTAAGGACGGTTCTTCGTGTTGTGGTCACCACGGGGTAAAGAGCGCCTCCAAAATGATTATAGAACTGGAACTGCAGTACAGTGGGAGTATTTGTCCATTTTGTAAAGGACAAAGCATTCCTCTAAAAAAAAAGTGAGCACAATAAAATTCCCACGCAAATGCGAGTGTTTAGGTCAAATCGTGACCTCCTGGGTATTATTTAGGCGTTTACATATACATTATATTATTACTTCCAAGGAATTCCAAATGTACTTAAAAAAATAAAGTTCAAATTAAATGAATATATATGTATGTACACACACATATATACACACATATTCATGTAATCATTCCCTATGAGTTTATCATAGTTGTGTTAATAATAAATTCTTAGTTAAAATTCACCCCCACATACCTTACCTTACATTAAGAAGAAAGAAATCTGTAAATAATACTGACACAATATTTTAAATCACAGATTTATACATGTATATGTTTTTCTTACACATTTGTGCATGTCTATGAAAACAGAATGTATATTTGATATGGGGCACCTGCACACACACACGCAGGCACAATATTCTTTCAACAGCTTTGGTTACCTTAAGCTGTAGGTGTAACTCACTGCAATGACAGGCTGCTGTGTTGATAAGCATAGTATCTAATGTTTTACCCTTAAGGTAAGGCATCCCTGGACCCAGCAGCATTAAAGAACACGTCTTCCCTTACCACACTGTCACTGCATTTCATTCAACCTCATCGTGTTGACAACAACTGCCCCAGCCTGAATCGGGCTCCAGTGAAGCATTTGTATTCTTTCCACCCATTCTCTGCATGACTTTTAGAGCTGAGATACCAGCCCTCAAATGGCTCAAGAGAAGAGGAAAAATGAATGAATCATGAAGCCACAGAGCCACAGCAGAGCAACACTGCAGTCTGCATTTTGCAGTTACATTGTAGCTCACTTGATACAGTATGATTTCTTCAAAAATGATATCGAGTACTCTGCAGTAAGGTACCATAAAATCCTTTATGATGTAGAAGAACTGGGGAATACTCAAATGACCATTTAGATTAAAAATCTGTAGTTTGCGATTAAACCGTATAACCAAATGTTTTGTCTCTAAGTATCTGTCACCTGCCTCCTTAAATTATTTCTAATATATTTTGTACTTCATGTATTAGTTTATTCCACATGTTAAAGCCCTTGGTATTAGGAAATACATATGTCATTAATTTTGTTTATTTATGTATGTATTTATTTATTTGTAAGAGAAAAGAAATTGGAACATATTGCCACTTCTAATGGGTATGTCCTCCAATTTAGTACAAAGAAAAAAAGCCCATATAATTTTTTGTGTGGAAATACACACAAGTTATAACCTAGGATGTATTTCCAACTGTAGGATACATATGCTGATCACTTTAACAAACGATAGATTGATCTCTCATAGTATAGAAAGTTCAATCTCTTTCCTTTCTGTTCTCTGGACTCTGGTCTCATCATGAGACCAGAAACAAAAAGGAGCCGTGACGTTTCTTCAGGTGCCATGTTGCACACCAGGTGAGGAGCCGGGAACTAGACCTTCATGGAAAGCATGACGATGACTTCATGACCTTTTCTTCAGAATTATGTCTGCACCAGTGATGGAGAGCTGTGACATCTAAAGGGAGTCTGAGATTAATTTAGGTCTGGAGCAAACAGCATAGAATTGCTATAGTTGGGTAGTAAATTGGTAAAACCTGGAATCCAGATATTACTATATCAGAGTGTACACTATGCAAAATCAGGCACTAACATAGCCCTCCGCCACTGTATTGGGGAACAACTTTCCAAGTTAGCTATATATCAGAGAGGGGGTGGTTTATTAATTTATCAATGATAAGGATGGGGAACCCATTTTCATTACAGGGAATTAGCTTCAACTAATCAAAACATCTATAGAGTGACTCAATAGCAAATAGATAAAAGAAATAAGGTGTTGGTGGTTAATTTGCTAAATAGAATAATGAGAAAGAAATTTAGGAGACATATCATGAAGAAGAGCTGAGGTATCAAGAATAGTTGTGGTCAGATAGAATTTGGTTGTGTAATCTCGGTGAAATGACTGGACCACAAGGGGTAGACCATGAACCTCAGAGCTCATGCGTTATTTTTGCAGCTATCCCAGGCTGACCATTCTATTCAGTATAAACCCATATTAGGGGAGTCTGGAGCAGGTAGAGTTGAAAACATCTGTATTCAGATCACTTGGCCTGATTTTATAGAACTGGTTATTTATTGGCAAAATATATAGATATAAATATGAAATATAATTCTGAGATCTAAAAGAGCATTGAGAATTTAAGATGTAGGTAAGGGGTGCCCAACCCCAGTCCATGTCTCTTAGGGACTGGGCCGCACCACAGGAGGTGAATGGTGGGGAAGTGAGCATTATTGCCTGAGCTCCGACAAGTCAGTGGCGACATTAGACTCTCATGAGAGTGTGATCCCTATAGTGAACTGTGTGTGTGAGGGATCTAGGTTGTGTGCTCCTTATGAAAATCTAATGCCTGATGATCTGAGGTGAAACACCTCCCCACCCCGACACGTTCTGTGGAAAAATTGTCTTCCATGAATGAAACCAGTCCCTGATGCCAAAAAGGTTGGGTACTGCTGGTTTAGATTATTATAACCAGCAAACTAAGATAATCTATAGAAGGTATTTATTCTACTCAAAGTCTATAATTTTATAAAATGTCTGCAATTTTGTGAAAGTAAATACCTTTCATTTCACCCTCAGTGGCCCAATAAATTCAAAAATACGCATATTGCAACAAAACTTTCCACATTACCTGCACACCCTTGAGACTCAGTCTCTGAACTATTTTGCATCTGGGGTTTTTATATCGCATTTCATTTCTTTGTGCTATCAGGTTAGTATCTGCAATGATTCAAGCTATTTGAAGAAAGGGACTTATGCCTTTTAGCTTATGAGTACATAGGAATAGTGCTGGTCTAAATCAGGTTCTCAATAAGAATATTTTTATTTATTTTTATAATTAGCTTATGGGTCTCATCCCTGAAGTTAAAAAAAAAAGCCACTTACTTTATTCAAAATTATATTTTTCTTCACTGTACAGAAAACAGTAATAATTATCATGCTCATTTAGAAGAGTTTTGGTGCTGAAAATCATTCAGAAAAGAGAATCTAGAAAAAAACATGGAGGCAGAGAAGACGATGGGGTTCAACAAAAGGAGAAAGATGTACAGCCCGGTCCACACTGTAGTAATTGTTTCACTCTTTCTGAATTTCCAGCATTGGAACCTCCTTCCTACATCCCAACCCTCCCCAATATTTGAGCCTCCTTAGTAGGTAGGGACTGCCTCTCACTCTAGATACTAAAATAACAAGCTATTTATTTTTCCAACTTCTCTTTCAGCAAAGACATGGACACATGGCCTACGATTCACCATTATGACATGCCCAATTTAGATTTTGAATTGTGTGTTGATCCCACAGAAAACCATATTCCTTAAAGATTCTCCTATGGCAATGGTGGTTGTGCAGTATAATTGAGAAAGAGTGGCAGTGTGTAGGGTTTATGGTGGTTGTAGCAGCATCCTGAGAAAACCAGCTGTGCTATATACTTTTAGATATTATCACTAATGTGCTAATCTCCAAGTTTGAGATTTCAACCATCCTAGTAGATCTGACTTGTGTGCTTAATTCAGTCAGAATATTTACTTGTAACTAAGTACACGAAATGAGGCACATGTGTTTACTAAGAATGCAGACAACTCAATCTCTGAGAAACAGCAGTTTTGTTATCTTTCCTGGTAGAAAACATCTCATAAGACAGGAATTTGTCAGCTCATGATACATGGTAGAAAACCAATTAAATGGCCAGCCCTGACCGTATGGAATAATTTGCTGAAATAGATGGGTGTTCTACAAAGTTCCTACTTGATTTACGGAACTGAAGAAATTTGGTATCTGTGCACAGGTGTCGGACCTGAGTCCTACCATAAAGATTTGAGGATCCTCACCCAATCTCGGAAATAAGTTGGCTTCTAGACTCAGGATATCTAAAATGAAGACATGCCTTTAAAGAATGATCTTGCAGTAACATCGTGAACATAAATGTCCTTTCCCAGATGGCCCTACAGCCGTTTGTCAGAGTAATTCTGTATTTGAAAACAGAAATGCCCCTAACTCATGGGCTTCATTGGACTTTGGCTTGCCTCAACTTCTGGGAACCCAGAATACCAAGTGGTCCACTTGAGAGAGATGTACAGGGAGTGAGGCTGGTGATGCATGCTCAGTGGGGCCTTAAACCCTCCCTTCATTTCCCCAAAATTCCTATGGGCAGAGATGAAAACCATATATTCAATAAGCTGGGTGTAGTGGTGCCCACATGTAGTCCTAGCTACTCAGGAAGCTGAGATAGGTGTATCACTGGAGCCCAAGAGTTCAAGGCTGCAGGGAGCTATGATCATGTCACTGCACTCCAGACACAGTGACATACAATGATAGACTGGATTAAGAAAACGTGGCACATATACACCATGGAATACTATGCAGCCATAAAAAATGATGAGTTCATGTCCTTTGTAGGGACATGGATGAAGCTGGAAACCATCATTCTCAGAAAACTATCGCAAGGACAAAAAACCAAACACCGCATGTTCTCACTCATAGGTGGGAATTGAACAATGAGAACACATGGACACAGGAAGGGGAACATCACACACCGGGGCTTGTTGTGGGGTGGGGGGAGGGAGGAGGGATAGCATTAGGAGATATACCTAATGTTAAATGATGAGTTAATGGGTACAGCACAACAACATGGCACATGTATACATATGTAACAAACCTGCACGTTGTGCACATGTACCCTAAAACTTACAGTATAATAATAAAAAAAAGATATTTTCAATAGCCAGCAGAATCCCCTCCCTGGATCCCTAATAAATGGACTATCAAAATAGTAAATCGAAATAATAATTTTATTATTATTATACTTTAAGTTTTAGGGTACATGTGCACAACGTGCAGGTTTGTTACATATGTAACAAGTACTGTGACATTGCTGGGGAAATGATAGCTGTAAAGTTGCCAGTGGTGATAACGGAAGGCATGCTGGTCTTTCATTCTTTGGTGGGGCTAGCACAGAAGACGGGATTCTGGAGAACCGTGGTGAGCTGATAGAGGACGAAGTTCCAAATGTAGCTTCTCTACTCCAGCAAATCCTCATAGCTCCAACCACAAGGAAATGGATGTTATCCCAATGAAAGGATTAGACCAAGATTAGTATTTCTTCCTATTTTAGGAACAACAACACATCTTCACTGTCCTATCCTAGGTTATATTAATTCTTTATCTTTGCAGAAAATACAATTTCTCTCTGCCCAGAGGACATAAGGGTGGCCCCACTACAGCAATGATAGAACACTGCAAGAACCTGGAGAACAGGGGCCAGTGTTCACGCTACATTTCTTGACAAAATAGAGACCTGCTAGAGATCAGAAAGTGAATTCAACAAAAATATAGGGGTCTGCACCTTATAAAGTTACTGGAATCTGATTGTTTGGGGAATGGCCAGGTTATGTTTCTAAACAGAAAGGCAAGAAGCGTTGCCTTCCACTCCTGGTTTCCTCTTTTTGGAGGCTCAGGCTACTGTGGGAGCAGGTTGCATAGGGGTTAGGTGTTCAGTAAAGGGATTGACCCAGATTATCAAAGGAATACAGGGGTCGCTACACGGGGAGGGCCCCGCTCTAACTTCAGGGCCATGAACTGAAAGCCCCTCATTTTTTCATCTTAAATATGGCATCTTGGTGGACTAATGACTAACCTGAAAGCAAAAAGAAGATTCTTGGGGCATCTTTCAATAATGCCAGGTTCAGTCATAACAGCCAAAGGAAGACTAGAGCTTCCAACACTGAGAACTCATCTCTCTCACTGCAGACGCCATCCTACAAGGTGAGCACCTCTGACCAGCTGAGGAGCCGGCTGGATGCAGAGAGCCTGGGACAGAGCCAGGAAGATGCTCATGCTCACCTTGTAGACAAAAGGCTTAGAATATTTAACTGCATTTATCTTCCTTCCTGGGTCATGTACATCTTTATATAACTGAATTAATTTTCTGCTTTTCTCTCTTTCCCCTGTCATTTTAAGGTGATAGTGGCCTATAGTATGAAGCATGTTGACATGGAATTGTAGCAGAATAGAGAAGAAGTGGGCACAAGCTAGGAATCCTGGACTGGGAGCTGAGCACAGAGAATCAAGCCATTCCTTTCTAAGAACTGGGGGAATGATCTCGTTCAGGAGAGGATTGAGTTAAGATGCATAAGTGCTTTTTAGGGATGTGTGCTGATGTGGGGCAGCATGGGATGAAAATAGCAGACACTTACTCCATGTTGATGCTTCACAGAGGAAGGTCACACCCTGAGAGCCTGGGCAGGTGGAGAAGGCTTCTCCGGTGAGTGCAAGAATGGAGGAGGCGCTGGAGCTGTTCTGAGGGAACCCCCTCAGCGGCCTGGACATTAGAAATGGCCTCAGCCCTCTGTCCTCATCTTCCACTCCTGAGCATTCGGCAAGATGCCAGTATCTTGTTAATAAATGGCCTTTTCTGCTGAAAGGAGCCTGTTGGTTTCCTTTGTTTATATCTCAGAGCTTTCACTGATACAACACACAGACACAGAATACAAAGGCACACACACACACAGATACCTAAACCCTGGGTCTTTCAAGGTAAGAGCCCAAGCTCCGGCACAGTTTCTCCTTTTCTACCTCTCATCATGGATCTGCTGCCACCCTTCACCCCAAACCCTGGCCTGTTTGCTTTCTGAGAAGTGGTCTTGTTCATTCATTACCATCTTCTGAGCCTTTGTGTGGAGTGGCCCTGCTCCGCACAAATCCGATGAGTTCTGGCTCCAAAACTTGTTTCTCTCTCAGCTGCAAATGCAAAATCCTCTAGACTCCAGAAACAAAATAAATTGCACCACAGTCCAAATCCTATCAGAAATGAAACAAGTAAGTAGGCTAAAAAACCCCACAAACTTTATGGCATAGTTAGTTACCAACCCTTTTGTGATATCAAGCTGGAAGAAACTTTGCAAGGAGAAATATCTTAACAATGTTTCTTTGATGTGTGGTCTTATTCATTTGTAATAAAGGACAATTCCTGTTTTTCTTTTAATACACTACACAGCAGGTGTTCTCTTTCCCAATTATGGACTGAAAGGCCTTTGTCTTCTATTTCATCTTATTCTTGTGATAGATGTAGGAGCCATGGGTGTCTCCTGAGAGCTTGTTGAAAACGCAGCATCTTGGGCCCCTCTCGGACCCACTGACGTAGGATCTGCCTTTAACCTAACTCTTCTGTGAACTGTACGCACAGTAAAGTTTGAGAAACACTGGACTGGATCAGTGCCTTCCAAAAGATATATACTTTAAGCCTCAGGTTTAATTAAATTTATTCTAATAGCTACATATTTTGAAACAGAAACAGGTGAAATAAGCTTTGATAATTCATTTTACTTAATACACATAGAATATTGTTAATCAGCATCCAATTTATTAATGAGATATTTTACTTTTTTTTTGAGAAGGAGTTTTGCTCTTGTTGCCCAGGCTGGAGTGCACTGGCACAATTTCTGCTCACCGCAACCCCCGCCTCCTGGGTTCAAGTGATTCTCCTGCCTCAGCCTCCTTAGTAGCTGGGATTACGGGCATGCACCACCATGCCCGGCTAATTTTGTATTTTGAGTAGAGATGGGGTTTCTCCATGTTGGCCAGGCTGGTCTTGAACTCCTGACTTCAGGTGATCCGCCCGCCTCAGCCTCCCAACGTGCTGGGATTACAGGCGTGAGCCATGGTGCCCAGCCTTTTTTTTTGAGATGGAGTCTCACTCTGTTGCCCAGGCTGGAGTGCAATGGCGCAATCTTGGCTCACCACAACCTCCACTTCCCAGGTTCAAGTGATTCTCCTGCCTCGGCCACCTGAGTAGCTGGGATTACAGGCACGTGCCAACATGCCACGCTAAGTTTTGTATTTTTAGTAGAGACGGGGTTTCACTATGTTGGCCAGGCTGGTCTGAGATCCTGACCTCGTGATCTGCCTGCCTTGGCCTCCCAAAGCATTGGGATTACAGGTGTGAGCCACTGTGCCTGGCCTATTTTACATTTTTAAAAACAATCTGGTGTGTGTTCTGCACTTAAACCCCATCAGAATTTGTACCAGCAGCGTTTCAAGGGTTCAATTGCCACACTTCACTGGTGACTACCATATTGAATTCTCGGATAGAAACTGCCAGATTTCTCCTCTAGTTTCACACTGGGATAGGTCTGCTGGACTTCCCCCTGTCTACAGAAACCATAGAAATACCCTATGGGGCAATGTGAAATACTGTCGATAACCAAAGATCCAGCACATTTTCACACATAGACATAAATATTAATAAATATTCATTGACTGACTGAATACATGAATGTTTGCTCAACACTGGGACACGTGCTTGGACTCTTGTCCCCGCCCTTAAGAATGTCTTTGTGGATCCTTCCCTTCTGCCTGCTTCAATTGTCATCTGGTTGTTACTGTATAATCTTGTAACTTGTGTTCTACTTAGATTCCTTTAGTTGTATGTAACAAAAAGAAAGGCATGGGATATTCTGCAGCTTTGGAGTTTGGGAACTCAGTCAATGCTGTTTATTCTACATCTGCTCTTCCTGCCTCACATTTCCCTGGATCTCCGGGGTTGGCCTGTCTGTCCTATAACTGCCACAGGCCCTTCCTAGGAAGCCTGTCCATTCCCCAGGGCTCTGGACCTGTGTTTCTGTTTGACTTGCTCTGCTATTCATTCCCTAACCTTTCTGAAAGTCCAGTGTGGACAACAACATATATTGTATTGGCTTTTAGATCTTTTACCAATGTAAATTTCAGAGGCCTCTCCTGACAACATTCTGTGATTGATGGCAAGTTTTATACCAGGGTGCCTGAGACATGCTTCTTCTGCACTATTTCTGAATGTATGCATTCATGAGCTGTGCTGTTTTTCCTTGAACCTACTTTCACCCTCATCTGAAAAGAATTTCAAAGGCTGGAGTTGAATTCCCATGTTATTTTATGGAGGCCATGAGAAGTGGTGTTTGGAACCTCTCTCTTTAAATTTATCTTAAATAGTTGCCTAATGCAGACAATCTACTTTAGTTTGTAGAATTGGAATCTCATTTTCCAAATTCACTTATAATAAAAACACAAGCAGATGTTAGAATTATAGGAAATTAGAAGTGAAAAGGCTACCTTAGAGATGATCTACGTTATAGTTTAGAAAACTGAAGTCTAGAAAGGTGGTGACTGGTCTGATATCATTGATGAGAGAAAAAGTGAGAGAGAGAGACAGAGAGAAAACAGAGATAGAGACAGAGGGAGACAGAGAGACAAAGAGAGATGAGACAGGCAGATAGAGACAGAAAGAGATCCTTTAAGCTACCACAGTCACTCACTCAGGATGGAGTACTGGCCTGCATGAATAAACCTGGTGGTTTGTCCAATAAATTATACTATCTTAAAGACATCTAAGAATGTTTGGTTAGCAGGAAATTAAAACTTCTTTTCTAGGCCACTAGAGCTCAAATTGGGACATTAACTCAAATTTGAATACGTGTATCTGCACGGTGGATTTCAAGCTAGGTCTCTTTGAATTTGCTGTGTTCCTTTAATCAGTTCTAAGTGACAGAGGGGCTTCACAAAATACCTTCCATACATTATCTGCATGGTGGATTTCAAGCTAGGTCTCATCGAATTTGCTGTGTTCCTTTAACCAGATCTAAGTGACAGAGGGGCTTCACAAAATACCTTCCATACATTATTTTACTTAATTTGAAAGTCAGAAGATATACTTATAAAGTAATATGAGTGATTTAAAAAATACTCAAACTGAAGACATTCAAAATACTCTTTCTCTTTCATGAGGATCATATTTATTCCAGAGCTTTATATTGTTTGAGACAAGGCTTAAGTTCTTCAAGATAAGTTTGGGATACCTTTAGGTTATCTGGCATATCTTATGTAATTTCTTCATTGCAGAAAAATCTTTATTCTTGGAAGTCGAATGTCTAGAAAGAGCCAAAATTGTTAAAATATCAATTCTAGTAAATAAAATAAATTCTCCATTTGTTAATACTGTTCAGACAAAAAAGTAAAATGTGTTTAAAAGGTAACAAGGCAAATTTTTAAATGTATGCCTTAAAATCTGGGTCCGAAAGATGGGTCTCAAATAAAAAACCTATGTTGGTCACAGCCTCAAAATCCCAGCCACGTGAAACCCTGATTAGAATCTGCTCCTGAGGCCTCCTGGCTTCTCTGGCACTTGACATTGTGAAGAACACCAAAGGCAGATTGAGCATATTCAATAATGTAAAAAGGAGTCAGATCTGAAAGTATCCAGCAAAGCCAACATGAAGGCAAAAACAAAATAACAGTTGTTCTAACCAGAGCGTGGGCTTTGTAATGGGTGGGGACTTAGACCCTAGGGTAGGTGAAGGGTCAACTTGCAGCATGACCTCCAGCAGGGGCTGAGCATCAAAACGGGAAGCGCAGAGAACCGTCAGGTCAATCCTTGTACTGCAAGACCCATTTTTCTTCAGTGGGGACACTTAGTAGGTCCTCAGCAGCAAATGCCTCCTCTCTACCACTCCTACTGAGGAGCACTGTGAGATCAGGAAGAGACAGACTGCAAAGGGAGAGAAGGGCCACAGAAACTGGAAGGGGCCCAGGGGAAGGGTGGAGTGGAGAGGCAGGGTGAGGTTCTGAGGAGAGCTCAGGAGAACAGCAAGCCTGATTTCACAGGCGTGGCAATTAGGGAAGTTAGAAGGCACATTTATTAAAATACAGTGTATGTACTTAAAGGTCTTAGATTTGTTCTCATTTTATTTTTCAAGTTTCATATTTATTGTCATCAATTAGAAAATGCAAATAAAGAATAAGAAAAAAAAAGCATAAAGTTCCACTGCCAGCTTTAATGCAATTAATGTTATGTTATGCTCAGACATTTTTTAAACATTGTTTTCTACTTGTTACACTAAACATAAAATAATAAAATCCATTCATTTGGCCTTTCCTCAGCAGCTTCTTTAAAAAATATAAGACATCTATCTTTATATTTTGAATATCCCTATTTTATAATGAGAACTGAGTGGTCGCTTATGCAATACAACAATAACTGCAAAAATTGAAGATAAGAGAAAAACTTAGAAATATGGTAGACCCACTTCTCTTTATAGTTGAGAAAACAGGCCTCAAGAAATGAAGAATGTTACCTCCACTAAGACCTTTTTATTTGTTGTGACTGCCAGCAAGTACATTCAATGATTTAATTATTTAACGGAGTCCAAAAATCACAAGAGAGGAAAGCAGTCTCCACCCAATGGGTGCCCTTTAGGCCAGGATTTTATATTCAGCTTAATGCTAGAGGTCCTAACTAACATAACTTCAATGCAGACAATGTAATTGTAACCATAAGGAGGTAAGGTGCGATTTCTGCATGCAAGATCATCACTCCGTTATCACGCTTACTCCATGCAGTCATGCTGGCCCTGGTGGTTCTGTGCACAGACACCCTGAACCCACACAGCCACTTGCCTGGGTCTGGGCACTGGCTTCGTGGCTTCCTAGCTCTGAGGTCGTCAGCGAATGACCCTTGTGCCTGTGTTTTCTCCTGTGCAAAATGAGGAAAACAGCAGCACCTGCTTCATGAGGTTGTTCTGACAATTCCAAGAGTTGATTCCTATAAAGTGAGCAAAGTGTGTCCACACCTAATATGTTCAATCAATGCTGGAGGCTACATTGTTCCTGTTTTTGTGACTATAAACCATGGCATTAGTTCCCTCTAGGGAGGAATGTTGGGGAATAAAGGAAATGAGAATTTGGGCGAGCATAAGAGGACCTAACTTATATTCAGTGTTGCATTTATTTTTTAAAAAATGAAAAAAATGACAACATGTTAACATTAGGTAATTTATGTTGTGTACTTGGTATTATATATTTCCCGTATTTTTCTAAGTATCTAAAAATGCTTATATTTTAAAACATATATAATGTTTGCCAGCATAGCCTAAGACCATTTTATCTTTATCTTAATTTCCTCCAAACATAACAGTATAGATACATCATAGGCCTTTTCTATTTTGTCTTTCAACCTTTTTAAGTTATAAAATAAAAAAAGATACAGGAATATGACACAGAACTGATGCAGAGAAAATAAATTCTTCTGAAGGAAACCACTCTCTTGACCTCCACTCAGGTAAAAAAATAGGACTTTTCCAGCCCCCCACACCAGGCTCTCCACGTGCTGAGTCCTGAACACAGCGGCCTTCTTCCTCCACAAATTCACCTGGATCATGGAGTCTCCTGTATTTTTCTTAACTTCATGTGCATGGTGCAGTTCAACATGTTCTTCTGTCCTCTGAGTTTCCTGCCTAGGGCATCCTGGACTCCAGGCTTCAGAAGGATTGCGTCCCACACCTAAGGCCTGCCTTTCATGGGGCCAAGTGTTTCCATGAGGAAGCACGTCATGTTTGGGATATTTTGGTGGTGTTATCAGTGGTTGCTGCTCAGTGACTAGATAAATGGATTCTGTGGAGATTACAAAATGCTGACGTTCTAATTCAATCACTTAATTTTTCCTTATTAGATGGAATATTTTTACAAGGAGAAGCTTCCCTCACCTGCACGATTTGGTCTCTGGTAGACTTCATGTGGGAAAGGCAGAATAAGTACTTGGTTCTTTCCTTTTTTTAACTGTTGTCAAGATAATTAGTTTCCTATCATCCTTCAAAGGTGACCGTTTAATTTTTTAAAAAGTTTTCTAATGAGGTGGATTTAAACATATTCATTAGGTTTCTATGCATTATCATTATCTTCCTAATTGAAGCTCAAGCTGTTCCATCTTTGGGTGGTGGGGCCTCTTCAGGGTGAACCTTGTGTCTTCAAGATGACGCCAGTAGTCTTTGATAGCTTTCTTTCCATTTGGTATGTCACGATGTCCCGGGCTCATTTTGTACCCTTCTGCTCCAGTTTCCTGAGAAGTTCTAATTTGTTTTCCTGAGGAATGATATTTCTGGACCACAATCTGGGGCTAGGGATGAATGTTGCCGCTGCATTGGCATTGTTTCTAGGCTTTTTCAGTAAACACAGCCAGGAGATCAAACAAGATCAAACAAGTTATAAGTTCCTATTGATACTTCCCATCAAATTCAGGACCACAGGTTTTTCATGTAGTCTCTTATTGTACTAGCCTGTTCTCATGCTGCTAATAGAGACATCCACAAGACTGGGCAATTTATAAAGGAAAAAGGTTTAATTGACTCACAGTTCCACATGGCTGGGGAGGCCTCACGATTACAGCTAAAGGTGAATAAGGAGCAAAGTCATGTTTTACATGGTGGCAAGCAAGAGAATGTGTGCAAGGGGAAGTCCACTATTCACTATCATGAGAACAGCATGGGAAAAACCCACCCTCATGATTAAATACCTCCTACCGGGTCCCTCCCATGACAGGTGGCAATTATGCAAGCTACAATTCAAGAAGAGATTTGGCTGGGGACACAGCCAAACTGTATCACTTATATAGTTCACATCTACTTTCTTCTGTTTAAAAAATCTATCAAGGACTGTGCAGATGATTTATTTAAAATATCCCATAATTACTTTCTTTTTGCTTTAGCCCTAAAAAGTGTATTAGTCTCAAAATGACAGTACTAAATATTACCACCATCAATATGATTACGGAGAAGTTTCAAAATTATTTTTCCAATTGGTTGTCTGGTTCTTCCTTCATTTTTATGGTTGAACTATAGTTATATTGTCAAAGGATATAACCATTAAATATGATCCTTTCTACCTTTTACCCATATGTAGTGTAATGTCTATGAGGAGCTGTCTGTTTAATGATGATATAGTCTTTCCATTCAAATCTGCTTTGTGATTTTGATTCACAGAAGCTCACTGTCTAGAAGGCTCCTCAAGAAAAACTTATGGGAACACATTCCCTGAGGCTTGAGGGTGTTTTTTGGCTGGATATAAAAATCCTTGGTTCACATTTCTTTCAGGATCTTACAAAGCTCACTGCACTTTTATGTACAAATTTCCACCAAGCCAGGCTGTCCGGGATTCCCTCAGCTCTCTCCCCTGAACCTCCATGTCCTGGACCCACCTGCCTGCCCTCCTTCCCAGGTCTATCTGGACAAACCTATCTCCCAAATTCCCCACATTTTCTTTGAGTGTTCCCACTCTCCTTGCCTTGACTGACACCTGGCACATTCTGTGGCTCTCCTCCATCCTCCCGCCAGTCTCTCAAAGAGACTTGTCTCTTTGCTCACAGAACCAATGAGGTGAGAAACCGCCCTGCTTTGTTCACTCGTGTTACACTAATACTCAGCAACACATGGGGCAATAGTTAGCTGCCTACTGAATGTGTTAATTGAACAAATGAGTGAATGAATGAATGAATGAATGAATGAATAAGGATGTTCAACAAGCAAAATCTAAGAAAAACTAAAGCAGTTTCAAAAGAGGGAAAGAAAGAAAAAGTAATTGTCAGAGTGATCCCTGGAATTAAGAACTAAGGCTTACCTCAAAGCGAGCAGCCTGTGTGGTGCCGTACATTGATAGAAGCTGATGCCAGAAAGGGAGGAACCTGCAGAAGTACCGTTAAAAAAAAGTAGATTTTAGAACCCTAAATTTCATTCCAATTCATCTTCATTACTTCACCTCTTTTCACCTCTGGCTGTCTTCAAAGAAAACAAGGAGGAAAGTGAAATCTCTATTAAAAAAGGACTTATCCACCACCCTTCAAGGAACTGGGTGAATTTCAGGAGGGTTTCCCATGGCTCCCCTCCTCTTCTGTCACCTTATTTGGGTTTTCCTCTGGTTTAACCCTCACCATGGAATACTCTATTTTGTAGTGATTTGACATATGGCTGATTTTCCCCAAAGAGAATGAATTATTTATCTTTCTATGCTTTGCACACCCAAGAATAACATATTCTATAAAATAAGTACTCAAAGTGTATTGAGTTGAAGAATGCTGAATCCTGATAATTGTTCGCATTGTCATTAGAAACATGGAGTATATTTGAAGAAGCAGAGGAGGCACAGACCAAAAGTTCTGATAATCTGGCTCCTCACGTACTTATATACATTTATATTTAAAAAATAGACACACTGAGACTCTCCTTGCACACTCACCAGCTCGGAAATGAGAGGAATTTTTTCATGATCAAGCAATTTAAATGGGGATTTGAGAAAAATATATTAATCTTTGGAACACAGAAAGGTCACTATCAATCCTCTAAACTCCACTTGGGCATATTGAATTAATGATCTCTTGGGGGTTAACTTATTTCAGGAGAAGATGGAAAAAATTTATAAAAAATAAAACTAAGGCAATTTAGAACACCGAAGAAACAATTTAAAGAATATAAAGAGAAGAAAGTCCTCATACTAAGCAGTCAAGACTGATGTCTTGAACAATATAATTCTTTTGCTAATGTTGACCTACAGTGAATTATTATTTGTCACGGTTATTTCACCAATAATAGGACAGAGGAATAAATACATACAATATGTCAAAAATACATTTTTAAAATTTTAACAATTTTTAAATTATTAAAATTAAGAATAAAATGTGATTATCCTATGCTCAAGTTTAACTTTTTGTTCAACTCTAAAACTAAAACATTTTAAATACAAGCATCCACTGCCCTTTAATGTTTATTTTATATTTTGTATATTAACACACACATACCATTTTTTATTTTCCCTAATTCTCTTCAACGGATTTTACCAATTTTTGGTGGAGAAAGGGAACAGAGAAGGAACTCATCTGTGCATATAGGATATTTTTAAAGTAGATTTGCTCTCTTATCAGGAATTTTTATTGAAATTTAGTCCTTATGCTTTTTAGTTAAATTATCATTCGATTCTATTCCAAATGTGCTTAGTACTAATTTTTCTCTAATTCTTAATTACTGTCATGTTCAGCACTGAGGATAAATTTGGTTTTCCAAGTTTGTTTTTATTTTTGCAATAACTTCCACTTATATTTAGTAAATTTTCTGAACAATATTGATGAATATTTATCTTCATATAAGCATTAAAACTGTTTTTCGTGTTATGTTTATAGCCACTATACAGTTTATTTCATATAGCTGTAGCCTCCTGCTGGACATGAAGAGAGTTCCCTAAATATTTCATGCATGATGACTTTGTAAACCTGTGTTAATCACTTTCCTGTTTCTTAAAATTTGGCTAGAGCCTGTCTGACAACAACATGAATGGGACAGAGTGTCTTTATTATTAACCACAATTTCTTCTTCTGATGTCTGTATCTCTTTTCTCTTTTCCTCATTTACTCTGGACTAGAACAAAATGAAATTTTCTTGTTGTCACAATATTCTCTCCATTAATAAATTCCCATGGGTGCCTCCATTGTTCCTTCTGTGCCTCTGAGGTCTTCATTGCCAGCGTACACCTGAGCTAGGCCTATTACCATCAGTAACCTCTCCCGAAATCCTCCTCTCATGCTTACTTTTAGCTTGTTTCTTTTTTTGTCATTATTACACCTTATTAGCTTCTCTCTCTACCAGAAAGTTTACTTCATGCATCTTTTCTTGCTTTTTTGTATTTTCTTTGTCCACTGCATTGTCATTGCGACTTTCTTGTTTAGTTACAGAAAGCTTAACTTCCAAGCGTGCGTCGCTTCCTTTAAAGAATAATAGGAAGGAAACTATAATACAAATTTTCTTTCTTCCTTACAGATAATTTGATTTTTCTTCCTCAATAGACACCTGACACCCAAATTTCCCACATGTGGCACTGTCTTTGCTGTGAGAGTGGGGCCCTGTGGACAGGGACAGACTGCCTGGCTCTGACAGGCTCTGGGAGCGGATCACAGGCACCACCTCTGTGGGTTAGTGGGAAGGCAGAGTGGTGCCTTCATCCATGCCTCTAGGTACTCTGCAGATGAGCACTTTCTCTTCTGAACTACTTTCCTTCAGTGATCAATCACAACTTGTAATCACTTGGGGTCAAATATGTCAGGCAAAATCATCCTGTTCTACTGCATGTGAACAACTCAGAACCCAATTACGAAACCCCCTCTCTCTGCTTTCATAACTTCTAACCTCACTGCCAAGTTTTGCCAAAGCTGTGGCTCATTGAATGCTCATGCTCACGTGTTTCAATAGTAATAATAAATATCACATATACAAGACAGTCCAGTCCCTCCATTGTTTTTACATGATGTGTTCCCGTGTCTGCAAGAATCATTAGTTGATGTCAACTGGAGTCCTACAGAGAGAAAGTTCTGGTATTGCAAATGAGAATTCCCCCATGCACTAACGATCATAAGAAAAGCCAGAAGATAAAACAGGCCACACTGATTTATTAAGAAATAAAGTATTTCTTAATTTATATAAATTCTTAGGCAAATATAAAAGCACAAAGTTGTTTTATCCCAGCTGGGCACTTTTAACTAACTTACTTTACAGTATTGATTTATTGAGCCACTGCAATATTCCAGATATTTAGATATAAAAAGTCTGGAAAAACAATAATAACAACCATTTATAGAATAGTTTTAAGTGCTATATATTGTGGTAGGCACTTTACATCTATTAATTGTCTCATTTTCTCCTCACATAAGAGCTGCGAGGTGTGTAGTGTAACAGCCATATAATAGTTGAGAAAATGGAAATAAAGAGGAATCATAAAATGCAAACAAGTTATTTCTCCACATCCTCTCCAGCACCTGTTGTTTCCTGACTTTTTAATGATCACCAGTCTAACTGGCATGAGATGGTGTCTCATTGTGGTTTTGATTTGCATTTCTCTAATGACAAGTGATGATGAGCTTTTTTTCATGTTTCTTGGGCACATAAATGTCTTCTTTGGAGAAGTGTCTGTTCATATCATTTGCTCACTATTTGATGGCTTTTTTTGTTGTTGTTGTAAATTTGTTTAAGTTCCTTGTAGATTCTGGATATTAGCCCTTTGTCAGATGGATAGATTGAAAAAATTTTCTCCCATTCTGTAGGTTGCCTGTTCACTCTGATGATAGTCCCTTTTGCTGTGCACAGTTGATGGGTGCAGCAAAGCACCATGGCACGTGTATACCTATGTAACAAACCTGCACATTCTGCACATGTATCCCAGAACTTAAAGTGTAATTAAAAAAAACAAGTTAATTGACTGATAATTTAGTTTAAAACCAAACCCATTTAGATTTTATTCCTTGGATAGATATTTCTCTAAGACAAGATCTACGGAATAAACTTTGTGTGTAGTATTTTAAATATTTCACTGAATATACAATTATCCAAGTAAAAATCAGGTATCTCTCAAATTATTCAACCCAAAGAATGACCTGAGTTTATTTACAAAGTAATTTTCTAAACAGTTAAATATTTTTATTAAAAAATCTAATTATAACTGCAGCAAGAAGAGAAAGTGTGTACCCTCATGTTGAATTTTGTTTTTAATTCATTGTCATAATTGACACAAAAAAATTGGAGTTCTCTGTGTGTGTATTTGAAAACTACAGCTTATTTTTCTAACTTAGACTATCATTTATCGCAGATTGCACCTGTAATCCCAGCTACTCGGGAGGCTGAGACAGGAGAATTGTTTGAACCTGGGAGGTGGAGGTTGCAGTGAGCTGAGTTTGCGCCACTGCACCTGGGCAACGGAGTGAGACTCCATCTAAAAAAAAAAAAAAAAAAAGATTGTTTCAATTGAAATATGAATTACATTTCAATACGCCACAACCAATTGTAAATGCATTTCTGTCCTATAGGCTTCTTTTCTCCCCCTTCAGCTTTGTTATGGTTTAATTGACAACATTTATGTGTGTTTATGTATAACAAAATTTCTTAATTTAGTACCTACGTTGTATTATGCCAGGCTCCATCAACATGTACACTATTAATATCACTGAAAATATAAATAATTTTTTGCAATGTTTAACCTTTTCACCAAATTTACCGATTTCTTGCTTTCTCTACTTGAGGCATCTATGACACTGAAGTAAAACTGGCTTCCTGCAGCCGTTTGCAAAGTGTTTCTTCAGCTAATGAAACTGGAACAATGGCAGTGATTGCTTCACTTCTCGTACATGCACAGGGAAGCTTGGAATCTGAGAGATAAATTAATTTATAACACTTTTTTGATCTAAAGGAAATGTTCCGCTTCGCTGAGTGACATGTCACACACTTTCTGCAGTCACACATAGTACATTATTGTCTTTAGGCACAGATTTCATGTTCATCAAGTTCATGGAAGACAAAGAGAAAGTGAGGAATTGTCACAGATTAGAGGAAGCATGGGAGACATGAAAAGTATACACAGTGTATGTGGGGCGTTAGAACAAGAAAAGGGCTGTGGGGGAACCGGGAAATTACGGATAAAGCCTGTTAGTAGTATTACACCGTGTTAACTTCCCGGCTTGGATAATTGACTCATGATTATACAACTTGTTAATATTAGGGACAGATGGGTGAAGGGCATAAGGTCACTCTCAAGTTCTACAACTTTGTTGTAAATCAAAATTTATTTCAAATAAAAAGCAATTAAAAACATCTGAATATTTCAAAGAGATACAACAGTTTTCTTAGAAGATTTGTGCCTTATGAATTTTATATGCTTAGTGACATCACTGACGTTCCTTTATTAGATAGAAATTTTGGCAAACATAGTGTAAAAGTTACACAATTGTCATTGAACTTCTTGAGAAAAATGTTTATTTTTTCATTAAACAGACTCCTATATGATATATTTCCCCCTTTTCATTTTTCTTCTTTCCTTTCTTCTTTCTTTCTTTCTTTCTTTCTTTCTTTCTTTCTTTCTTTCTTTCTTTCTTTCTTTCTTCTTTCTTCTTTTCTCTGGTTAAAGAATAACTGCAAAACAGGTCTATTGCAAAATTTAAAAATTATTATTAAATATGAAATAAATGGCTAAATATTTACATAACAAAATGAATGCCAGAACAATTGTAGTAAAGTTATCCAGACCACCCTCTAAATTTAGTACAGCACTTTGATTTTTTTATGCATACTTCACATTTACCCAACCATAATACAATCTCACCCCACTTAGTTTGTAGTAGGCATTGGGTGTTTTAGGGCCTCCCACTGCCAGGACACTAGCTGGAACAGGAGGTGGTCAGCAAGGGCTGCATCTCTGACCACATCTTCAACCACCACCCAGACCAAAGGGCCAGCTTTCCCCAGCTTCTCTCATCTAAAAACACTTAGTTTTATTCATGGGCATGCTGACCTTGAAAAATAGCTATTATTTCTACTGTATTAGAGAGTGTTGAACAAAGAGAATGGGTTACAGCTGGTCATCTGTCAGATTTAACCACATGTGAACATAGAAAATCTATCCATCTTGCATGCACTACAGACATTTCCTTGTGAGGCCAAGGTGGTAGCTGTAGTTACAAAGTGGATGGCCACCCCATCCATCCTGCTTGTATTCAAGTAAGAATAATAACACCTCACTACGATGAAAGTTTCCAGGAATCCAGATAAAGCAAAATGATATTGAGAAAACAGGACATGATCCAACTCTCATGTTCTACTTACGGAAAACTCACCTTATCCATAAAGACACATACGGAATGAAAGTAAGGGGATAGAAAAATATATTCCACACAAATGGAAACCAAAAGTGAGCAGGACTTCCTATACTAATATCAGATAAAAGAGACTTTAAATCAACAACATTAAAAGAAGACAAAGAAAGTCATTATATAAATATATGAGTATCAATTTAGCAAGACAATATAACATTCCTAAATATGTGTGCACCCAAAATGAAAGCACTCACATTCATAAAACAAATATTACAACATCGAAATAATGAGATCGACAGCAACACAACAACAGTGGGTAATAGTGGGGGACTTCAATGCCTCACTCACAGGACTAGACAGACCATTGAAACGGAAAATCAGCAAAGAAACACTTGGACTTAAACTGGACTTTTGAGCAAGTGGACTTAACAGACATTTACAGAACATTCAACCCAACAACTGCAGAACATACATTCTCCTCATCAGCCCATGGAACTTTTTTAAAAAAAATTCTTCCAAAACAAAACAAAACAAAAACAAACAAACAAAAAAACTGGGATACATGTGCAGAACGTGCAGGTTTGTTACATAGGTAAACGGGTGCCATGGCAGTTTGCTGCACCCATTGACCTGTCCTCTAAGTTCCCTCCCCTCACCTCCATCCCCCAATAGGCCCTGGTGTGTGTTGTTCCCCTCTCTGTGTCCATGTGTTCTCAATGTCTGTGGAACATTTTTTAAGACACCATATGTTAGGCCACAAAACAAATATCAATACATTTTTAAAAATCAAAACAAGTATCTTCTCAAACTACTGGTTTTATTACACTGTGGAATAAAACTAGAAATCAATACCAACAGGAATGTCAGAAACTCTACAAATACATGGAAATTTAACAACATGCTACTGAATGATCGCTGGGTCAACAAAAAAATTAGGAGGTAATTAAATGTGTTTTAAGACAAATAAAAATGGAAAGACAACATACTAAACCTGTGGGATACAGAAAAAGCAGTGCTGAGAGGGAAGTTTACGGTATCAAATTCGTACATCAATAAGATAGAAAGATCACAAATTAACAACCCAATTTCTCACCTCAGGGAACTAGAAAAACAAAAACAAACTAATCTCAAAGTTAGCAGAGAAAAATAAATAACAAAGATTGGAAAAGAATTAAATGAAATAGAGACCAAAAAAATACAAAAGATCAACAAAGTGAAAAGTTAATTATTTGAAAAGATAATATTTATAAACCATTTGGTAGATGAACCAAGAAAAACAGAGAGAGAAAATCCAAATAAACAAATCAGAAATGAAAAAGAAGACATTGCAACTGATACCATAGGAATACAAAAGATCATCAGATACTATTATGAATAATTATAAGCTCACAAACTAGAAAACCTTGAAGAAATGGATAAGTTTATGGAAACTTACAATCTTTCAAGAGTGAACCAGAAAGAAATAAAAATTCAGAACTGACCAGGAACAAGAGTAACAAGTGGCATGATTGATCAGTAATACAAAGTCTCCCCTAAACACCAACGAAAATATCCCAGGACCGGATAAATTCATAGCCAAATTCTACCAAATGTAAAAAGAAGAAATATAAATCATCCTGAAACAGTTCCAAAAAATTAAGGAGGCAAGGATTCTTTCTAACTCATTCTATGAAGCCAGTATCACCTTGATACTAAAACCAGACAAGAACACAACAAAAAAAGAAAATGACAGACGAATATCCCTGATGAGCATAGATGAAAAAATCCTCAGCAAAATACTAGCAAACTGAGTGCAACAGCATGTCGAAATGATAATACACCATGATTAAGTGGGTTTTATTCCAGGTATGCAGGGATGGTCCAAAATACACAAATAAATAAAAAGGATACATGATATACATAGAATTAAGGAAGAAATATAATCATCTCATAGACGTAGGAAAAACATTTGATAAAATTCAACATTTTTTCAGGATAAAAACCCTCAACAAACTAGGTATAGAAGGAACATACCTCAAAATAATAAAGGCCATCTATGACAAATCCTCATCCAACATCCTACCATGGGGAAAATTTGAAAGTATTCCCTCTAAAACTGGAACAAAACAAGGATGCCTACTTTCACCATGCCTAGTCAACATAGTGCTGGAAGTCCTAGCCAAAGCAATCAGGCAGAAGAAAGAAAGAAAAGGCATCCAAATTGGAAAAGAGCAATTCAAATTATCAATTTTCTGATGATATTACCTTATATCTAGAAAACCCTAAACACACTACCAAAAATCTCTTAAATTTAATAAATAAATTTAATGAAGTTTCAGAATGCAAAATAAAGTACAAAATCAGTAATATTTCTATATACCAGTAATTATTAAGCTGGGAACTAAGTCAAGAAGGTAATTCCATTTACAATAGCTGAAAACTGAAACAAAATATCTGGAAATATGTTTAACCAAGGCAGTGAAAGATCTCTACAAGAAAAACAATAGAAGATTATTGAAAGAAAATTGTTGATGACACAAACAAATAGAAAATTGTTGATGACACAAACAGAAAAACATCCACAAATCTACAGATTCAATGCAATCTTTATCAATCAAAATATCAACAAAATTTTTCACATAATTAGAGAAAAACTATTCTAAAATTCATATGAAACCAAAAAAGAGCCTGAATAGCCAAAGCAATCCTAAGCAAAAAGATCAAAGTTGGAAGCATCACATTACTTGACTTCAAATTATATTAAAAGTTATAGTAAATAAAACAGCATAGTACTGGTATAAAAATAGACATATATGTGAATGAAACAAGATAGAGAACCCAGAAATAAAGCCACATATCTACAATCAACTGATCTTTGACAAAGTTGACAAGAACATGCAATGGAGAAAGAACATTCTTCAATAAATGGTGCTGGGAAAATTGGATTGCTATATGCAGAACAATAAAACTGGATTTATCTCTCACCATATACAAAAATAACCCCAAGATGGATTAAAGCTTTAAATATAGGACCTGAATCTATGGAAATACCAGAAGAAAATCTATGGAAAACTTTTCTGAACATTGGTCTAGGTGAAGAATTCATGACAAAGACCTCAAAAGCACAAGCAAAAACAACAACCAAAAAAAGACAAATAGGACTTGATTATACTAAAAAGCTTCTGCACAACAAAAGAAATAATCAACAGAGTGAACAGACAGTCTGCAAAGTAGGAGAAAATATTTGCAAACTATGCATCCAATAGGAAAGTAATCCAGAATTTAAAGTGAAATAAAACAACTAAACAAAACTCTCCAAATAATCCCATTAAAAAGAGAGCAAAGGACACGAATAGATGTTTTTCAAAAGAAGACACACGAGTGGCCAAGAAGCATATGAAACAATGTTCAACATCACTTATCATCAGCGAAGTGCAAATAAAAACCACAATGAAATATCATTTTACACCAGTCAGAATGACCAGTCAGAATGGCTATTATTAATAAGACAAGAAACAATAGATGTTGGGGAGGATGTGGAAAAAAGGGAACACTTATTAAACATTGTTGATGGGAATGTAAATTAGTACAAACTGTATGGAAAATTGCGTGGAAATTTCTCAGGGAACTGAAAACAGAACTACCATTTGATCCTGTGATCCCACTACTGGGTATCTAGCCAGAAAAAAAGAAATAATTATATCAGAAAGATACCTGCACTTGTATATTTACTGCAGCAGTAATCACAATAGCAAAGATATGGAATCAACCCATGGGTGTATCAACGAATTATTGAATAAAAATGTGGTATATATACACAATGAAATACTATTGGGCATTAAATATATAAAATTATGCCTTTTGCAGCAACATGAATAGAACTGGAGGCCACTGTCTTAAGTGAAACAACTCAGAAACAGAAAGACAAATACAAACGTTCTTGCTTATAAGTGGGAGCTGAATAATTTGTACAAATGAACATACTGATAGACACTGAAGAATTGGAAGGTCATGGGTTAGAAGGAAGGTAGACGATGAGAGATGATTTAGTGAATATAATGTACATTATTTGGGTGATGGATACACAAAAATCTCAGACTTCACAGATGAGATATCACTTTACACCAGTCAGAATGACCGGTCAGAATGGCTATTAGTAATATATACATATAACACAATTGCACTTGTACCCCATACATTTATGCAAATAAAAATAAATACACAAAATAAATAGTTCTTGTTAATAAATTGACTTTTTACCATTCTTTCTTGATTGAAATAAAAAGAAATAAACCGGGACTGTTCCAGGCAAAAGGGGATATTGTACTGGGGCTCTTTAAGGCTCAACAAACCCTCTGACCTTGTAGGAGCTTGCAGGGTCATTGTCTTCTGAGCATTTGCCATCAAAGGGCAAATGGCAAGATTGAATGAACTCATGCCACAGATTACAAAGAAAACCAGGGAATTGAGGAATTATTAAAGAGAGATGAAAGAGACAACAAAGAGCCTGTTTGCTGCTTTTGTTGGCTCAGTCTCCGAGTACTTTTACTCCTGAAAATCTGGTCAGAGAAATTCCAGCCAGTGACATAGAAGCTCCCAGTTCACTCATACCCCAGATTCATGGAGTTGCTCCTTGGCCAACTCTAACCCTCGGCCACACCTGGAAGGGGAATTTGCAAAATCTATTCCCAGACTTAGAAGAGACAGTTGAAGTGCCAAGTTAACAGGTAACCCAGTGAAAGCATGCATTTGAATCCCTGACAGCATGCATGTTCATCCAATAAGAGGTAAACAGGGACTCTTTCTCCAATATTTACATTTTATCATTCCAAGTCATCCACTCCATTGAGTAACTATGATCAAAATATTGGAAAGATTGGTGGTGAATGTACTACCTCTAACACTGTTGTTTCTTCTAATTAAAAGATTAATTTATCTGAAGGAATATTTTGGTTACTCAAATTATCAGAGAAGGGTATTTTGAGTTGAGGAAGTCAAGTTTTCTTGTTAGAGGTCCTCACTTCCACATTCATATCAGGAGGCCCCATTATTACAATGACTGTAGCATCTCTAACTTTCAGCCTTGAACGTTATGGCTCCCACACCACCATGTAGCTCTCCAGCCCACGTTCAGTAGAATGTCTACCAGGAAAACAATCACAGCCTGTGAAGACCTCTGATACTTTGTCCCCACATATGCAACGCCTACTGTCCACTTCTCTCTCTGCAGTGCTTAAATGAGTCCATTTTTCATTTAACACATTGGATAGGACTTTCTATAATGTATCACTTTTCTTTGTTCTTGATAAAGTTGTTCTATATGTAATCTCACCTGTTACAAAAATCTTAGACCATTATTGTGAACATTAGTGTATTGTGCTTTAATATTTTATAATAATAGCTAATATTTATTGAATGATCTTTATCTTCCAGGAATGGTGCTAAGTACTTTATATTAATTAATAATTTATTGTTCATAAAGCTCTATGATGTAAATACTATGATTATTTCAATTTTCCAGATGAGAAAACTGAGTCTCAGCAAAGGTTAAGTACACCAAAAAAATATAGGGTTAGAAAGTGTTTACCTAGAAACTGAACTCAGATGTATCAGTCTGTAAAAATAGGTTTTTCCACTTTTACATTCCACTGTATTATATAAATTTGGCTGCATGTATACTAAATTACTTCAAACTGGCAATACTTGGAGTTCTATTGCCTTTTATTTTTAAAAATATGTTTTAGTAAAGAGAATTTCTGTGTACTCTTCATCCAGTTTCTTCTTCTTCATCCAGTTTCTACTCTATATTTGAAGCAATTAAGGAACCATATTGATATGTTATTAACAACCAAAGTTCACGCTTTGTGTTTCCTTCATTTTTACTTAAAGTTATCTTTTTGGTTCCAGAATTGCATCCAGAATCCCATATTTCATTTGGTCATCATGTCTGTCTCCCTAGGTTCCTCTTGCTGTGGCAGTTTCTCGGACTTTCCTTGCTCTTGATGACCTTGACAGATTTGATCTGGTCAGGTATTTAGGAGAATGTCTCTCAATCTGGATTTGTCTGACATTTCTCTCAAAGCTAGACTGGAGGGCTATATTTTGGAGAGGAAGACCATAGAGGTAAATTTCAACACTCATAATATCCTATCAAAGGTAAGTGCCATCAACATGATTTAGGGCTATTGATGTTGGGCTTGATCACCTGACTGAGGTAGTGTTGGCCAAGTTGCTCCTCTATAAGGGTCTTTCCCCTCATCCCTTTTTGTACTGTACTCTTTGGAAGGAAGTCACTGTCACCAGCCCATACTTAAGTGGTGGTAATTTATGCTCCAACTCCTTGAGGGTAGAGTGTCTACATAATTTATTTGAAATTCATCTGTGAGGCAGATTTGTTCCTTCTCTCACTGCTCCGGGCTGAATGTCCCCTCCAAAACCCATGTTGAGGTTTAATTGCCATTGTAACAGTATAAAGAGGCAGAACCTTTATGAGGGAATCAAGTCATCATGGCTGCACTCTCATGAAGTAATTAATACCATTTCCTGGAGAATGGGATAGTAATTTCAGGAGTGGTCTCCTAATGTTTGCCGCCCTTCCTCACTGTCTCTCTCCCCCCTGCTTCCTCACTGTCTGTCTCCCATGCTCACTCCTGCTTGGTTTCTTACCATGGGATGACTGTCACCATATGCTAGTGTCTTGCTCTTGGACTTTCCAGTCTCCAGAACAGTGAGAAATATATATTTATCCTTTTATAAATTACCTAGTCTTTAGTATTCAATAATAACATCAGAAAACAGGCTAAGAAATCTTTTTTATTTACATATTCAATCATTTATTTATATCAGTGTGAACTCATGAATATTTATTTTATACTTTGGGTTTTAATCCAATACTCTTATTTATTTTGCTGCTCAAAGTTTTTCAGCTTTCATCCTTGGGAGCTCTAGCAGGTTGACACCTTTGTCCCTTTAACATGTCCACATAATTGTGCTGTTTCAGCAGTTCCTTTCTTTCTGGAACTAAAAGATGCTTTGGGATCATGTTATGTATTTCCTGTAGAGCCCTGAAATTGGTAACTTATCCAAGGATCCCTGGATTCTTTTATAGGAGAATAGTATTAGAAACCAAGATCTGCATTTGGGGTGAGCTTATTGCTGCTGGGTGTCACTGCTACTATCTTAGCAGACAGAGCTAGGAAATATATGTATGTATACTAACTGATAAATGCACACATATATACACTTATTTCTGTATCTATCCATCTGTTTCTATATTAAGTTAAACACGAGATCATACTGATGTCTCTAAATCTAACTCAGTACCACATGGTTCATTCTATTTCTCAGTTTCATTTTAGAATATATTTTCTGTCTTCTATCTTGCTAGCTATTTAGTTTTCTCTCATTAGAATACTTACCTATCCCAGCTCACTTTTCGTCTTTCCATCATACAGCTTTAGAATAAGACAATATTTTTGTTTGAATTTTGTGAAAAATAAATTTGACTCCAAGTGAGAGTTGGAAAAACCTTCTTATGATTACAAGTTTAAAGATAAAAGAGTTTTAGAGTCTCGTGGGGCCATTTGGAGAACTTTGATGTTTGCATTTATGTCCTCAGCTGAATTCCAAATAGGCGAAGTTGTTAGGGAGCTGGCTATAGTCAAGTGGACTACTACTGCTGCTGGGAGGTTTGGTTTAACTGATAGGGAGTTCCTTACTATTAGAGGTTTTATTGCGTTTCCCAGGTTTTCTGTTTAAGTATGAGATTATCACTCCTCAATAAATTATTTACAGCTCCTTGAAATGATTTCTACAGAACTTGTAGACATACATGAATATTAATCAGCCTTTAAAAATTTTATTTATTGTGTATGTTATGGAAAATATTAAGCCTGTAAAGGTTCTTTGTCTAAGGCTTGAGACAATCATCATTATTCATATGTAATTTTTTAAACTCTATAAAAAATGTGTGAATAATTTCTAGATGACTGTTAGGTGAAAAATACTTCATGGAACCATAGTATGAGCAAATATCTGAAGCCAGGTATATCTAGAACCACGGGAGTTGGGATATAGCGTGAGCAAAGAAGGAGAGGGGGTAGGTTTTTTCCAGTCAGGGGTACAGATAGCTGTAGCAACTTTGTTTGTTTGCTTTTATTTTTTATTTTTTTAAATTTTACTTTAATTTCTAGGATACACGTGCAGAATGTGCAGGTTTGTTACATAGGTATACATGTGCCATGGTGGTTTGCTGCACCTGTCAACCCATCAACTAGGTTTTAAGCCCTGCATGCAATAGGTATTTGCCCTAATGCTCTCCCTCCCCTTACCTCTCTACCCCCTACAGGCTTTGATGTGTGATGTTCCCCTCCCTGTGTCAATCATAGCAACTTTTATGTGGTTTCCAAGGGTGAGGTTAGGGCAGAGTCTGAAGGACTCAAATACACAGCCTGGAAAAGTACCCCTTTCTTGAATTCCTAGGTCAGGATGTCATTAGTCAGACTACCATAAATAAAGTTTTAGGTGAGCTATATTTTAAGTATTCAGCACAATTTTTCTGTATACTTGTCAGGCAACATATCGTCATTTGGGGTCTGAAGTGAATACTGTAAGCTGATCTCATACATAGACTTCCTGGATACATTTTGAGTTGGAAGAAATATTGCTTCTTATTTCTTACTTCAGGGAGTTCTAAATATTTGTTCTTCCACTGGTTAAGTGGGCAGAGGTTGCTAAAAGGATTAGAGAAAGGAAACTATAAGAACTGTGCATTTTAAAGATGACAAATAACTTTGCCATCCTCATTAATATGGTACATTTCTGGTTACTCTCAATGCTCACAAAGTGATAGCAAAGGGATCAAAAGAAGGCAAAAGCCTAAGGAAGTATGACCAACCCATCAGAATCAAGGATTATAGCAACAATATTTTGGAAGCAGGAAACCTTGAATTTAGCTTTTGAGGGTCAAGGATTTTCAGGCATATGAGAATAACCCCTAATATAAAAAAAGAAGAAGAAACCAAACAAAAGACAAACTAAGAAACTTGGAGAGAATAAAAGTTATAGAAAAAAATAGAAAAACCTGATATTTTCAGGACAATAAGAGAAGATAAGAATGAGAGTTTATATGAGAAGGAAGGAGATTCAGAGCCAAAATATCCCTTCATATTAAAATGTGATGGGATGTACAAACATTCCAATAGAAGGACTGAGACATAATCTTGTGAAAATTTCCTAGAAAGTAGAACAACAATAAAGAAAAGATGGAAGAGAAAAATGGGTAAGAGTATGAGAGAATCCATTCAGTAGACCAACATCTGAATAATAGGAGACCCACAAAAAGAGAATTGGGACATTATCACAGAACTAAAGTTAGAGTCCATCCACAGCAGCAGGACATGGATTGACAGATGGAGAAACTTCAGTGAGAGCCCACATTGGTGGTCACAAAGGAACACTTAATCCTGAAATCGCAAAACACAGGCGAAGGTGTGGGGGGAGGTTACATCAGTAGTGTAAGAAACCTGAAGTCTGGTGAGCTTTTACGTAGCAGCAGTCTCTGTGAGAACACAACAGGAAATGCTTTCAAATTCTGAGGAAAAGTAGTTTCCAACCCAGAATTCTATGTTCAGTTAAACAAATAATAAAGTATGAAAGCATAAATAGAAAAAATATAGATAGATAGATAGATGATAGATAGATAGGCATACATGGTGTGATGGATTCCACTAAAATTACATACTACTCTCTACTCCCTCATCTTCCTTATTAACAGCATCACAATGTTGCTTATCACAGAAGAGTGCTCAGAAAGTAAGCATCGTAACATGCAGGAGTATTTATGTGACATAAATCCAGTCAATATGATATATGTGGAATTCTGCTGGAAAGGTTTTGTTTCTCCTATTTAAAAATACAGGTATGTAAGGAGAAGTTTTTGTTCCCCTCTTTCTTCTTGGAGTGCAGATGTGAACTTAGAAGTAACACCAAGGGTGATGTAAAGCAAGAATGGAATGGACTTGAGACCTTAGTGACCACACCAGACCTGAATTTCCTGCCTTCATGCTTCTCGCCATGTGGAAACAAAAATAAAAGCAGAACTCTTTGGCTATGCCACGAAGGTTAGATTATCAGTTACAATCAGCCTAGCGTGACCCTAATGCATATGTCTCAATAATTTACCTCCCACATGGCATTCTTTCTTATAAAGCTGCTAAGGGATGGGCTCCACCGCAATTTAAGTGATAAACCAACATAGAAATGGTTTAGGGGATTTAACTCAGGTTGCAAGAGAAGGGACCTGCCAGCACAGTAATGAGTGGGACTCCCTGGTTAAGTGCAATGAAACAGGACGAGGGGGAAACTGGCCCATGTAGGATCAGTAGGGCCAAGGGCTATAGAAGGGATGTTTCAAGAAAAGGAGGGCATGCAGACATTGCATGATGGAGACTGTCCTTCTAATACAGTTTGAACCTAAATTAGAAATTGGAACAAATTATGTAACAACCAAATAAGACAACAGAGAAAACAAACAAAAATATCGTACAAGAAGAGAATGCAATCGTTATACCCATAAGTCTCCACTGTGACTATCACCTGTGTGATCACAATTAAGGAAACACTGATATTTTCTCTCAAAACTGTAATATAACTGGGTTTGGAGTTTGGGTGTAGGAGAATTGCTGGTGTATGTAGAATGCGGGCAACAAATCTAAATTCTGAACTTACAAAATGGAAATTCACTAGACACTATCCCAACCAGAAACAAAGAGAAACAATAATACGCAAATCTCATTCAGAGATATAGAAGCAACTATCAGAATAATAGCTAAATATCAGAATCAATATTTGAAAGTGGCTGCTTCTAAAGATGGACCACATGATGGAGGACTGCTATTTTTCTCCCTTGTAGAATGGTTTGATTTTTTAACCTAAGTGAATGTGTAATTTTCATAAAGCCAAAAACAAAGAAATATATTTTGCAAGTGATGAAGTTAGATTTATACTAATACCCTGAGTAGTTTCTTGAAAACATGTAAGGGTTGTTTTCTTCTCCATGGTTTACATCAATCTCTAATTCCCATTTCTTTCATTTTAGCATAATATTTCCAGCCTAGTGATAAATAGTAAGAATGAAATTAAAGAAACAGAAAGAAAATATTAGATTTCAATAGTGTGGTTTTTCTGACCTAAAATATGTGCCATTTTTGAAGCATAATAAATATGTGCAATTATGGAATATGCACTTCTATGGAAAATGACTACAGGATTGCTTGCTTACTTGTAGGAAAGAGTCCCATTGAGATGCATGCAAACAACAAAATTCATACACATTCTCAGTATAAAATACTGCAGGAATGACTTTCATGTTATTTTTTCCCAAATTTCTCCATTTTAAACAAGCTTTATTAATTTTGCTTGTTGCACAATTGGGGTGTCCACAGGGCTGCATTCATTTCTGAGGACTCTGGGATGAGTTCGTTTCCAAGCTCCTTGCTGGCTGAATGAACGCCCTTACCATTCCAAGGCTGAGGCTCCTGTCTCTGCATCGGGTCCATCTCTGCTCCTAGAGGTTTCCAGACTCCACAGGCTTTTTGTGGGACTCCCAGCCTGATGCTTCACTCGGGCCATGTGCTCATTGGGACCAATGACTGGCTGAGGTGCTTACGTCATTCCAATTATTTCCCGTCTCTCCTTTTACTAAGTAGTGGATGATACATGAAAGCCTGCAAGTTAATCATGCATATGATATGAATCTACTATGTAGATAAAAACAATTTAGAATTATGAGACTCTCATAGCTGCCTACAGGACGTCACTAAAGCAAAGTGATGTTAAATGTCTTTCTCTATTTCCCAATAAATGAACATTCTAATTACAAATAATTACACAAATATAAAGGAATTCTTTAAGTATGCTCAAACTGGGTTAAGGATACCATTTTTAAACTTCTTAATCCAAATCCAAAACTCTTCTTTGCATTTGTGTACTTGTTGCCATTTCATTCTCTAAAGTAATCTTCATCCCACAGATTCGCAGTGGCTCTCCAGCTTGTCAGTGAACCCTGGCACTGGGTTGGACTACAGCTATTACTATACAGATGGCAAACTGTTAGCATGTGAAAGACAAATGGAAATGAATATTAAAAGTGACAGAAATCAAATATTCACCTGGACCACCATTAAGTACCTCTTCTTCCTCTAATTATGTAACTTAGAAGTAGCACAAAGGCAGGCCTTCTGTGAAAGATGATTTTCAGAATAATGTTTTAACCTTGGGAGAGAGCCCCTGTCCAATCTCCTATACCCTAGATTTCAAGGCCAATTACATTCTGCTGTAAGCCACTATTTTTTCACCTATTCCATTTTATCAAAGTATAGTGTATTGGAAAGGGAAAACAAATCTGGAGAAATCAAGCCTATATCCAGAATACAAAGGAGCAACTGAGTGACCAATGGAGGCAAGCCGCCAAGCAGGTTCATATGAAGGCTCGTCAGACGTAAGTTCCTCCCTATGTGCCCACCCTAACTTTGGTCATTCCACAATTCTAGATTAATTCTTTGACGACTTCATTTTTAAAATCCAGGTGCCAACTTTTACACTGTAAATGTCCCTAGACGGAGCCTCACTCTATGATAACGTCATTAGAAGATGAACCTCAGGAGTGATTCGTCACTAGCTAAGAAATATTAAATTACTCTGGGAGCAAGATGGGGCTTCGGAGGCTTGCTGAGGCAAATATCTGGGAGTAGGGATCAAAGTGAATTCTTTCCCCTTCACAGTTTTATATAGGGCTAGCCCTACATATGTCATCCTGAAACAATGATCAAGTAGAACTTTGAGCACTTGGGCAAATGTTTTCCTCTTTATTTTCCCACTCGGAATGCTCAGTTATTTCTGGAATGACACCATCCACTGTCTAATGTGAATGGAGGTCAGATTATCAATTAAAGACAAAGCCCTAATTCGTGGGGGAAATATTATTTAGTGAATATTTAATTACTTTAGAATTTCCAAATTCCTGAAATCATTTAACGCTTTTTGAAATGGTGAAAAACTAAGGTCAGGATTTTATCATAGCTCAATAAATGATTTTGGCCTTGGCTAAATTTTTACAATTCACCATTTATACTGAAACTAGTGAAACAAACAGTATCACAGTGCAGAAAATCCCAAATTCAATTTTACTTCAAAATACAGACCTACAAACCCTTGCCCCAAACCCTTTGTATCAGATGTGTGTCAAATTCAGACTTATTTTTCAGATCTTAGAAAAGTTATAGGGTGCATGTGCTATACATTATGACACCCTGGAAGGTCTAGGACAGCTTCTGGTGATCAAACACCCCCTACTGCTGCCCTAAACTGTGTGGCTAACCAGAAGAAGAAGCTTAAATAAAGACAGTGGTGCTCCATCTGTGGGGCGGGCCTGGCTGTCTCATAACTTTAGGGCAGGGCAGGTTTGCCCCCATATGAGTAACTAAACAAATACTCAAAACATGGTTTTTCAGGTGTTTTGGACTTCTGAATCACAGACGGCAGATTGCAGACCTACACTTTTATTATCACTATGTATGGGAGAGCACTTAAAAATTAAAGTAATGTGTGTATTCATGAGCTTCCTGAAACAGTTCTAAAGGAGAGGAGGATGCAGAGCAGATGAAATCAAGCACATGCACACACACATGCACACACACACACACACAACATTGGTCCTATAAGGACTGTTACTCAAAGGACAATGACCAAAGCAACCTAGGAGAAGCACGTGAGTTCGTGGAGTGAGAATAATTATAAAATGTAAAAAAATCAACTAAATACACTCTAGTTGTGCCAGTTCATATAGGAAAAAAAAAAAGAGTAACTTTGTGAAAACCACCTTAGAAAAATAAAGTATATTTAAGAATATTCACAATTATTGACCAAAATTAATGGTACCGTAACAAAAGAAAAATAGTACAATGGTCAGTCTATAAATAGGAAGGCTGTAATGGGGTATAGTCACATAAATCAATTGATGCTAGAGTTGTGTTGGTGTCTCCCAGAACCTGCTGTTTCTAGATCAAACCAGTACAGACAAAAGCAAAACAAATAAACAAACAAACAAGGGCAGGGCTTTTAGATCATGTAGTTTTTTGTTTATAAAAAAATCAAAAAATTATTGGGAAGAAGTAATTATAGGGGAAGAGAGGGAAGCAAAACTACTTCCCTTCACAAAACTTTTGTGAATAAAATTGTCAATTTCTACATCAAACTATTTGTTAAGTATCAGCTGACTTGGTGATCATAGACCATAGGAAAGAAGAAAACAAACAAAAAAATCCCTAAGTAATTACAGACAAAAAGTTATAGACAGGATGTCTGGGCTGCGATGGACCTTTTGGATTTTAGGCTTGAGAGTGAATGAAGCTTACCAGGTTTATGCACCAAGATCTATCTTGTGCTTATTATTAGGGGGTTCAACTCAAGACTTGTCATTTCACAGAGGTCTGAGTCATATACAAACATGAACATCAAAATTTAAAGCAACAACTGAGCTCCCGTGAGTTTAGAGGCTTTGGCTTTGGCCCAATCCTGTGGCTTCTACTCCGCTTTTAAACTATTTTTAACTCTGTTATAAAAGACAGTGCACTAGGAAGCAATGCTGCAAGCGAGGGTCCGCTTAAAATACTAAAGGAAGTGCTAGACATGCCATCTGGAAAATCCAAAGGGCAAAAAGAAAAGAGAGAACGACAAAGGAATGGGAAGTGGGTAGTAGACCTGCAGTACGGAGATGGGACAGGTGGCCAGGGGAATATGGGATGATAAACACCTTCAATCATTGAACTTCTCATAAAGAAAGACACTGTGCTAATAATACATGCAAAAGGAAGTCAGACAAAAGAGAACTTTTTCTCTCTCTCTCTCTCTCCGTCTCTGTCTTTCTCTCTCTCTCTCACACACACACATAACAATACTGTATGTGGCTTGACTTTATGTAGGAAGTAGGTACTCACTGGCAAAGAAATTCTCATTACTGCCATAACGAAATTTTCATGCTTCTGGGATGTATGTGATTCAGACTAGTCTGCAAATTACTTAAATAATTTTACCTATCAACGTTGGGTCTGTCACTCATATAAAGGGAAAGCAAAACCATATCATCTGGTGCACTTTACAGCTCAATGTCACCTGCCATATTTTCAATCATCTTGCATGCACAATTGGCAGTAGGCTATTAGAAGCAACCCTCCAAAAAGAAATCCTATTTTTTATTAAAAAAACTTTATTTTTTAGAGTAGTTTTAGGTTCAGAGCAAAATTGAGAAGCAGATACAGATATAACCCATATACTCTCATCCCCTCCCCATTATCAACGTGTCCCACCAAGAAGGCTCACTTGTTGCTATCAATGAACCCAAATTGACTGAGTCCCAAGTTCACTTTAGGGTTCATTCTTGGTGTTGTACATTCTGTGGGTTTAGACAAATGTATGGTGACATGTACTGACATGTTTGGTTGTGTCCCTACCCAAATCTCATATTGAATTGTAGCTCCCATAATTCCCATGTGTCATGGAAGGGACCCAGTGGGAGGTAACTGAATCATGGGGGCAGGTCTTTACCATGCTGTTCTTGTGGTAGTGAATAAGTCTCACAAGATCTGATGGTTTTATAAAGGGGAGCCTCCCTGCACTCTCCTGTTGCCATGTAAGATGTCTTTGCTCCTCATTCGCCTCCCACCACGTTTGTGAGGCCTCCCCAACCATGTGGAACTGTGGGTCCCTTAAACCTCTTTCCTTTATAAATTACCCAGTCTTGGGTATGTCTTTATTAGCAACATGAGAACAGACTAATACATGTATCCACCATTGTAGTGTCATACTGAATATTTTCACTGCCCTAAAAATTCTTAGCCGTTAACCCAACCCTAAAGAAACACTGAGTGTTTTACTGTCTCCACAGTTTTGCCTTTCCCACAATACTGTATAGTTGGAATGAGATAGTATTGTAGCTTTCTTAGTTGGGCTTCTTTCACTTGGTAATACGCATCTTAGGATCCTCCATGTTTTTTCATGGCTCGACAGCTTATTTCATTTTACTGCTGAATAATATTGCCTTGTCTGGATGCATCACAGTTTGTTTATCCATTCACCTACTGAAGGACGTCTTGGTTGCTTCTAAGTTTTAGAAATTATGAACAAAGCTGCCTTAAATGTCCATGTGCAGCTTTTGTGGGAACATATCCTATCCTATGTTAATTTCATTTTCCTTTGATTTGGGTAAAGTCCTAAGCAAGTAACAAGGCTTTTCACCGAGTCCTGAAGTTTAAAGTAAGCCCCGTGTCAACAGTAGTCTTCTGATTACTAGGCAAACAGCATCACAACCTCCTGATTTTTGATAGGTCGTGAAAACTCAGATGGGTAGCACAAACTTTTTCAAATCTTTCAGAATTTTTTCATACTTCACTGTATTATAACTTGGATCAAATAAAATAACTGTTTGCAATATCAGAAATCAAATATTATTATCTGGAAGGATTCTGGCATTACAATCAGTATTTCAGGTGAACCATAGACCTAGACAAAATATCAGATATAAAAAGATAAAAATCAGTGCCAATAAAGCCATTAAAGCCAAAGTCATATTTTATGTTATTTTGCACACATATGTGAATATATATTACTGAAATCTTAAATATTAAGGTAAAATTTTAGTTTTTTGTAACACTTTCAACACTAGATTTTGGAGCCATTGAAAATAGGTAAGGTTGACAACAGGAGGCTGAACTCCTGTGCTGCTCTTCAAATGAGGATAATTCCAAGGCAGTATTATATTCTATAACTGAATGAGAAGATTTTTGTTCTTTTTTTTAAATTATACTTTAAGTTATGGGGTACATGTGCAGAACATGCAGGTTTGTTACATAGGTATATACGTGCCTTGGTGGTCTGCTCCACCCATCAACCTGTCATCTACATTAGATATTTCTCCTAATGCTATACCTCCCCTAGCCCCCCACCCCACAACAGACCCCGGTACGTGATGTTCCCCTCCCTGTGTCCATGTGTTCAATTCCCACATATGAGTGAGAACATGTGGTGTTTGGGTTTCTGTTCTTGTGTTAGTTTGCTAAGAATGCTAGTTTGTTAGCTTTCTGAAAAGCTGGATGGTTTCCAGCTTCATCCATGTCCCTGCAGAGGACATGAACTCATCCTTTTTTATGGCTGCATAGTATTCTATGGTATATATGTGCCACATTTTCTTTATCCAGTCTATCCTTGATGGGCATTTAGGTTGGGCATGGTCTTTGCTATTGTGAACAGTGCTGCAATAAACATATGTGTGCATGTGTCTTTATAGTAGAATAATTTATAATCCTCTGGGTATATACCAGTGATGGGATTGCTGGGTCAAATGGTATTTCTACTTCTAGATCCTTGAGAAACCTCCACACTGTCTTCCACAATGGTTGAACTAATTTACACTCCCAGTAACAGTGTAAAAGCATTCTCATTTCTCCACATCCTGTCCAGCATCTGTTGTTTCCTGACTTTTTAATAATCGCCATTCTAACTGGCATGAGATAGTATCTCATTGTAGTTTTGATCTGCATTTCTCTAACGACCAGTGATGATGAGCATTTTTTCATATGTTTGTTGGCTGCATAAATGTCTTATTTTGAGAAGTGTCTGTTCATATCCTTCGCCCACTTTTTGATGGGGTTGTTTGTTTTTTTCTTGTAAATTTGTTAAGTTCTTTGTAGATTCTCAACATTAGCCCTTTGTCAGATGGATAGATTGCAAAAATTTTCTCCCATTCTGTAGGTTGCCTGTTCACTCTGATGATAGTTTCTTTTGCTGTGCAGAAACTCTTTCATCTAATTATATCCCATTTGTCAATTTTGGCTTTTGTTGCCATTGCTTTTGATATTTTAGTTATGAAGTCTTTGCCCATACCTATGTCCTGAATGGTAATGCCTAGGTTTTCTTCTAGGGTTTTTATGGTTTTGGGTCTTACATTTCAGTCTTTAATCTATCTTGAGTTAATTTTTGCATAAGGTGTAAGGAAGGGGTCCAGTTTCAGTTTTCTGCATATGGCTAGCCCGTTTTCCCAAAACTATTTATTAAATAGGGATTATTTTCCCCGTTGCTTGTTTTTGTCAGGTTTCTCAAAAATCAGATGGTTGGAGATGTGTGGCATTATTTCTGAGGCCTTTGTCCTGTTCCATTGGTCTACATATCTGTTTTGGTACCAGTACCATGCTGTTTTGGTTACTGTAGCCTTGTAGTATAGTTTGAAGTCAGGTAGCGTGATGCTTCCAGCTTTGTTCTTTTGGCTTAGGATTGACTTGGCAATGCAGGCTCTTTTTTGGTTCCATATAAAATTTAAAGTAGTTTTTTCTAATTCTGTGAAGAAATTCAATGGTAGTTTGATGGGGATAGCATTGAATCTATAAATTACTTTGGACAGTATGGCCATTTTCACAGTACCAATTCTTCCTATCCATGAGCATGGAATGTTTTTCCACTTGTTTGTGTCCTCTCTTATTTCCTTGAGCAGTGGTTTGTAGTTCTCCTTGAAGAGGTCCTTCACATCCCTTGTAAATTGTATTCCTAGGTATTTTATTCTCTTTGTAGCAATTGTGAGCGGGAGTTCACTCATGATTTGGCTCTCTGTTTGTCCATTACTGGTGTACAGGAATGCTTGTGATTTTTGCACATTGATTTTGTATCCTGAGACTTTGCTGAAGTTGCTTATCAGCTTAAGGAAATTTTGAGCTGAGACAATGGGGTTTTCTTTTTTCTTTTTTCTTTTTTCCTTTTTTTTTTTTTCTTTTTGAGACAGAGTCTTGCTCTGTCGCCTAGGCTGGAGTCGCCTAGGCTGGAGTGCAGTGGCTCCATCTCTGCTCACTGCAAGCTCCGCCTCCCAGGTTCACGCCATTCTTCCACCTCAGCCTCCCGAGTAGCTGGGACTACAGGTGCCTGCCACCAAGCCTGGCTAATTTATTTTGTATTTTTAGTAGAGACGGGGTTTCACTGTGTTGGTCTCAATCTCCTGACCTCGTGATCCACAGGATGGTCTTGATCTCCTGACCTCGTGATCCACCTGACTCGGCCTGACAATGGGGTTTTCTAAATATAGAATCATGTCATCTGCAAACAGAAACAATTTGACTTCCTCTCTTCCTATTTGAATATCCTTTATTCCTTTCTGTTGCCTAATTGCCCTGGCCAGAACTTCCAATACTATGTTGAATAGGAGTGGTGAGAGAGAGCATCCTTGTCTTGGGCTGGTTTTCAAAGGGAATGCTTCCAGTTTTTGCCCATTCATTATGATATTGGCTGTGGGTTTGTCATAAATAGCTCTTACTATTTTGAGATACGTTCCATAAATACCTAGTTTATTGAGAGTTTTTACCATGATGCAGTGTTGAATTTTATCGAAGGCCTTCTCTGCATTTATTGAGATAATCATGTGGTTTTTGTTACTGGTTCTGTTTATGTGATGGATTAAGTTTATTGATTTGTGTATGTTGAACCAGCCTTGCATCCCAGGGATGAAGCCGACTTGATCATGGTGGATAAGTTTCTGATGTACTGCTGGATTTGGTTTGCTAGTATTTTATTAAGGATTTTTGCATCGATGTTCATCAGAGATATTGGCCTGAAATTTCCTTTTTTTCTTGTGTCTCTGCCAGATTTTGGTATCAGGATGATGCTGGCCTCATAAAATGAGTTAGGGAGGAGTCCCTCTTTTTCCATTGTTTGGAATAGTTTCAGAAGGAATAGTACCAGCTCCTCTTTGTACCTCTGGTAGAATTCAGCTGTGAATCCATCTGGTCCTGGACTTTTTTTGGTTGGTAGGCTATTAATTGCTGCCTCAGTTTCAGAACTTGTTATTGGTCTATTCACGGATTCAACTTCTTCCTGGTTTAGACTTGGGAGGGTGTATGTGTCCAGGAATGTATCCATTTCTTCTAGATTTTCTAGTTTATTTGCATAGAATGTTTATGGTATTCTCTGATAGTAGCTTGTATTTCTGTGGGATCATTGGTGATATCCCCTTTATCATTTTTTTATTGTATCTATTTGATTCTTCTTTCTTTTCTTCTTTATTAGTCTTGCTAGCAGTCTATGTATTTTAGATCTCAAAAAACCAGCTCCTGGATTCATTGCTTTTGAAGGGTTTTTTTGTGTCTCTATCTCCTTCAGTTCTGCTCTGATCTTAGTTATTTCTTGTCTTCTGCTAGCTTTTGAATTTGTTTGCACTGTGGGATCAGTGGTGATATACCTTTTATCATTTTTTATTGCATCTATTTGATTCTTCTCTCTTTTCTTCTTTATTAGTCTGGCTAGTGGTGTACCTATTTTGTTGATATTTTCCAAAACCAGCTCCTGGATTCATTGATTTTTGAAGGATTATTTTGTGTCTCTATTTCCTTCAGTTTTGCTCTAATCTTAGTTATTTATTTTCTTTTGCTAGCTATTGAATTTGTTTCCTCTTGCTTCTCTAGTTCTTTTAATTGTGATGGTAAGGTTTCGATTTTAGATCTTTCCTGCTTTCTCTTGTGGACATTTAGTACTATAAATTTCTCTCTAAACACTGCTTTAGCTGTGTCCCAGAGATTCTGGTATGTTGTGTCTTTGTTCTCATTGGTTTCAAAGAACTTATTTATTTCTGCCTTAATTTCATTATTTACCCAGTAGTCATTCAGGAGCAGGTTGTTCAGTTTCCATGTAGTTGTGCAGTTTTGAGTGAGTTTCTTAATCCTGAGTTCTAATTTGATTGTACTGTGGTCTGAGAGACTGTTATGATTTCCATTCTTTTACATTTGCTGAGGAGTGTTTTACCTCCAATTATGTGGTCAATTTTAGAATAAGTGTGATGTGGTCCTGAGAAAAATGTATATTCTGTTGACATGGGGTAAAGAGTTCTGTAGATGTCTATTAGGTCTCCTTGGTCCAGAGCTGAGTTCAATTCCTGAATATCCTTGTTAATTTTCTGTCTTCTTGATCTGTCTAATATTGACAATGGGGTGTTAAAGTCTCCCACTATTATTGTGTGGGAGTCTAAGTCTCATTGTGGGTCTCTAAGAACTTGCTTTATGATCTGGGTGCTTCTGCATTGGGTGACTATATGTTTAGGATAGTTAGCTCTTCTTGTTGCATTGATCCCTTTACCATTATGTAATGACCTTCTTTGTCTCTTTTGATCTTTGTTGGTTTAAAGTCTGTTTTATCAGAGACTAGAATTACAACCCCTGCTTTTTTTTGTTTTCCATTTGCTTGGTAAATATTCCTCCCCCTTTATTTTGAGCCTATGTGTGTCTTTGCACATGAAATGGGGCTCCTGAATACAGCACACCAATGGTCTTGACTCTTTATCAAGTTTGCCAGTCTGTGTCTTTTAATTGGGGCATTTAGCCCATTTACATTTAAGGTTAATACAGTTATATGTGAATTTGATCCTGTCATTATGATGCTAGCTTTTAATTTTGTCCGTTAGTTGATGCAGTTTCTTCATAGTGTCGATGATCTTTACAATTTGGTATGGTTTGCAGTGGCTGGTACCAGTTGTTCTTTTCCATTTTTAGTGCTTTCTTAAGGAGCTCTTCTAAGGCAGGCCTGGTGGTGACAAAATCTCTCAGCATTTGCTTGTCTGTAAAGGATTTTATTTCTCCTTTGCTTATGAAGCTTAGTTTTGCTGGATATGCAATTCTGGGTTGAAAATTATTTTCTTTAAGAATGTTGACTATTGGCCCCCACTCTCTTCTGGCTTGTAGGGTTTCTGCAGAGAGATCGCTGTTAGTCTGATGGGTTTCCCTTTGTGGGTAACCCAACCTTTCTCTCTAGCTTCCCTTAAGATTTTTTTCTTTGTTTCAGTCTTGGTGAATCTGACAATTATGTGTCTTGGTCTTGCTATTCTCGAGGAATATCTTTATGGTGTTCTCTGTCTTTCCTGAATTTGAATTTTGGCCTGTCTTGCTAGGGTGGGGAAGTTGTCCTGGATAATATCCTGAAGAGTGTTTTCCAACTTGGTTCCATTCTCCCTGTCACTTTCAGGTACACCAATCAAACGTAGGTTTGGTCTTTTCACATAGTCCCATATTTCTTGGAGGCTTTGTTGATTCCTTTTCATTATTTTCTCTCTAATTTTGTCTTCGTGCTTCATTTCATTAAGTTGATCTTCCATCTCTGATATCCTTTCTTCCACTTGATTGATTCGGCTGTTCATACTTTTGTACGTTTCACGAAGTTCTCGTGCTGTTTTTCAGCTCCATCAGGTCATTTATGTTCTTCTCTAAACTGGTTATTCTAGTTAGCAATTCCTTTAACTTTCTTTCAACATTCTTAGCTTCCTTGCATTGGATTAGAACATGCTCTTTTAGCTCGGAGGAGTTTGTTATTACCCACCTTCTGAAGCCTACTTCTGACAGTTAGTCAAATTGATTCTCCAACCAGTTTTGTTCCCTTGCTGGAGAGGAGTTGTGATCCTTTGGAGGAGAAGAAACATTCTGGTCTTGGAATTTTCAGAATTTTTGTGCTGATTTCTCCCCATCTTTGTGGATTTGTTTACCTTTGGTCTTTGATGTTGGTGACCTTCAGGTAGGGTTTTTGTGTGGACGTCCTTTTTGTTGATATTCATGCTATTCCTTTCTGTTTGTTAGTTTTCCTTGTAACAGTCAGGCCCCTCTGCTGCAAGTCTGCTGGAGTTTGCTGCAGGTCCACTCCAGACCCTGTTTTCCTGGGTATCACCAGCAGAGACTGCAGAACAACAAAGATTGCTGCCTGCTCCTTCCTCTGGAAGCTTTGTCCCAGATGGGTACCCACCAGATGCCAGCTGGAGCTCTCCTGTATGAGGTGCCTGTCGGCCCATGCTGGGAGGTGTCTCCCAGTCAGGAGACACAGGGGTCAGGGACCTGCTTGAGGAGGCAGTCTGACCCTTAGCAGAGCTCGAGCACTGTGCTGGGAGATCTGCTGCACAGAGCCAGCAGGCAGGGACATTTAAGTGTGCTAGATAACATTTTGTTCTTTAAAGGCCTAGAGAAGGATTGGAAATGAAGAAATGAGAACATGAACTAAATGTATTAAGAGACTTTATGTTTAGGTAAATGAAATTAATGTTTGTTGACCAATCCCCTAAAATGAGCAAAACCTGAGCCAGCTCCACCTGTGGACAGGTGTGAGTACACTGCCCTTAGGAGCTTCCACACTGGAATATGCAGGTAATTCCATGATGCACAACAGAGGCTAGCAGACATGCAATGCTATCCACCCTCTGGCAGAGAAGATAGACAGATGGTAACCAATATTTACAGGGAACTTTCCAGTACACTTTCCCATACACACATTGTCCACCCTCTGCCCCACAGCAACTCTGTTAGGTAAATACCTTGGGTATAGGCATTTTACAGATTAAAAACTGACATTTATGAAGGTTATATAACTAGTATAAAGTCACCCTGAGAGAAACTAAAAGAGCTGATATTAGAGCTCAGGCTTCAGTCTCAGTGTTGAGTTGGTTCTTGGTAACAGGCTCACTGTTGCCAGCACCAGCCATTATGTTAGGATTGGAGGCAGAGCGCTTGGTGGGAAGGAGCGTGGGACACAAGAGCAGCCAGACGCCCACTACCCAGTCCACCTGGCAAGGGCTCTCCTTACCACGCACCATGCACTTTCCACTAAAAATGGTGCCTCTCCCAAAAGGGAAACAGAAGGGGTGGGAGGTGCCCACCGATTTCAGAGTAAAACCAGGGGGAGGGGAGTATAATTATATTACACTTCACATGACTAGAATGGAACTTGAGATTTTTCTCCTAAAAGCTGGTCCTCTTCTGCAGTGCTGCTCAAAATCTGGTTGTCAGGCCAGCAACTCAGTGTCACCTGGAATGCACTGGAAATTCAGGCTTCCAGGCCCATCCAGGTTCCATGTGGGCCACACCCACCGAGTCAAATAGGGTGGTGGGGGGCAACATCTGTTTGTTCAGAAGCCATCAATGGTCCTTGTCCCCATCTGCCCATTCTTTAACTCAGAGGACAGCTTCACCATCATCAGTTGCGTGAAGCAGAAAACTAGGTGTCTTTCCTGAATCCTCTTTTCCTCAGTCCCTATAAACTTCTCAATCATTTTTCCAGCAAAATCTTTCTCCATCTGTTTTTCCTCCATCTCCACTGCCACTCCTTTGCTATAGTCTTTCATTGGGAGACCTGCAAAAGTATTCCCAAGATCTCCCACGTCCTTCAAGCCATTCTGCACATGAAAATCAAAATTATATTTGAATGCACACTAACATGCAGTCCAATCCAAAGCCTTTGCCAGCTTCTTGTTGCTCACTTTTAGGGTAAAGACCGAATCCTTACCATGAGTGGTCTGGCAGTGGCCGTCTATCTGCTGTGTGTTCCCTGCTCCATCCTCCAAAGTGCACCACCTCCAATCACAGTGGAATGAGTGGTGCTCTCACCAGATAGCCCATTATCAGAATCCAACTTAACACTGAGACTATGTCCACTGCTATGACCATAGACAAATAGAAACCATGTGCGTCAAACTATGACATAAAAAGGTCCCAGGTGAATTGCTGTATAGAAAAGTGAACAAGATTCAGATCTCTGAAAGTCATCTTTGCTGTTTAATAGCTGTATGATCTTGGAAAAGTCTCTTCATGTCTCTATCCTTGTTTTTTTTTTTTCCTTTACAACCTATTAATAATATTACCTCCTGATTTCCTCAGAATTGTCCTAAAAATGAAGATTTTGAAAGCACATTCATAACCTTAAATTGCTCATAAACTCTCTGAGCCTTTCTTTAAAAAGCAAAGGGTATCTCCTTCCCTGTGTTGAGAAAAATAGCTGTACTGTATGCTGATATGGTTCGGCTCTGTGTCCCCATCCAAATCTTATCTTGAAGTGCAATCTCCATAATCCACTAGTGTCATTGGCAGGAATAGGTGGAAGTAATTGAATCATAGGGGTAGTTTTCCAAGATTAATAAGAATGGGGTGCTGCTCTAAAGATACCCGAAAATATGGATGCAACTTTGGAACTGGGTAGCAGGTAGGATTTGGAACAGTTTGGAGGACTCAGAAGAAGACAGGAAGATGTGGGAATGTTTGGAACTTCCTAGAAACTTGTTGAATGGTTTTGACCGAAATGCTGATAGTGATATAGACAATGAAGCCCAGGCTGAGGTGGTCTCAGAGGAAGATGAGGAACTTGTTGGGAACTGGAGCAAAGGTGACTCTTGCTGTGCTTTAGCAAAGAGAATGGCAATATTTTGTCCCTGCCCTAGAAATCTGTGGAACTTTGAACTTGAGAGAGATGATTTAGGGTATCTGGTGGAAGAAATTTCTAAGCAGCAAAGCATTCAAAAGGGAGCACAGCATAAAAGTTTGGAAAATTTTTAGCCTGATAATGCAACAGACAAGAAAAACCCATTTTCTGGGGAGAAATTCAAGCCTGCTTCAGAAATTTGCATAAGTAACAAAAAGCCAAATATTAATCACCAAGACAATGTGGAAAACGTCTCCAGGGCATGTCAGAGACCTTCATGGCAGCCCCTCCCATCAAAGGCCCAGAGGCCTAGGAGAATAAAATGGTTTCATGGGCTGGGCCTAGGGCTCCCCTGTTCTCTGCAGCCTTAGGACATAGTGCCCTGTGTCCCAGCTGTTTCAGTCCCAGTCATGGCTAAAGGGGCCAATGAACAGCTCAGGCTGTTGTTTCAGAGAGTGCAAGCCCCAAGCCTCAGCAGCTCACATCTGGTTTTGGGCCTGTGGGTGCACAGAAGTCAAGAACTGACATATGGAACTTCCACCTAGATTTCAGAAGATGTATGAAAATGCCTGGATGTCCAGGCAGAAGTCTGCTTCAGGGGTGAAGCCCTCATGGAGAACCTCTGCTAGGGCAGTGCAGAGCAGAAATGTGGGGTTGGAGCCCCCACACAGAGTCCCCACTGGGGCACTGCCTAGTGGAACTGTGAGAAGAGGGCCACTGCATCCTCCAGATCCCAGAATGGTAGATCCACGGACAGCTTGGACTGCGGGCCTGGAAAAGCCACAGACACTCAACACCAGCTCACAAAAGCAGCTGGGAAGGAGGCTGTACCCTGCAAAGCCACAGAATTGGAAGAGCCCAAGGTCGTAGGAGAACACCTCTTTCATCAGCACAACCTGGATGTGAGATATGGAGTCAAAGAAGATCATTTTGGAACTTTAAGGCTTAGTGACTGCCCTTTGTTTTGGCCAATTTCTCCCATTTGCAATAAATGTATTTACCCAATGCCTGAATCTCTATTGTGTCTAGGATGCACTAACTTGCTTTTGATTTTACAGGCTCATAGGTGGAAGGGACTTGCCTTGTCTTAGATGAGACTTTGGACTTGGACTTTTGGGTTAATGCTGAAATGAGTTAAGACTTTAGGGGACTATTGGAAGGACATAACTGTGTTTTGAAATGTGAGGACATAAGATTTGGGAGGGGCAGGGGCAGAGTTATATGGGTTGGTTCTGTATCTCCACCTAAATTTCACCTTGAATTGTAATCCCCATAATCCCCATGTGTGAAGGGTGGGACCAGGTGGATATAATTGAATCATGGAGGTGGTTCTCCCATGCTGTTCTCATGATAATGAGTGAGTCTCACAAGATCTGATGGTTTTATTAGCATCTGGCATTTCCTCTGCTTGCACTCATTCACTGTCCTGCTGCCCTGTGAAGAGGTGCCTGTTTGTCCTTTGCCTTCCACTATGATTGTAAGTTTCCTCAGGCCTCCCAAGCCATGCAGAAATGTGAGTCAATTATTTATAAATGGTATTTCTTCATAGCAGTGTAAGAATGAACTAATACATGAAAAAAACACCTGATACTAGGCTACAAGACTTGGCCCTCAATGGAATAACTATTGCTACTGTGCTCTTGTTGTTGCCTTGTTATCCAAATGTAGCATCACATCTTGGCTGGGTGAAATCAGGTTCATAAACATCTGGAATGAAAACACATAGTTAACAGCAGGGACTACTGCCTTTGTTTCTGCCTTTCTACCATCTGTTTTCATCCACCAATGTTCATGGGGCAGATTCCTTTTATAAAATTCAAACCTTGTCCACTCTGGGGCTTTTATCATGGTAAGTTATATCTAGCTGGGGTCACTGGTGAGCACTAAGAACCACAGCTGCAGAGTTACAGAAGTCTTCTTGGCTTATTGGCTAACCTATCATTGAATGTTGACTTGATAACAAATTCTGAGGTACAAATTTATAATCATGCCAGGGACAGTGGGGTGTCCCTGAAAACATCTTTGCTCAAACACTTAAACTTCATGTTTGAAATAAATTAAGTAATATTTTAGGTTCAAAAATTAAACAAAACAAACAAACAAAAAAGAGAGAGAGAGAAGGCCCTTCTCCTTTTCCCATGAAAGCAGAATGCCGAGTGGGTCCAGCTTCCCAAATGGCAAAGGTGCAGGCAAAAGACCACCCTCAGTGACTATGAGGTTGCAGCCCTGACTGACCAGACCATCACTGCAATCAACCAAAAACCTCAAATATGTATTTTAAAGCTCCTCTTTCCCCTGTCAATGAGCTGGCAAACGAGTAAGAAATATGCAGAAATTAAAAACTCAGTAAACAGGCCTGTAATTCAGAGACAGACATTCTTACGTGCTGAGAGGCAGACCTGGGGTTTTGGTTTTCATGGCCTCACAGGACACAGAGGATGGACAGGAAGCAAACTCAGAGGCTGTCCAGGGATTGCAGGCCTAGCAGTGTTCATGGGGAAAGTTGTAGCCTTAAATGCTAATGCTGGAAAAGAAGAAAGACTTAAGATTGATGAGCTAAGATTCTAAATTAAAGTAAAAACAATAGGGTAAAAACACAAAGAAAGGATAAAGAAAGGAACTAAAGGTATGGACAAATATTAACACAATTTTAAAAAATCTGTAATAGAAATTATTATGATCCAAATGCTAAAAAATAAAAAAAATACTTTTTTTGGTTAAGAAAAAAGAAACAGGGCACAGATAAATAGAACTAGGAGTGATAAAATGTGCATAACAACTAAATCTAAAGAGAATCAGAGGTGGGAAATCATTATGAACAACTCTATGCCTATAAATTTAAGAACTTCAGTGAAATATTTAAACTCCTAGAGAAACATAATTTCTCAAAAATGGTTCAAATAGAAGCAGAAAACTAAAACAGTCCTATAACCATTACAAAATTGAATCACTAAATATCTTTCCACAAAGAAATTCCAGGGTCAAATGTTTTACAGGTGAGTTATACTCAGCTTGCAAGTAGTAAATAATCTCAAATTTACCCAAACTATTCCAGAACATGTAAAAGGAAAGAATTATTTCAGATCACTTTTGAAGCTGTCAAATCCTTGATTAAAAACAACATAAAATAACAACAACAACAACAAAAACCAAAACAACAAAAACACCTTGGAAAGAGCAGTAGGAAAAGATCCAATTTTGCTAAGGATAATAGGTAAGAAATTTTAAATAAAATATTAGCAAAAGATCCAGCAACATCCTTCTGTGCATATGTTTATGTGTCAGAAACGGTGATGGCTAATATTGAATGTCAACTTGATTGGACCGAAAGATGCAAAGTATTGTTCTTGGTTGTCTCTGTGAGGGTGTTGCCAAAGGAGATTAACATTTGAGTCAGTGGACTGGGAGAGGCAGACCCACACCCAGTCTGGGTGGGCACCATCCAATCTGCTGCCAGCATGGCTAGGATAAAAGCAGGTAGAGGAACGTGGAAGGACTAGACTGGCTGAGTCTTCCAGCCTCCATCTTTCTCCTGTGCTGAATGCTTCCTGACCTTGAACATCAGACCCCAAATTCTTCAGCTTTTGGACTCTTGGATCTACACCAGGGGTTTACCAGGGGCTCTGACGCCTTCGTCCACAGACTGAAGGCTGCACTGCTGGTTTCCTTACTTTTCAGGTTTTGGGACTCGGGCTGGCCTCCTGGCTCCTCAGCTTGAGGACAGCCTATTGTGGGACTTCACCTTGTGATCGAGAGTCAATTCTCCTAATAAACTCCCTTTCATAGATTCATCCATTTTATTAGTTCTGTCCCTCTAGAGAACTCTGACTAATATAGAAACTAACGTCAAGTTGGCTGTTTCCTAGGGTTATGATCCTTGTCTAAACATTTACGAATCAAATAAAATACTTAGCCAAAATAATTTTTAAACTAAAAAAGTCACATGATGAAGAAAATTTAATATTAATCATCTTTCAAAAAATTAAAACAACAGAATACTCTTAGCAGAGTAAACAAGTAAATCGATCAAATATATTCATTTTTTGCTTCTGCCTAAAATACCACAAAATAATCCTAAAGGGTCTTTTTTATAGGCATAAACACAAAGTTCCAGGGACAGCAGGAGAGGAGACCACAGTTCATGACCATCTGTCCCACTCTGCACACATCAATGTGGCCCTAGCCCAGTTACCAATCACTGTCCATTTCACCATCACTGGGGCTTTAGCCTGCATAATAAATTACTGCATCATCCCTAGGCGAAACAAAACTGTGTTAGCTGTTCACGGGTTATGAGGATTAGGGAAAATAAATGTATTAGCTGGAAAGCAGATTTAAGGTAAGTAAATGAAGAATCTTATCTGAGAAAACTAACTTCCAAGCAGCAATGACGAAGAAGGAAAATTAACTTAATTTACGCCTCTGAGTCTCCAGGGTCTCAGGCAATGGCAGCATCAGCTAACTGTAAAAGGCAGAAGTGAGATGACTAAACTTTTAGAAATCAGTCACTTCTTCACTTGTACCAAGCCAACAGAGCTGCATCATCCTCTGCTCTGGATCATCACCTGGCTTCCAATCCAGTCGCCCACTTCACCTTCCCCCTAGAGTCCATGCTCGGCAGAGAATTGACTGTGATCTTCATAGCATGTCGGTGAGAGCATGTCCCTCATCTTCTGAAAATTCTGGAAATGTTTCTTTATTTCAATTACAGGAAGAGCTCAAATCCTTGCAATGATCTCTAGGGCCCTATGTAATCCATGCAACTACATACACATGCACTTTGACCCTTCTTAACCTTAACTTCACTCCAAATACACTGGCCTCCTTCCGTTGTGTGACACTCCAGCCATGCTCCCACCCCAGAGTCTTTGCAAAAGATATTCTGTCTGCTTAGCATGCTCTGTCCCCAGAATCCAAACACAAACCTCACTCCCTTACTTCACTCAAGAGTTTACTCAAATGTCACCCTCTCAATTGGTCATGCTCTGGCCACCCTATTTAAAATTATACCCTGTTACCCAACCTACAACACCTGATCCCCATTTCCCTGCTGATGCTCCTTTCCCTGTTGTCCTCTGTTGTCCTATACTTAAAACCTGGTTCCCTATATGTAACTTATTTTTAAAAATATGTTTATAATTTGTGATCCATCTCCGTTGGTCGTGGTATAAGTTCTGAGACTGCTGGGATCTCTGTTTTGCTCACTGCTATATTTCAAGAGTCTGTAATAATGCCTGATACTTAGTAAACACCCAACAAATATTTTAAATATATGTTTGGAATGAATTAAATTTAAACAAGAAGCAGACAAATCATCGCCTCCTCCCACACCCCCAGAATCCTTCCCAAACACTGCCCACCTTCAACTCCAGCAGAGATTGAAAGCCAATATTCTGGTGACAGCCAAGTAGAGATTTTCACATAGAGTCTCCACAGCTGTTTAGCAAATTACCAAAAGTTAGCAGCTTAAACAATACAAATTTATTATCTTGCAGCTGTCCTGGGTTAGGATTCTGGGCTTGATTTAGTTGGGTCTTCTCTTGAGGGTCTCACTAGGCCGAAGTTGCATTCTCACATGAGGCTTGGAGTCTTCTTTAAAGAGTTAGAGATAGAGGTGGAAACACAGACTATAATAAGCTTCCAGCCCTTATTACAGATTTTGGTCCTTACATAAGAGCAAAGAGAAGTCCTAACAGTTGAAGAAGGGAATAGAACAATAGTACTTTCATTTTATTGAGACTTCTCTGGCTTTAGTGTAGAGACTGGACTGGAGAAGCCTCCAGCAGCCTGATTCAGTGGCCCAGGTGACAGATGACAGTCTCTGCTAGAATAGAGTTTAAGTGGAGAGAAGCAGATGTGAAGAGACATACAAAGGAAGTGAAATTAACAGAATGTGAAGACTGAATCAATACAGCAGGAGAGAGACCTCAAAGGTGACTCCTAAATGTCCAGCCTGCGCAGTTGTGGAGATGGAGCTAACACTTCCTGAGGTGGGAAACATGGCAGGAATAACTGTTCAAGAGGGAAGACCATGTGGTCGGTTTTGGATTTCAGTTTGAAGCAACTCTGGGACACTGAAATAGAGATGTTGAATAGGTAATTGGTCAGAAATTGAGGACAGGGTCAGAAGATGCTCACATTTAAATACCTGGGAGGGGAAGTTGAGTAGACGAAAGCCGTTGATAAAGTGTGGCTAACAATTTAAATAGACAATTCATGTTTTACCTGCGCTTCCCCCAGTAGAGATTAAGTAGAAAAATGACCATGAGATGAGGAGAATAAGGAGGAAGGAAATGGGAAAATAGGAGAGGAGAAAAAATAGGCAAAAAAGCCTGAAGAAGCCAAAACAAGGACAGCAAGCTCTTCAGTGACCAGCCTGGCGTGTTGGTTTCTAGCAAGTCATTGAACATTCCCAGCCTCAAGAAGATGGGCTGCAAATTAATTTACCACTTGAAATCATTAAGATATCACAGCAATAAACAATTTTTATTATTGTTACTGTGATACCTAAAGGCCATGCCAAGAGAATCTGAAACATCCAGGAAAAGAAGACAAAAAAGAAAAAAATTTAATATTGTACCTGGGACCTAGTATTGTAAGGAAAAGTTTCGGCACTGATGGTCTTTAAGATTACAGTTGAAAATATCCAGCATTCCCTTAATACAGGTGGAACTTAGACACCTTGGCTGTCTTCTACAGGGAGCCTCCAGCTGACCTCCTTGGAATTTTAATGGAATTTACATTGAAAGATTTTTGAATGGTGCAGAAGTTTGGCTGGTCCTGGTGAGGTCTTTTATTTTCTTGGAAAGTCCTTACAACTCCAGTTTGGAATTCCTTGTGTGCCTATCGCTCCCATTTAGAAAATTATTATTCCATGATGCCAGGAAGAAAAGTGTTCCAGCAAACATCAGCAATGACTTCCTGATTGCCAAGTCCAGCAAAGGCCCCGCCCTTCTCATCTCATACGAGCTCTTCCTGGCATTTAACCCTTCTGAACACTCTTCCTTCCCTCATTCAATGATGACACACTCATTTTATTCTCCTGGGACCTCTCTGACAATTCTGTTCAGTCTCTTATTCCTTCCAAATACAAAGTATTATTGTGCCTGATGGTTGAACTCTTACAGGTTTGTTGTTGTTGTTGTTGTTGCTTTTTTTTTTTTTTTTTTTGAGATGGAGTCTCGCTCTGTTGCCCAAGCTGGATGGAGTGCAGTGGCCTGACCTCAGGTCACTGCAAGCTCTGCCTCCTGGGTTCACGCCATTCTCCTGCCTCAGCCTCCCGAGTAGCTGGGACTACAGGTGCCTGCCACCATGCCCAGCTAATTTTTGTATTTTTTTTAGTAGAGATGGGGTTTCACCATTCACTGGATGGTCTCAATCTCCTGACCTTGCGATCCACCCGTCTTGGCCTCCCAAAGTGCTGGGATTATAGGCGTGAGCCACTGCGCCAGGCTGTTTTGTTTTGTTTTTAATCCTCACTTGAAAATATTGCTCTGGGATTTCCAGCAGGACATGCTCTGGCAGCACTAGCATATGGCAATAACCAGCAAAGAACAATAAAGATGAAAGGTGATTCAATGTCTTAAAAATTACAGTATTACACCATCTGCAGAATGAAGAGCCCTCAAAGTAACAAGAGCCTCTGAAGACCTCCTACACTTCAGATGTAGATAATGATCACTTTGAGTCATCATGGAAAAGGTAGAACATCATGGACACTATTTGGAAGGGCTGGAACAAATGCATTGGGCTTTAAAGAGATTTTTATATCAATCAATTACATTTAATATCCACATTTCCCAATAGCCAGACTGACACCTTGACTTGGATGTCTAGCAGACATGACATTAACACATCCAAAGTGAACTCTGTCTTTTTCCACAGTCTGCCCCTTCCACAGCCCTCCACACCTCCATAAATAGCAACTCCATGTTTTCCTATTTCAGAGGCAAAACTCTTCTTTTTCTTATAATCCGTATCAATAAACATAGTGTCAAAAATAAATCCATAGCCCAATGCCTTCCTTCCTTTTTTTTTTTTTAATTTACTTTAAGTTCTGGGATACATGTGCAGAAGGTGCAGGTTTGTTACATAGGTATACATGTGCCATGGTGGTTTGCTGCACCTATCCACCCATCATCTAGGTTTTAATCCCCACATGTATTAGGTATTTGTCCTAATGCTCTCCCTCCCCTTTCCCCCTGCCCCCAGACAAGCACTGGTGTGTGATGTTCCCCTCCCTGTGTCCATGTGTTCTCATCATTCAACTCCCACTTATGGGAAAGAACATGCAGTGTTTGGTTTTCTGTTCCTGTGTTAGTTTGCTGAGGATAATGGTTTCCAGCTTCATCCATGTTCCTGCAAAGGACATGAATTCATTCTTTTTCACGGCTGCATAGTATTTCATGGTGTATATGTGCCACATTTTCTTTATCCTTTCTCGGCTACTACCAGCCTAGAAAAACTACTATGATTTTTCACCTGATTATTCCAATTGATTTGTAAAGGGTCTCCCACCTTTGTTTGTTTGGTTGACAAAGTCTACTCTCAACAAAAAACCCAAAGCTATCCTTTGAAGATCTTACATCATATCATGTTACACTCTGTTCAAGATTATAAAATGGCTTCTCTTTTTATTACAAATAAAGAAGTTGGTCCCACATGAGCTGGCTTCATTTTCCCTGTCTTATTTCACATCCAAATATTCTTGTGCACACTCCGCTCACTCCAGCACTACAGTCTCTTTGATGTTCCTCCAGCAGTGAGTCATTGACACAACTGAGTTTTGTGGAATGGGAGCTTGTGTTCCCCCTTCCTGAAATGCTCTTCCTGCTGATATCCACATACCTGTGTACACATGGCATGACCCTTCCTTCACGTCTGTATTAGACCTTTCTCTTATTATTATAAAGAGATACACAAGTCTGAGTAATTTATAAAGAAAATGGTTTAATTGGTTCATGGTTTTGCAGGCTGTACAACAAGCATGGTGTTGTCATCTGCTTGGCTCCCAGGGAGGCCTCAGGAATCTTCCAATCCTGCAGAAAGTGAAGGGGGACTAGGCACATCACATGGCCAGAACAGGAGCAAGAGAGGGGGAGAAGGTGCCACACACTTTTAAACAGTCAGATCTTGTGAGAATCTACTCACTATCATGACAGCACCATGAGGATGGGGCTAGGCCATTCACGAGAAATCCACTTCCAGCATCCAATCACCCTCCCACCAGGCCCCACCTCCAGTACAATTCTACATGAGATTTGGGCGAGGACACAGAACCTAACTATGTCATTCTGCCCCAGTCCCTCCCAAATCTCATGTCCTTCTCACATTGCAACATACAATCATGCCTTCTCAACTGTCCCCCAAAGTCTTAACTCCTTCAAGCATTAAATCAACAGTCCAAAGTCCAAAGTTTCATCCGACATGATGCAAGTCTCTCCCACCTATGAAATGCAAAACAAGTTAGTACTCCCAAGATGCAGTGGGAGTAAACATTCCCATTCCAAAAGGGAGAAGTCAGCAAAAATAAAGGGCTATAGGACCCATGCATGGTTGAAACTCAGCAGGGCAGCCATTAAATTGTAAAACTCCAAAATAATCTCCTTTGACTCCATGTCCCAAATCCAGGCACTCTGGTAAAAAGGATGGGCTCCCAAGGCCTTGAGCAGTTCTTCCCTGTGACTTTGCAGGGTTCAGCCCCGATGGCTGTTCTCACAGGCTGGATCTGAGTCTCTGCAGCTTTTCCAGGTGCAGGGTGCAAGCTATCCACAGGCATACCATTCTGGGGTCTGTAGGAAGATGGCCTCCTTCTTACAGCTTCACTAAGCAGTGCCCCAGTGGGGACTCTCTGTGGAGGCTCCACCCCACATTTCCCTTCTTCACTGCCCTAGCAGAGGTTCTCCATAAGGGCTCTGTCCTTGCAACAGGCTTTTGCCTGGACACCCAGGCTTTTCCAAACATCCTCTGAAATCTAAGTGGAGGCTCCCAGGCCTCATTTACTCTTGCATTATGTGCACCTGTGGGCTTAACATCATGTGGATGTTTCCAAGGCTTATAGTTTGTACCCTCTGAAGCAGCAGCTCAAGCTGTAACTGGGCCCTTTGAGTTCCCTCTAAGGCCTCTGGGTCTATGATGGGAGGAGGTGCTGTGAAAGTCTCTGAAATGCCTTTGAGACCTTCTTCCCATTGTTTTGGCTATCAGCACTTGGCCTCTTCTTTGTTATTCAAGTATCTCTAACAAGTTGTTGCTCTGTAACCTGCTTGAATTCCTCTCCTGAAAAAGCTTTTTCTTTCTCTGTCTCATGGCTAGGCTGCAAATTTTTCAAAGCTTTACACTCTGCTTTCCTTTTTAAATATGAGTTCCAACTTATTTCTCTGCTCCTGCATCTGAGCTAGGCTTTTAGAAGCAGTCATGACACTTCTTGAACACTTGCTGCTTAGAAATTTCTTTCACCAGATCCCCTAGGTCATCACCCTCAAGTTAAACTTTCCGCAGATTCTTATCACATGAACAAAATGGAGACAAGTTTTTTGCTGAGGCAAACATGCATGACCTTTGCTGCAGTTCCTAAAAATTTCCTCATTTCCATCTGAGACCTCATCACTCTAGCCTTCACTATCCATAGTTTTATCAGCATTTTGGTCACAACCACGTAACAAGGCTCTAAGAAGTTCCAAACTTTCCCTCATCTTCCTGTTTTCTGAGTCCTCCAGACTCTTCAAACCTCTGCACATTACCCAATTCCAAAGCTGCTTCCACATTTTCAGGTATCTTCATAGCAAGGCCTCACTCCACAGTACCAATTTTCTGTATTAACCTATTCTGGCATTGCTATAAAGACATACCTGAGGCTGAGTAATTTTAAAGAAAAGAGGTTCAGTTGGCTTATGGTTCTGCAGGCTGCACAGGAGACACAGTGCTGGCACCTGCTCAGCTTCTGGGGAGGCCTCAGGAAACACAGTGATGGTGGAAGGTGAAGGAAGCAGCCATGTCACATGGCAAGAGCAGGAGCAAGAGAGAGGGAAGGTGCCACACACTTTTAAACAATCAGGTCTTGTGAGAACTCACTATCGCAAGGGCAGCACCAAGGGGATAGGGCTAAATGACTCATGAGAACTGAGAACTCCACCCCAATGATCCAGTCACCTCCCACCAGGCTCCACCCCCAATACTGGGGATTTCTTTTCTTTCTTTTTTTCTTTTCTTTTTTTTTTTTTTGAGACAGAGTCTCACTCTGTTGCCCAGGCTGGAGTGCAGTGGCATAATCTAGGCTCACTGCAACCTCCACCTCCCAGGTTCAAGAGATTCTCCTGCCTGAGCCTCCTGAGTAGCTGGGATTAAAGGCACATGCCACCATGCCCAGGCTAATTTTTTTTTTTTTTTTTTTGTATTTTTAGTAGAGACAGGGTTTCACCATTTTGGTCAGGCTGGTCTCAAACTCCTGTCCTCGTGATCTGCCCTCCTCAGCCTCCCAAAGTGCTGGGATTACAGGTGTGAGCCACCATGCCCGGCTGGGGATTTCAATTCTACATGAGATCTGGGTGGGGACACAGATCCAAACCATATCAAAGCCATTGCTCGGATGCCTTCACAGTGATGGATGTCTCCATCATCCACCCACTGCAGTGATAGATGCTCCTCATCTGATTTACAATTATATTTTCTCCTTTGTGAGTTCATCTGTGTCACTGCTCCTGTTTTACCTTCCTCACAACACTTTTCACATTCTAACATATGATGTAATTTGGTTTTGCTTCTGCTCACGACATTAGAACGGAACGTTGATGAAGGCAGGTATTTTGGCCTCTTTTGTTCACTGCTACATCCCAGTACCCAGATGAGTGACCAGCATATAATAGGTACTCAAAACATTCCTGTGGAATGAATGAATACAGCTAGAAAATGTATTTTAGAATTAGTAAATCTTTGGCTCTCTGGAAAGTCCAATTCTTCAGAATAATATGTCCCACAGGGTTCTGCTGATCACATCTTCCTGCACCGCAGCCTGTCTATGCTGCTCTGTCCACGTTACAGCTTAAATTAGATTTTGTAGACGAACTTGGAGGAATGTATTTTCCATTTTCAACGTGGTGCTTATGGGATAATACATTCGTAAGTACCAAGTCATGAGCTTCCAAACAAATTTGTGGGACACATTCTCTCTGCATGATGGGGTTCCCTCACTGTGAACCCAAGGCAGCACTTATGCTGGATACCACAGGGAGCTACAAGTCAGGTGTCTTTAATTCCAGCTCTCCTCTGTCTCAGGTCAGCTGTGTAAACTAGAGCAAGTACATTGAACTCAGTATTTAGTTTCTTCTTCTATAAAGAGAGAGGTTTAGATTGTGTGATCTTTAACATTTCTTTCAGCATGAAGATTGTGTTTTCAAAAGGCAATAAACTATGAACAGAATTAGAAGTCATCTCAGTAACCCTTGGCTTTCCCGGAACTTACTGGGTTATTTTATAAAAACTGAAGTCCACAAGGGCACCATTGAGAACTGCCCACAAACAAATAGCTGGGCATACCCTAATTCATCTGTCTTTCAAGGAGGTCTCAGAAGAATAAGCCACGCCAGGGCTTCTTTTTATAATTCATTCGTGGCCGATCGGGAATCTTTATTAGCCAGTGAACTTGCCCTGAACCACATCGTACACTTTTTATCAGCCGATTTTCACAGAGATTGAAATCCAAAGTAAAGTGGCAGATGTTGGGTCTGGCCTCCTTGTGACTAACATTTCTATTTCCTTCTAATGAACTGACTTACTGATTCTTTTCCCAGGTCTCTAGCTGTCTGAATGGAGGAACATTGCTAGACTGCTGTGGTTTCGATGAGGCAGGTAAGAAGGAGGAAGCGGCTAAGATTTATCAGTTGCTCAGTAAATGCTCAATGCTCTCCACCCAGGCACATCACGGTGCATGCATGGTTTGTATTAATGCTGACCTTTCTCAGTTTTTCTATGAACGCTTCTTCATAGAAGAAAATCAAACTGGCTGAATTTTCTAGAAAGTTGGAAATATTTTCTTATTTTTTAAGGCCAATAGCGTGAGTTGTCAGAGAATAATAATTACACTCTATGTGTCCAGAAATCATAATCCAATGTTCATGAAATCTCTTATTTAGAATATGTTTCAAGGAAAGAAAAATTATATGGGAACCCCAACATAGACTTCTTACAGTGAGAGGAGTCTTTCTGTCATCCTGCAAAGATTCTGCAACTGAAAGACTGCTGTCAGCTATCAGGGAGCGTGCAGTCTTACTGTAGCAATGCACTTTATGTAATGATATTGAAGGAGGAAGAGGATAGGAGAAGAGGATTAGTTTCCATGGAGACAACAAATTTATCTTTAATGAATGACAATTCTCTAGAATTCTTGACGTACCAATTCATGCATTCAACAAATATTTTTTACATCTCCCATGGGTCATAGTAGGTAGGTTTTGAGGTACTAATGGTGAGTATAATCTGGGAAGCTGCTCTCAAGGAGTTTATAGTGTAGGGATGGAGGCAAATGTCAATAATAACACAGCTCTTAGCAAGGTGGTTTTTTTTCCCATCCCAAACCATTCTTAGGAGGCAGTGCCTTTCTTAGCTTCTCAACTGCTTTTCTCCTTGTGGATTCCAGGCTTATGTTAAATAGAATGCAAAAAGGAGAAGTGGCTGATAAGAAGACAATAGTCAGAGACTTTTGTTTAATTATGCAGCAGATTGGCTGGGCGCGGTGGCTGACCCCTGTGATCCCAACACTTTGACGCATGTGATCCCAACACTTTGGGAGGCCGAGGCAGGCGGATCACCTGAGGTCAAGAGTTCAAGATCAGCCTGGCCAACATGGTGAAATCCTGTCTTTACCAAAAAAACAAAAATTAGCTGGGTGTGGTGGTGGGCAACTTTAATCCCAGCTACGCAGGAGGCTGAGGCAGGAGAATCTCTTGAACCCAGGAAGTGGAGGTTGCAGTGAGCTGAGATTGCACCACTGCACTCCAGCCTGGGCAACAGAGCAAGATTCCATCTCAAAAAAAATTAAATAGTGGTGGCTCACGCCTGTAATCCCAGCACTTTGGGAGGCCAAGGCGGGCAGATCACGAGATCAGGAGATTGAGACCATCCTGGCTAACATGGAGAAATCCCGTCTCTACTAAAAATACAAAAAATTAGCTGGGCGTGGTGGCAGGCACCTCTAGTCCCAGCTACTGGGGAGGATGAGGCAGGAGAATGGTGTGAACCTGGGAGGCGGAGCTTGCAGTGAGCAGAGATTGTGCCACTGCACTCCAGCCTGGGTGACAGAGCAAGACTCCATCTCAAAAAAATAAATAAATAAATAAATAAAAATAAAAATAAATGAATAAATAATACACCAGATTGTGCTACCTAGCGCACAAGAAGTGTTTCTAGTCTCATGGTTATTTTAACTAGAAGTAGGCTGAAAAGATGAATTCTTCTTCACTCCCTCCTTTAAAGAAGAGTCAATTGAGCTTGATTAATACCTAAGATGCTCTGGGTATTGTAGACCTAGTGGTAAAGGTGGTTTGGGTAATAACATGTAATTGCATGACCAAGTTGTATCAACCAATGTATTCATGAGCATGCTTCCCAAATGGAGTGCCCTAGGAACTCAGGGCTGTGGTAGGGACTTTCTCTCTGTGTTCTGTTAGCTGCCCTGGTGAAAGCTTGGGGAGTTAGAGAATCAACCAAGATTACTTATAAAGATCAAAGTGAAGGTAATTTGTTGAGGTTTCATAAAATACTTCTAAATTTCAGGACATGTAATTTTGACCAAAAATAAGATAGTCTCTGCTGAGGTAGGGTAATCTGTGAATGTTATGACAGCTTAATTGAGAAGGCCTAAGCCAGCAACAGAAACAACACTGCTCATGTTGAGAAAAGCAATTGAATGAGAAAAACAGCTTGTAAGGGGCACATCCAAAGTGGTTTGGATGTGGGTTTTCCCTGTCAAAACTCTTTTTGAATTTTAATTGTTTTAGGAGGCTGAGGCAGGAGGATTGCTTGAGTCCAGAAGTTCAAGACCAGCTTGGGCAACATAGAAAAGCCCCATCTCTGCAAAAACATTAAAAGATAGCCAGCTGTGGTGGTATGCACCTGTACTCCCAGCTACTCAGGAGGCTGAGGCAGGAGGATCACTTGAGCCCAGGAGGTCGAGGCTGCAGTGAGCCATGATCATGCCACTGCACTCCAGCTTGGGCAATGGAGTGAGAATCCCCCCCTGCATCTTAAAACAAAAACATAAACAAAACAGAGGATTTTTTTTAAATAGTTTTTTTAAATAAATTTAATTGTCAATGTAACCAGTCATGGTGCCTGCAAGAGGTGATTGAGTCTTTAAGATAGATTAATGTCTGTCTCCAGAGACTGGGTTAGTTCCGGTGGGAGTGGATTAGTCCCCATGAGAGCAGGTTGTTAGAAAGCAAGGCTGCCTCTCATGTTTGGTTCCTTCCCACACACGCCTGCTTCCCCTTCCCCTTCTCTGTGAAGCAGCTTGAAGCCCTCACCAAAGGCTGAGCAGATGGCAGCACCATGCTTCTTTGACTTCCCAGCCTTTAGAATCATCAACCTAATAAACCTATTTTCTTCATAAATTTCCCAGTTGTGGGTAGTCTGTTGTAGCAATACAAAACAGATGAAGACACTTTCTTGTGCTGAAAATTCAGCATCTTGGCAGAAGTCATAGAAGGGTGGTGAAGACAGACCTTCAAACCCAGATTAAGGCATCTTGGAGAACAAGCAGCATAGACAGGTGATGGAATGTGTGCATGGTGGTCCCATCTTAGAAGTGCTGAGGAAGAATGACATAAAAGCTAGCTTTGCACCTGCTGTGGACTGGCTGTTGGCTCTAAAGCAAAGCCGCAGAGGAAGCAATGCTATGTCCTTAGATGCCAAGAAGTGGTTGACTAAGAGACTATTAAATGTCTTTCCACTTGGAGATGAAATTTGAAATAATAATTTGGTTAATGTAGAGGGAAGACAGAACAGAGAGGCAGGGGAAGGAGAAGCAAGTTCTGGAGGAACCAATTTATGACTGAGCTCTGCTTGCCAATGTCAGACTGCTCCACATTCTGAAGGCTGTTGGGATGCTCTAGGTTATTAATGTCAATTTGGAGAAAAGAGGGTGAAAGTCCAAACTGTAGAAAACTGAGGGCACCCACAAACAAAAGAAGAATGGAGTGGCTATTCTGGGGTGTTGTCTAAGGAAAAGTGTACATCCTCTTGGGTGCAAATTGTCAAAGAGACACTGGTTGGTGTGGTGGCTACCACACTAAGGCAGTGTAAGCTGGAAACACACCAACCTTACCTTTAGGGGCGGTGGAGAATGTGTAGAGGAAGTGGCTGGTTGAGTTTACGAGGTCCTCTTGCATAATAGTTCTCACTTTTATTACCTCTGTGGGGAGGTTGGACATGTAATTACAGACTATATCCAACTGGGGAGAGACTCCCTCATGTGATAAAAGACAGGAAAATGTGGGGTGATGTGTAAATGGAGGTAGGCCCCCAGCAGGGCTCAGGAACTCAGGGTTGCTGTGTGCATCCTCTAGAACAAAGGATATACTTAAAGTCTGGATACTGTCAGTGTCTCAGCACTATTTGAGATAATTTCTAATGTCACTTGGATATTTGCCAACTGCTGTCAATCAATGGCCAACAGTATTTGGCCAAGCCCTCAACTTATGCTCAACAGATGTAAGCAGTCCCATCAAAGTCCAAGGCAACTAGTCAGAGATCTCAGTTAACAGTAACTTCAGTGCTTCCTAAGAGCCAGAAGAAATGTAATCAAGGAAGCTGCAAACCAAGATTGAGGTGATCTCCCTCCTTAAATGAAAATCGGCCTATTTCAAAAGATATACAGCACCAAATAAAGTAATAGGATGTGAGAAATTTTTGTTGGGGGGGGGGTGGGTGGGTATTCTGGAAAGATGGTCCTCTTAGTGATTAATGATTAAAGGGACTATATTAGAAACTCTGTGTTAATGGCAGCAATATTTGTCCGTTTTGGAGCCTATATGTATCCTAGATTTTGTGGTTAACTAGAAAATCTGTGAATAAGATACATGGGAGAATTACAGAGCATGGAATAAATAGGCTAAAGTTAGTAATAAAATATATCCCAAGTTAATTCTACTCAGTTACTATATGCATTCTATAGGACTTTTATAAAATATGAGTAAGCTGTCATGTGATAGCTCAACATATCATATGTTTTGGTGAACATTCCACAAACACTTAAGGATCATGTGCATTCTACAACTGATCTATGTGGTAATCTTCTAAATTCCTACTAGTCTTACCTCAGGCTGCTATAACAAAATATCATAGACTGGCTGATTTTAAACAACAGACACTCATTTCTAACAGTTCTGGAGGAAGGCTGGAAGTCCAAGATCAAGGTGACAGCAGACCCAGTGTCTGGAGATGGCCCACTTTCTGGCTCGCAGATAGCTGTCTTCTTGAGTCATCCTCCCACTGTGAAGACAGGGCTCCGCTGTCTCTTCTTCTTCTTATGAGGGCACTAATCCCATCTTGAGAGTGGTACCCTCAAGACCTACTATAACCTTAATTACCTCCTAAAGGCTCCATCTCCAAATACTGCCCCACTTGGAGTTAGGGCTCAACCATAAAAATTTGATGTGGGGGGAGCTCATAAACACTGAATCTATAACACTGCTTAAAAAATTTTCCTGTTCCGTTAGAACGGAAACAAAAGTGTGATTAAATATTCCATTGTGACTGTGAATTTGTCTATAACTGTTTTCAGGAATTTTTGTTTTTAGTAGTTACCTTGATGGTGTTCTCTTAACTTCTAAATCTGTGGTTTGGTGTCCATAATTGTTTCTGAAAATTTTCAACCATTCCTTCTGAAAATATGTCTTTTGTCCCATTATCATTCTCTCCTTACACTGGGATTTCAGTTATGCATATGTAGCCCTTCTGATGGCATCTTGCAGTTCTCAGCTATTCTGTTCTCCTTGGTCACGCCTTTCTCTCTGTATTTTGGTTGGGAGATTGCTGCTTACCTATACTCAAGTTCACTGATTCTTTCCTCAGCCTCTCAAGTCTACAGCCTGTCCACTGGGAAGGAAGCATTCCTCATTGCTCTTACTGCATTTTCATGTTTATGTCTAGGATTTTTGCTGGATTCTTATCTTTTTGATTTCCTGCTAAAATTCAACCACGTGATCTTGCATATTGTCTACCCTTTAGACTAGAGACAGAAGCACAATTATTTTACATTCCTGGTCTGATGACTGTAGCACCTGCATCATCTCTGTGCATGATTCTGATGCTTGTTTTGATTCTTTGCAGGATGAATATTTTCCTGGCGTTTTTTATGCTCCGTATTTTTTGTTGAATTACAGATATCTTGTGTAAAACGGCAGAGCCTGTGGTGAATAGGTTTTTTTTTTTTTTTACCTGCAAATGGGCATGACTTTCCTTCTTTTAGTAGGGAGTGGTTTGAGGCTGTATAGCTGGAAGTTGAATTTCTTTCTCTGGGGATTTGTTTTTGTAACACTACATGGTAAGTCAACAAAAGCTTTATTTTTTAATCTAATGTAATTTTTTTTTTTTTTGAAACGGAGTCTCACTCTGTCGCCCAAGCTGGAGTGCAATGGCACTATCTCGGCTCACTGCAACCTCCATCTCCCAGGTTCAAGCGATTATTTTACCTCAGCCTCCTGAGTAGCTGAGATTACAGGCACACACCACCACACCCTGCTAATTTTTGTACTTTTAGTAGAGATGGGGTTTCACCATGTTGGCCAGGCTGGTCTTGAACTCCTGACCTCATGTGATCTGCCCGCTTCGGATTCTCAAAGGGCTGGGATTACAGGCGTGAGCCACCGTGCCCAGCCTGAAAGCTTTACATTTTGGATTAGAAATTAGATTTTTTTCTGCTTATCACCACATGTTTTTAACGTCTTATTGGAAATTCTAGCCCAGGGTAGTAAATTAAGAAAAACAAATAGAAGGTATTTATATGAACAAAATCCAAAACATTACTATTTGCGGTTGAATTTATGCATATAAAGTCTCAGCGATTCTATTCCTAGTTTATAATAATTAACATGTTAGGTGAGCAAGTTGCTGAAATAAAGTTCCATATATAAAAATCAATTAAATTTTGGTCAGAAAAACATATTAAATTGAAAAAAAAAGCCTCTTTTAAAATAGCAAAAACATTAACCAAGTTCTGTCAACCACGACTGTGAAACCCAGGATGTTTCTGGCCTCAGAGCGATCCTTCCCCAAGGCGAATCTGCAGAGCCCACGTGGCTCAGTCTCAAATTCCAACAAAAGTCGCAAAGAGCCTGTCCGTCTCACTGTTCCTTTTAATTCCGCAATCTTGGGAGGAGGTCTCTGAGCCTCGCTGTGCTTTTCTTTCTTCCCCAGGCATGAGGACAAACCCTGCCCTAGACCCTGCAGGTAAAGGGCTCACTGTGTTGGTGTGGGGTCCGCCCTACGTTGATGGTTTCCTTGGTTCAGAAAGCTGGGCTCTTCCTTTTGACGTAAGGCCACCCACCCACCCCCTTTCTTGCGTCACATTTCCAGTAATTGACTCCGTAACTGGACATTTTTTCTCCCGCCGTATCTCCCTGCCTGGTCGTCCCACGCCCATCTCCATAGCGGAGGGGTGCTCCACGCCTCGGGCTCAGGGGCTGTATTGCTGCCCCTCCTCCCCACCTTCCTCAGCTCCAAAGGAGCATCAGCTGCGCTCTCACTGGTAACTTCTTGCCCAAATCAAGATTGAAAGTTTTAGTATACACACAAAGAAACTCATGAAATGCCTCTATCAGATGGGGAAAGTAATAATTACAATTAAATTTCATATATTTTCGCCTTAAAAAAGAGGCTGGGCTGGTGTCCACAGGGCAGGGGGTTTTGTCTAGTTTTTTAAAGTTTTTCCCAATGCCTAAGATGGCTCTTGGTAGGTAGTGAGCAGGCCTCAGGGAGTCTGTGTGGACAAGTGAGCTCACACGTACAGCCCAAGACAGACTGGCCACTGGGCTTCAGAAAATTAATACGAAATTCAGATTCATCATCACTATGTACAGCGCCCATATGTCCCAGATTGTCTAGGACAGACCTGATATCAAATATTCTGTCCCATTTTCAGAGCATGTTTCAGACCATATGTCCACATTTATGTTTAAGAAAATACAGTATTCATTTCTTTAACAAGAAAGTAGGCCCAAATCTCGAAGAACCACTCCTGAATCTAAATGGCTCCTCCTTGCCCCGCTAAAGGTCTAATGTAAATTCTCAGTGTTCCCCTGGGGCCCACGCAGAGAGCAGCATCTCCAGAGCCAGGGCCAGGGTCATGCAGAGGCGACACTCAGGCACGTGCTCAGGCGTGGAATTAGAAGGCGGTGACCGTGCACCAGCCCTTCTGGGAGCCAGACCAAAATAATTCTAATCACTGTCACCATTTCCTGAATATTCTTCTGTGATTCATGTAACCAACTCTGAAATTTTTCTTAACTTGTAGCAAAGTAGACACATTTAATGGCTCTTAAAGGACAATTATCTGAGTATCTCCTATTGTTTCCTGCTTTTTGGAATGGTTTAGACACACATGTGCCCATCATTGCACAGTAACACAAATAAAAAATAAGGAATAATAATTGATCCTTGTCCTAGTTTATTATATATAGTATTTTATGTTGTTTTCTGTAAGGAGTTATTCCCTTACAGGAAGAAACCACTCTTTGGAAATGCCATAAATGACATAGCATAGCATATATGGTACCATTCCATTAATTTTCCTCTGAATTCTGAAGGTCAAAATTTAATACCATGAGATAGTTATGTCACTTAACAAAGGTCCCAAAATACCACTAGGACACATTGACCACCTAGAAAATATGTATTCATATAAAAACAAAAATACTATGAGATGATTAGGTTATTATTTAATTATTTCAAAACAAGATTTATAACCCAGTTCAAATGATGTGTTATAATTTAATAAATTTATATCTGTATTTATTGAACAATTTCTTATTAAAGGAAAGTTGAAAATCTGATAGAGATAACCTAATTATAATATCTAATTACAGAATGAAATAAATCACTAAAACCAGCATAATGAGTCTTAAATACTAATTAATATTCAGACAAGAAGCTGGAATTTTGACATTCAAGTCATGCAGTAAAAATCCAGGAGCACGAGGGAGCGTGTGGGGTGTTTTGTCATTTAGAATTTGAAATTCCTCGCACCTTCTGCATTGTTCAAATGAGTGCTGCGTTCTTCGAAGCTTTTGTTAATAATGGTCTAGACCTGTCACTAAAGTGCTGTTAATGCCACTCGCCATGTGGAAAGTCTTAGAGATAATTTTGCTAAAATCAGTTAAGGAGGGAAACCTAGAGAAGGTTTTTTAATCAGTGTTGTAAAAAAAGTAATGACTTTTATCAGAAGAGGGTGGAAATAAAGGCTCTCCCGAGAGGCCGGTGATCTGGTAACAAGTATCTGAATGGAATTAAAATACCCCAGCGGAGCGTGCACCTCCCACACTCTTTCTCATGTTGAGGGTGGGGCTGGTACTGAGGCTCAGAGGCCAGACTCCAGTGAGCCTGCCAGATGCGACTCTCACGTCCACCCTCCCCGGCAAACGTGGGAATGTGGTCACAGCTCTGCTAGCTGGGTCGGCTCCTGTGGGACCCAGGGACGACAGTGCCACACACGGCGTGTAAGTCACTTTTGGAAATGTTTTTACATATTTTGCTGCAGATGCTTCTCCTAACTGAGGGAGGCCAGGGCCACTCCTCCCTCCCTCTTGTGGTCCAGGGTTGTACTCAGCCACCTCCAGGATCTCAGTGACCAAAAGCAACAACAAACAACAAGACACCCAGCTTGACAATGGTTGCCTATGGAATAGCAGAACACAGTCATGGAAGAAGCAGCAAAAAATAAAAAAATGATGGACTCATACATGAGTGAATCGAAGTGAAGGACAAGTCTTGAAAGGAACGAGGCTGTGGGGACCTCACGCGAAGGAAAGCAGAAAACGCCACCCCGGTCAGCACTGCTTTTGCAGGAGACTGTGCTGACACCATCAGAGGCACCGTTGCTGAGACAGCAATCCAGAAAGAAAGAGCTGCTGAAGTTTTCTCCAGCTTGTCAAGAACGTTAGGAAAGTAGCTTCTTTTAAAACTTACATAAAACTGGATTTAGGCCATGCCTGGAAGCAACCACAACACAGCTTCTTTTCCATCCCCCGGCACCCGCTGGCAGCCTCAGCAGCTGACCTCCAAACCACAGACAGGAAGGTGCCCCAGAGGCATGGCTGATCCACAGGATGCTGTAGGATCCCATGGAAGAACTCTGGTACCAAGACAATGATTTCCAATCATATATGATTACTCTAACCTGGATGCATTTTGTTGATAAAGTACAATTATAATAAGTGAATTGAGATGAATTTCAGAAAGCAGTAGTGTATTCTCAGCATCCTAATCAGAAGGAGAAACCCAGTAGCAGGTAGGCAGGCAGAGGACATGAAGCTGAGCCTTCCACCTGTATGGTCTTGGGTAGATCACTTTATGCTGCTGAAACTTAATGTTTGTTTTAATAGAGGCAAGGTGACCAAATGGGTCACAAACTCCTTTCTGATTCTCCTGTTCTATTTGCTCTTTCTTGTTATTAAAGAATGTCCAAGTCACTTAATATTAAATTAAGAACACTTCATGAAATTTACTCTCCCTAAGTCACAGATAACTTAAATAATGCTGTATTAGTCCGTTCCCTCATTGCTAAAAGGAACTACCCGACACTGGGTAATTTATAAAGAAAACAGGTTTAACTGGCTCACAGTTCCACAGGCTGTATGGGAAGCATGGCTCGCAGGCCTCGGGAAACTTACAATTATGGTAGAAGGGGAAACAGGCACATCTTACCTGGCTGGAGCAGGAGCAAGAGAGAGAAGGGGGAGCTGCTACACACACTTTTAAACAACCAGATCTCATGAGAGCTCACTCACTATCATGAGAGCAGCAAGAAGGAAATTTACCCCCATGATCCAATCACCTCTCACTAGGCCCCACCCCCAACACTGGGGATTACAATTCAACGTGAGATTTGGGTGGGGACACAGATCCAAACCATGTTAGACAGTGAGCCCACTGGTAGCTGGCCACACCTTCCTTCCAGAGGGGTCCTTCTCCCTGGATTTTCTCTTTCCCTCTTTCTTGGTGTCCTTTTCCTCCCAAGTCCTAATTCTCATTGGATGTCTGTTTTCCTCCGTGTTTCTTCACATCCCCCCACCTGGGAAGTAATTCCTGATATCCTCAGGATTTCTTCTGGGTTCCCATGTTTTCTCACAGTGTATATATATCTTATGTGATATTATTTATCCATAGCTTCAACCACCATCTACAGGCTACAATTCCCAAATATTTATTTTCATTCCAACTTCTTATATTAACATTTTAGACCCCCTTCTTAGCTATTTACAATAAAACTCCAGCTGGATATATGCTATATGTATTAACATTAAGCACATTAAAATGTTAACTAGTATTTTCCTGCACATTATCTCCTGCATATAAATATAAACATCCCTGTCTAAATTGTCACTAATATCAGAAATCCAGGAGTAAGTCCTAGACCTTTTCTCCTTCTTCCTATAAGCTGTTTTCTAATCCTTCCACCATCAAGCCCTGCCCGCTGCACTGCATAACTGTTTATGAAATATTTCCCTCCTCTCAATCTGCACCGCTATGAATTCTCACCTTATCGTTTCTCACCCTGACTGCCGTGATACTTTACAAAGTGCTCTCCTGTCCCTTGTCTGCCTGCTTTCCAATTCATCCTCACAGAGGCTCAAAGTGACCTTTAGAATGTATATTTAATCATGTAACTTCAAATCCCTCAACCACTCTCAACTATCACCCAGAGCAGTGCACACTCCATTCGGAAGATGCTCCCTGATCTGGGGCGTGTGCCTTCCACCCCTCCTGCCACATCCCAGTCAACAGCCCTACGCCAGCAACAGCCCTACGCCAGCAAAGGCTTCATGACTTGGGCTTTCTAACAAGCTGTGATTTTCAGCCACTCCTGCTACACGCATTTGCATACAGACCAAGCTTCTTCTCCCCTGACCCCTTCCCTGGACCCCTCTGGTATCATCCCCACTTGACTAGAAGCTCTTTGACAGTGACAGTGAGGGTTGGCCGCTCACGTCATTTCATCCCCTGTGTAGGGCCTGGCTCCAGGTGCCCAGTTGGTGCTGGCTGAATAAAAGAATACAAATAAAGTGTATGTTGAATAAGAATAGAATGTATGTCCTTCATTCAAAACAGATTTATTGAGCATCTGTCCGGTGTCAAGAACTGTTGTAGGTGCTCAGAGGTATCAGTGATTGAAGTAAAGATACCTGTCCTCATGAAGGTCACCTTCTGGTATGGAGAGGCAATAATTATAAATAGGTATAATAAACAAGTTATATCATGCATTTAAATGTGATGACTGCTATGGAAAAAGACAAGTCAAGCAGGCAGAAGGAGATTAAGAGTACTGAGCCAGAGGTTAGAGTCACTGGGGCAGACTTCATCTGGATGGTGATGTGTGAGCAAAGATGGCAGAAGGGGATGGTGGGACTTCACGGTGAGGGTGTCTGGAGGGGCAGTGTGCTGGTGGAGAAAACAGCCATTGCAAAGGCCAAAGGCCAGAGATTGTGGCTCAGGTTCTACAAATAGCAAGGGGACCCATAGTAACAGCTGCTTGAAAGATGCTGGTAGAAATTGTATACAGCTCCAAAAACAAATCAGTATTTCTTTGACATAGAATGTACTGTTCAGTTAGTTAGAAAGATTCTAGATCTTAGGAAAAAAAACCAACAATATATTGTTGTTAATAATATATTGTTTTTATTTCCTAGTAAACAGAGAGGGATAAAAATTATTTCACAAGTATCCAAGAACCACAAACTAAGAGGAGGAATGGGTTTAGAACTGGAAATAGACAGCTTAAAATTTGCATAATATCCAGTGCTGGCAAACTATATAAAGAAATAAATTATGACATATCTATAAGATTAAATACTCTTAAGCAATTAAAAATCATACTACAAAAAATTAATGCAATAAGAAACTGTTTACTACATAATGTTAAGTGACTGAAGAAGGTTGCCTAATAACATAAAGAAGCTCCTATTTTAAGCTTAAATTATGCACATATGCTTTATAATACTTGAAGAAATAAACAGCGCAGTGGGGAGAGGGTAGTTTGTGTATTCATGTTGTACTTCTATCTATTTTGCAAATTTTCTAAAATGAATAAGTATAATTTTTAATATCAAAGAAAACAATGCTATTAAAAAGGAAACAGAGAAAGCTCTGTAACAGAACTCAACATATATTTTAAGAACTTAAGAGAAGCCTCACATATCTTTGGAAAAGAAAAGCATTATTCAATAATTGCTGCTAGTAAAATTGGGTTATTGAACAATATGTAAGTACTTCCCTCACACCATTCACTAAAACACACTCCAGTCATGTTAAATCATATACAGAAAATTCTTAAGGAACATCAGGATTAAAACCCTAAATTGTCTTCTGGTCAATGATGACAGATTGACCACATATATTTACGTATTTTTCTTTCTATAATAGTGGGGAATTTTTAAAAAATTACCTAAATCCATAGCAACCAAAATGATAAAAAATATGGATGGAGAAGTCATTTTTTTTAAGCAGGGGGATGAAGCTACAAATAAAATATCTGTATAGACTGATATCAAAGAGGAGAAAACTGATTTGCCAAGCAAATCATGTGAAAAATCTCAGAAATTGTTGGTATTGGTATCAGTGAAGTGAGGAGATGATGTGTAGAGATGGAAACAGGTGCACCAACTGCACATCTGTGAATGGAGATGCCACATTTTCCTGACTGTGTGTATTCAGAATAATACTAATCAGCCTCCATGTAATCCCCATGCACACAGCTAGAAAATTGAATGTAGTTTTATTTTATAGTAAAGGGAAGTAAAATGTGGGGCTGAGGAAATGGTGGTCTTTTAAATATGATTTTAAAGACAGCCCCTAAAAGAATTAGCAATTCAACTCCTAGAACATATATCCCCAGACATAATATCCAAACAAGAGATTAGATAATTATTCTCTGGAGAAACTAAATAGTCCCGATTTTACCCAAGTACATTCAGAGTCCTAAAAGGAAATGCTTGCCTTCCAGGCTGATCAATCTGCAATGATGCTAAGCAATGACAAGTCTTACCCAGACATTCAGAGAGCCTAATCAGCTTGTCACTACACTATGTGCAAATCTAAACAGTCAGATATCTCTTTACACTTGTAATCAGTTTTCAACACACACACACAAAATGCAGTTAAGACAAGTGCAATGACTGGGTATGAAGAGAACAGAGATAATGCATTAAGGAAAAGAAAAATTTTAAGTTTCTAAAGCTTAGAGTACTAAGAAAATACATTGTATCTATAAAATAAGAGCTGTATGCTATGAAAAGAAACAATCGGAAGACAAGAAAAAACATTAAAATTAGGAATATAGAAAGTCAAATTAAATATATATTAAATACCTATGTCTATGAATGGGAACAGTGTAAGAAGATGAACTCTTAAAAGACTACCATAGATACAGAGAGGAAAGCAATCAGCTCCATCCAAGAGATCAAGAATTAGAAAGACATTGGCCTTTTTAAGGAAGATATATTATGCTAGATAATAAACATAGCCTTACCTTCGAATTTTGAAGAAAAAAAATTTGCAATTTTATACCTAGCTAAGCTATACAATAACTATGGAAATAGAATAATAAGAGAATTTTCAAAAATTTAAGGATTCAGAAAATTTGACCATCATGTCTTCTTTCTTAGTAATATAAGGAAGAATGTATTTCCATGAAAGGTGAAAGTAAGTCATGAAAAAGTAAGATACAGAAAACAGGAAGCATTAACTCTAACACAAAAGAATTATGAACTAAGTTTCTACATGACAGCTATATGGTAGATCTAGACAAAAAAAAAAAAAAAGGTACAAATTGGAAAAGAATACAAAGCCCTGGAAAGGAAGTATTCAGGACATGAAGTGACCAATTATTTGCTATAATGGATTATTTGGAGTAAAGTGATTTAAAGTACTGCATAACTGATGGATCATTGGAAAATTTTTTTCTTTAAATAGGTAGAGTGATATAGGCATAGATTTCTACTGCTATTGCCATGAATAATATTTACATAATACCGTGTCATGAGTTGAATTATGTCCTCACAAAAGATATGTTAAAATCCTAACCTTGAAAATACTTTAGAATGTGACTGTATTTGGAAATAGAGTCTTTAGAGCTGTAATCATGTGAAGATAAGGACATGAGGATGGGTCCTAATCCAATGTGATAAGTGTCTTTACAAAATGGGTGGAAAGAGAGACACAGAGAGAACACTATGTGATAATGACACAGTTATTGGAGTTATAAAGCTGCAAGCCAAGAAATGCCAAGGATTGCCAGTAATCCACCAGCGTGTGGGAGGAGATCTCAGACAGCCCACAGCCCTGCTGATGCCTTGATTTTGGAACTGTAGCCCCCGGAATTATGAATTAATACATTTCTGTTGCTTGGAGCCACGCAGTTTGTGGTACTTTGCTACAGCAAATATCCCTAGAAAAATGAATACATTATGTAATTAATGTTTATTAATTTAAACAAAGATTATGACATAACAATGCTGGCAGAGATACATGGGATGTAAAACTGCTACATCTTTATCTATTATAAAATACATTTTGTAGATAATGACTGAACTTGATAAATTAAGAAAAAGCAGTATAATCATATTAAGTAAGCATTTATTATGCATCTTTATAATGTCCACTATATTTATATAGAGACACATATCAGAATGATAGAAAATTTAACTTCATATTTAACATATAATTTATACCATGCCAAGTAGTATTCTAAATGTCTTACAGGTATGAATTCTTTTGTTGATCTAGTAATTCTATGAGGTGTTTTTATTATCATCATTTCCATTTTTCATATGGAGAAACTGAGAGGGAAGTGCTAAAAAACTAAGTGATTCCACATATGAGTGAGAACATACAGTGTTTATCTTTCTGGTCCTGGCTTATTTCACTCTACATAATGTCCTCCAGGGTCATCCATGCTGGAGGAGAGGATTTCATTCTCTTCTATGCTACATTTTCTTTATTCACTCATCCATTCATGGGCATGTCAGTTGATTCCGTATCTTGACAGTTGTGAATAGTGTTGCAATACTATAATATTCAGTATTTGGTATTCAGTATTTGTTTGCATACTGATTTCTTTTTTGGGGAATATATACTCCATCATGAGATTGCTGGATCCTATGGTAAGTGGCAAAACCTGAATTCAACTCAAGTACTCTAGGCCCAAAGTCTACCATGGTAACCACAACAATAGGCTGCATCTAGGACAATTGTTGAGGATCTGTGACAATGAATTGAAAATAAATTGTCTCCAAGACAGTTTGTAAGATAAGGGACAATTGGACACTCTCATACACAGATGGTTGTACAGCTATTCTAGAATGCTGTTGGTGTGAGCTATTAAATTTCCGTATGTGCATGTGTGTTTGTGTATGTGTGTGTTTGTATGAAATGATTGTACATGGGCACAAAAAACATGAAAAGTAGAATGCATAGATATTAGGTAACGGCAAAAAACACAATTACTCTTGCACCAACCTAATATATCCATGGAATATTATATAATAAAAAACTATACAGCAAATAAAATAAACTACCATTACATTGGTGTAATTTGAAAGCTCTTTGGAAAATTAGCAGTCTCTACTTTAAACTGTGCCTGTACATATTCAGCAATTTTACTTCCCAACAGAAATGGGGAAGTGAGTTTATAAAACAGAAAACATAGAATGCTCATAGGAGGACTAAATGTATTAAGCCTAAACTGATTTTATGAAATGTCCTTCCAAAATCGAGCAGAAACATAAATTGTGGCATATTGACACAACAGAGGACTGTCTGGTGGATATACATAGCATCATGGATAAATCTTACAAACAAAATTTTTAGCAAATTCAGCCAAACAAAAAGAAAGGAATTGATACTGTATTATTCTATATATACTTACAATTTTTAAAAAGAAATATCATCTATGATTTTAGAAGTCAGAACAGTGGGTACTTTCTAAGAGAAGAGAAATGAGACAATGTGGGAAATTTTGGTGTATTAATAATGTTCTATTTCTTGACCTTGGTGGTAGTTTAGTGAGTGTAATAACTTGGATATTATTTCTTGAATTGTGTACTTAGGAGTTGTCTACTTTTTATGGAAGTATATTAAACTAAAGTTGAAAATAGTATGATTAATCCATACATCTTCTCTGTCATCCCAAAGGAGAAGAGTTTTGTGCAGTAGAGAAATACAGAGAGGCCGAGTGCAGTGGCTCACATCTGTAATCCCAGCACTTTGGGAGGCCAGGTAAGAGCATCGCTTGATGCTGTTTGCTCGATTGCTTGAAACCCAGTTCAAGACCAGCCTGGGTAATATGGCGAAACCCCATCTCTACTAAAAATACAAAAATTATCTGGGTGTGGTGGTGTATGCTGGCAGTCCCAGCTACTCAGGAAGCTGAGGTTGGAGGATCACTTGAACCCTGGAAGTTGAGGCCTGGACAACAGAGTGAGACCCTGTCTCAAAATAAATAAATAAATACAGAAAAATAAATACAGGTATATTTGTAAACAACAAAACCTCCTGAAAGGAAAAGGTGTGGTTAAGGATGGAGTGTTCCTTTGAAGAATGGGATGAAGATTTGCATCTTGGCTCTGCTGCTTTATATTGCAACCCCTCAGTCAAGTAGGAATCATTAGTTTCCTCGTCTGTAATATGGGGCAGATAATCTTTCCTGGGGCTTTTGTGGGCATTAAGTGAACTATCCAATGCAATGTGCTAAGCAAGAGCCTGACATAGCATGGGTGCTCAGCTGACGCCTCCCTCATTCTCTAGGCAACCTACACACCAAGCCAGGTGATGACCACCATTTCCCTCAAAACCATACTCCTCATACTCCTCTTTCTCTGCTGTTGCTGTAAGCTATTTATTGACTTGTGATATTCTTTATTTTATTTTATTTTTAATCTTTTTAGGTTCTTTGCTGTTTCCAACTGAAGCTAGACATTTTCCTACTCCCATGAGTACAAGTTTCTTTCTCTAAAATTAAATTAGTAAAAGGTTTTTTTTAAAAAAGTTACACTTCTTAAGTGTAACACATTCACAAAGTATAAAAAATTATTAGTGTACTTTTGTATATTTTTGACCACACCTGAAACATTGCCTTAGGGTGGTGTCCAATGCAGTTTACCCAATTCCATTTTTAGTCTAGCCCATCTGTTCTTCCTCCCGCTGCTTCTCCTGTAGCCTTGCCCACATAACCTTTATTCTTGGCCTTCTCTGCATTCTGTGCCACCCTAGTCCCCTCCAGAATGAGCCAGTGCCCCTACTGCTTGTGGGGAGCATTCACAAAGAATAAGCAGTTGCCATGATTCATTTTTTGTTTCAGATCTTAGACCTGAATCGTCTGTTTCATTCTATCTTGCTCTCTGCTTCCACTTTTCCTAATTTCCTGGACTCCTTAACTCCTGCTTTACACCTGATGTTCTTCTCCTGGCCCCTTGTTTTGGAAATCCAAATATACTGCTCCCCTGGTATTCACACTGGAAGTCTTGTCTTGATTTCCATTTGACTCCACATGGAAAAGGAGAAAAATAAACTTTCATTGATGACCTTCTAAATAGGATGTGTTCTGATTATTTATTTTTGTTTGTTTTGCTTGGAGGATGTGGGAGTTATAAATATAGGATGTGGGAAAATAAATGGGACAGGTTACAGAAAAGGATAGATCCAGAAACCCAAAGAAGGCACAGATTACTTAGAACTATGGTTCTTAATCAGGGGCGATTTGTCCCCCAGGGTATATTTGGCAATATACCCTGGACTTTTTGGGTCTGCATTTTGTCTGCACTTTTGGTAAATGTTACTTGTGTCTAGTGGGTAAAGGCCATAGAAGCTCATTAACATCCTACAATGAAGAGAGCCCCTGACAATGAAGAATTCTCTGGTGACACGTGTCAGCAGCACTCATGTTATGAAACCCAGACTGGAGAATTGCAGGGGCAAAGTGGGGAGAGAATGAGGAGATGGTGAGCTTTCAGCAAACAGCAGGTGGTGGGCTAGGTCCTTATAGGTTTTAACTGCTTGCCAGCAGAGTGAGATTGGAGTAGCTACCACATAGACTGGAATAAGATAGGGGTTTCCAAAGAGGATCCGAATGAAGTCTTTCATGGTAGTCAATGTTATTTTTTCTGCCAATTCACTACTTAAGGCATATTACTTTTCAAGTGTTTGGAAGTCAAATTTGAGTCTTTGCAGCTGTGACATCGTATTGAGACAGATTTGAGAGAGGATCAAGAAGACCTCACTGATGGGGTCACCGAAACTATTTCCCATCCTTATTGCTCCATCTAAGCCTGTTTTAACCCTTGAGAAGCGGGTGGGGAATAATGCCAGCTCAAGGATATGACCAGTGTTTCGATGGACATGTTCTAGCCTCTCTGAAGAAGATCCTGGCATTCTTCTCGCATCCTTTCTTGTATACAGTGATGGCACTCTAGTAGCTTCTCCTCTTGTAGTGGCCTCCGCATTTGAAGAGGTTTCTGCCCTGTGCACGTGAACTCATTTACCCATTTCACGAGACTGTTTATGTTGATCCTAATGGTTGCAGCTAAGCTGTTTGCAATCTTGTCAGAAAAAGGCAAGCTCAATTCCGGCAGCTGAAATTTCATGTTTAATGCAGGCATAATACGAAAAACAACTGCTGCAATCAGAAAAGGCCCCGGGGGGACGTGTGGAAAGAGGAGTTTAGATAGCAGTCACACACGTTAACTGAGAATCGAACCCAGAGATGAAATTACTCTGATTACAAAGCTCCAGTTCGTTATGGTGCCGGCATTATTCTCCCCAGGGCTTCTGTCATCCTTATCTCCAAGGGTCAGAAAAATCCTAAATCAAAGTTAAACTTCCAGGTAAGAAGAAAATACATTGAAAATATTACATCAGTATTTATTGTTTGGAAGAAAAGAAAAAGACATTCATTTAAGTAGAGAACTGTAACATTACTGCAGATGTCTGCCCGACATCCTTCCCCTTCTTTCCTGAGAGGAGAACCCTGATGTTTCTAGGCATGTCTCTACCTCCTCCATTTAAGTCACTCATGAGTGTTCTCAGTCCCCTTGCTAGTGATGGGTTTAGGCTTCAGCATCTGACACAATCCTGGACAATCAGATGGCCTGATGGATGTTTCCAATAAAGAAGACAGGTAAATTCAGTGGGAGGCCAGTGCCTGAGGAAGGCCAAGTAGATATGTGGAAACCCAGAATCTAATGATATGGTTGGAACATTGACATAGCCATCCTCCCTCTGGATTTGTGAAAATAATGTTTAAGTTGCTTTGTGTTGGGGTTTGTATTTGCTTGCAGTAAAAACATCAAACTAATAAAATAACTTTATATTTGCCACAGAAGGTGCACCATCTTCTTTTCCAAAAGAAATAGTAGACATAGCAACTGTATATTCGCAAGTCAGTGAAACTGGTAATCCACCACTGTTTGCACAAAGGAAGGAACATTTCAAGTGGTTCAGTCTCCACCACTTACTTTGTTTCCTTGAGCAACTCGAACTTCAATGTCCTTAAGTCTATGAGGTGCTTGTATTACTCTATACACTCAACCTGAGTACTGTTATTTGTTAATTTCACACTTCATTTCAAATTTGTTCTGAATAGGGCTCATAGAGCATCAGTTTTTATCCTTAGAACAAGTACATAAAAAGTCTCATTGACAATATTAGTCTTTGCTGTCCCTAATATTCTATATAAATTATGGCTACGTGCAGTGGCTCATGGCTTGTCGTCACAGAAATTTGGGAGGCCAAAGTGGGAGGATTGCTTGAGCCCAGGAGTTTGAGACCAGCCTGGCAATGTAGTGGGACCCCATCTCAACAAAAAATAAAAACCAAAAAAATTAGCCAGGCATGGCGGCGTGTGTCTAGAGTTCTAGCTACTAAGGAGGCTAAGGTGGGAGCATTACTTATTGATCAAGTGAGGTCAAGGTACCCTGAGCCATAATCACGCTGCAGCTTGGGTAACACAGGGAAACCCTGTCTCAATAAATTTAAAAAAATAAATAAATTCTACTTGTCCTTTTACCTGTTACCTGGTATTTCTAGATCAGCAGACATTTAAATGTCTCGTTTAAACTTCATCATTATCTTCAAAAGATGATTAAGAACCCAATTTTATATTATATTGTGTGTACCTACATGACTTTGATTATAAGATAATGTAGAATTATAATGCCATTAAATTTAACACATATTTACTGCATTCTTATCACTATTTTCTTAATTATTGATGTCTCATATTTGTATGGTATTTTAGAAATTATAGAGTAATTTTATATTCATTCTTTAATTCTAATCAGATTAACATATACCAAGCATTGTGCCAGATGCAGAGGGAATTTAAGAAAAATAGAAAAATGGCTTGGCTAACTGAAATAACAAACAGAAGTTTTATTGAGAATTTTTTTTTTTTATTATACTTTAAGTTTTAGGGTACATGTGCACAATGTGCAGGTTAGTTACATATGTATACATGTGCCATGTTGGTGTGCTGCACCCATTAACTCGTCATTTAACATTTGGTATATCTCCTAATGCTATCCCTCCCCCCTTCCCCCATCCCACAACAGACCCCAGTGTGTGATGTTCCCCTTCCTGTGTCCAAGTGTTCTCATTGTTCAATTCCCACCTATGAGTGAGAACATGCAGTGTTTGGTTTTTTGTCCTTGCAATAGTTTGCTGAGAATGATGGTTTCCAGCTTCATCCATGTCCCTACAAAGGACATGAACTCATCATTTTTTAATGGCTGCATAGTATTCCATGGTGTATATGTGCCACGTTTTCTTAATCCAGTCTATCATTGTTGGACATTTGGCTTGGTTCCAAGTCTTTGCTATTGTGAATAGTGCTGCAATAAACATACGTGTGCATGTGTCTTTATAGCAGCATGATTTATAATCATTCAGGTATATACCCAGTAATGGGATGGCTGGGTCAAATGGTATTTCTAGTTCTAGATCCCTGAGGAATCACCACACTGACTTCCACAATGGTTGAACTAGTTTAATTAAAGCCAAATATCAGTAATGCTATAAAGTATTCCATCCACTCTTCACATACTAGCTTGATACTCGATAGATGAGAAGTGTATTTTGATATGTGGCTCCATGGCACTATTTTTCCCCCAGCTTTATTAAGGCATAATTGACAAATTAAAAATAGCATATATTGAAGATGTACAAGTGGGGTGTTGCGATATGTATACATTGTGAAATGATTACACAATCAAGCTAGTCAACATGTTTATCACCTCACATAGTTACCATTTTCTGTGTGTGTGTCTGTGTGTGGAGTAAGAAACACATAAAATCTACTTTCTTAGAAAATTTCAATACATAATACAGTATTACTAACTACAGTCACCATGCTATACATTGGCACAATTTTAAATCCAAAGGTAACAGATATGTGAGGACTCACTAAATCAAAGTGGTCTTTTTTAAAACATAGAAACATTTATTTTATTTGCATGACTTAAACATCTGTCTGTCCTGAGTGACATGCCTATGTAACTTGTACATCTCAAATTGTTAATTTTCTATTGGGAATCTGAAATTAAACCTGAAAAACTCCAAAAAGAATTCTCTATAAGACTATGTGGTAGATTCCTCTTTATTATGATATAGATAATTATTTAATTTCTTTTGTTATATAGCTTTGCCATTTTTGCTTATGGAGAGCTAGGCAGAAAGCTTGATTGATATTTTTAGCTTATAGAGCTTTTTTTTTTTTTTTTAACAATCTGACCTTTTTTTTTTTTTAAAAAAAAAGAAGGCAGTTGAGAAAATGGTCTTTCTTTGGGGGTGTACTAAATCCTCTTGAGGTTACAATAATAAACAGTATTCTTCTTCTAATCCGGAATTTGGAGTTTTAGTAGCTAAATGTGTCACCGAAACTGAAAGTCATCATTGCAACTAATCTCAGGCTTGAATCTTGCTCCTTCATTTTCTATCTGCATGAGCTTGGAAAATGTGCTGAACTTCTGTAGTCTCCCTTTGCATCAATTATAAAATAAAAACAAATACTATCTACACTATAGATGCAAAAATCATCAACAGAATAATAGAAAACTAAATCTAGAAACATAAAAAAAAGATTATATGCAATAGGCAAGTAGGATTTGTCCCAAGAACACAAGATTGTTTTAACCATGTGAAAATCTAATGATGTAATTCATCATATTAATAGAATAAATAACAAAAATACGTGATTATCTCAATAGATGAAGAATGAAACAAATGACAAAATCTGCTACCCCTTAATAATAATAATAATAATAATACAAAGCCTGTAAAATTAAGAGTAGAAGAAAACTTAACTTGGTAAAAGGGGCAGCCATGAAAACCCCACAGCCTACATCAGACTCTGCTGTGAAAAATTAAATAATTTCCCCTAACATCAGGAACAACTCAGGGATTTCTGCTTTCAGCCGCTCCATTTACCATGGTGCTGGAGGTTCTGGCCCAGGCAATTAGGCGAGATAGAGAAATAGAAAGCATCTAGATTGGAAAGAAAGGAGTAAAACTACCTTTATTTGCAGATGACATCATCTTATGTATATAAAATCCTGAGGAAACTTCTTAAAACTGTTAGAGCTAATAGAGAATTTTGTGAACATCAACATCCAAAATCAATTGTATTTTTTGCCCTAGTAACGAAAAGCCCAAAAATTAAACAAAAAAAAGATTCCATTTGCAAAAACATCAACACGAATAAAACAATTTGATGAAATGAAATTAATCAAATCAAAATTAATTTAACAAAATAAATATAAAGCTTTCCTCTGAAAACCATAAAAAATTGTTGGAAAAAAAATTTAAAAGACCTAAATAAGTAAAAATATATCATTTGAACTTAGATATGAAGATTTAATATTATTGAGTTGATATTTCCCAAATTGATGTACCGATTCAGCACAATATTTGTCATGATCCCAGCTATTATTTTTGCAGAAATTGACAAGACAAAAATTAATATGGAATTTAAGGGATCCAGAATATTCAAAACCATCTTAAAACAGAAGAACAAAGCTGAAGGACTCAGGCTTCCCAATGTCAAAGCTTCCTACACAGCTGCAGTAATCAGAAAAGCATGGCACTGGCAGTCAGCACTGGTGAAAGGAGAGACACACAGATTAATAGAATCCAACTGAGCGCCCAGAAGTAAATCCTCACGTTTATTGTCAATTCATTTTTGAAAACAGTGCCAAAACAATGAAATAGGGGAGGGAACAGTCTTCTCAACCATTGATGCTGGAATAATTGGATATTCACCTCAACCTATATATAAAAATTAACTAAAAGTGTATCGAAGACCTGACTATAAGAGCTACAACTACAAAACTCTTAGAAGAAAACCAGTGCATTTCTTCGTGATCTTGAAATAGACTATATAGTTTCTTAGATATCACACTAAAAACAAACAAGAAAAAGAAAGAAAATGATAAAACAGACTTCTTCAATATTAAAAATTTGTGTGCTTTGAAGAATCCATTAAGAAAATAAGAGATAACCACAGAATGGAAGAAAATATTAGGAAATCATATCTTAGGGACTAATATAGTTAACCCTTTAACAATGCCCCTACACAGTCAAAAATCTGCATAAAACTTTTGACTCCCAAAAAACTTAACTATTAATATCCTACTGTTGACTGAAAGCCTTATTGATAGTCAATTAACACATATTTTATATGTTATACATTATATACTGTATTTTCACAATAAAGTAAGCTAGAGAAAAGAAAATGTTTAGAAATTCCTAAGAGAGAATATTATTTATTATTTATTAAGTTGAACTTATTAGAGAGAACATTATTTATCAAGTGGAGTTGGATCTTCACAAAGGTGTTCATCTTCCTCATCTTCACACTGAGTAGGCTGAGGAGGAGGAGTAAGAGGATGGGTTGGTCTTGCTGTCTCAGAGGTTGCAGAGGTAGAAGAAAATTCACATATAAGTGAACCCATGCAGGTTAAACCACATTGTTCAAGGGTCAATTGTATAAAAAGTAATAGAAAGAAAATAACACAATTAAAAATGGGAAAATATATATGAATAAACATGCTCCAAATAAGATATTCAAATAGCCAAGAAACACAAGAAAAGATGCTCAACATCATTAGTTATCAGGGAAATGCAAATCAAAACCGTATTGAAATACAACTTCACATCCACTAGGATGGCTATCGTCAAAAATATAATAAAAAAAATGCAGAGAAATCGGAACCCTCACCCATTATTGGAAGGAACGTAGAAAGGTGCAGCCACCTTGTAAACAGTTTGGCCGTTCTACAGAAGGTTAAACACAGAGATACCATATGACCCTGCTACTGAACTCCTCGGGACATACCTAAGAGAAATGAAAACACATTTTTACACTAAAGTATGTACATGAATGTCCATGTAAACTTTGTAAAAACAAATAAATAGAAACAACTCAAATGTCAATACATTGTTTCATGGATAGATAAAATGTTATATATATGTGCTTGATTCCACATGGAATATTGTTTAGTAGATGTATTTTAAACATCACCTAAAATGAAAGAAGCCAGTCACACACAAAGAAGCATCAGTGGCAGGCTAAGGCTGGCGACACTGAGGGGAGTGAGGAGTGACTTAAAATTAACTGTGGTGATGGTTGCACAACTCTGTGTATTTGAAAGAAATAAATTAAACTGCATGTTTTAAATGAATAAATTGCATGATATAAATTATATCTGCTATGGACTGATTTTTTTTGTCCCCATGAAATGTATATGTTGAAATTCGAACCCCCAGTGTTACAGCATTAGGAAATGGAGGCTTTGGAGGGTATTTAGGTCATGAAGGCAGAGTCCTCATGAATGGAGTTTGTGCTCTTATTAAAGAGTCCTAGGAAAACCCCTTTCCCCTTTCACCCTGTGAGGATGCAGGGAGAAGAGACAGCCTGCAACCTGGAGAGGACCCTCACCAGATGCTGAGTCTGCTGCTTCCTTGATCTTGGACTTCTCAGCCTCCAGAACTTTAAGAAAGAAACTGATGTTGCTTGTAAGCCAGCCAGTATATGACACCATGTGATGGCAACCTAAGAAAGACAATGTCTTGGGTAAAGTTGGGTTTGTGTGTGTGTGTGTGTGTATGTGTGCATATTTTACACACATATATAGTACACACATATACAAAATAGAAAATTTAATACAAAAAATGTGAAATAAAGAGAAATAGACAAATTTACAAATGCTGATTATAAAAGAAAAATGGGTTAACTGGAATAGAAGAGCTTCTGATCATCAAATTGTAAATATGTACATACACATACATAAATATGATTTATGTCTTGACAGAAAAGTTCTACCCAGCACATATAAAGAATTTCAAAAAAATCAATAAGAAAAATCAACAAGAACAAGGCAAATAATTCAAATAAAAAATAAACAAAATACTTGACTAGCTGCTTTGGCAAAAATAGCCAATAAACATTTCTAAAGGTTTTCAGGGAAATTTTTTTAACTTGAAAAATGCTTTGTGGGTACATAGTAGGTGTATATATTTATGGGGTATTTGAGATATTTTGATATAGGCTTGCAATGTGTAATAATCATATCATGAAAGAAACTATGCCTCCATGAATTTTCATAGTTCCTAAAATTCCTCTGGTTAATTCTAGTTTTATTCCGTTGTGGTCGGAGAGGATGCTTGATATTATTTCAATCTTTTTGAGTGTTTTAAGACTAATTTTGTTACCTAACATATGCTCTATCCTTGAGAATGATTCATGTGCTGAGGAAAAGAATGCGTATCCTGTGGCCATTGGATGAAATGTTCTGTAACATCTAGATCCATTTCATCTACAGTGCAAATGAAGTCTGATGTTTCTTCAATCCATTGGGTCTATAGTGGTCTCATTAGATCCATTTGGTCTATAATACTGATGAAGTCTGATGTTTCTTAGATCTATTTCCTCTATAGTGATCTCATTAGATCCATTTGGTCTATAGTGAAGATTAAGTCTGATATTTCTTTGCTGATTTTCTGTCTGAAAGATCTGTTCAATGCTGAAAGTGGAGTGTTGAAGTCTCAAGCTATTATTGTATTGGAGTCTATATCCTTCTTGAGCCCCAACAATATTGGCTTTATATATCTGACTACTCCAGTATTGGGTGCATATATATTTAAAATTATTTTATTGTCTTGCTAAATTCACCCCTTTATCATTACATAGTGAACTTCTTTGTTTCTTCTTACAGTTTTTCTCTTGAACTCTACTCTATTTTGCCTCATGTATGTATAACTATTCCTGCTGTTTTTTGGTTTCCATTGGTATGGAATATCTTTTTACATCCTTTCATTTTCATTCTGTGTGTGTCTTTATAGGTGAAGTGTGTTTCTTGTAGGCAATAGGTTAATGGTCCTTTTTTTCAATCCATTCAGCCAGCTTATGATTTTCACTGGAGAGTTTAGTCCACTTACATTCAATATTATTATTGATAAATAAGGATTTATTCCTACCATTTTGTTATTTGTTTTCTGGTTGTTTTGTTGTATTCTATTCCTTCTTTCTTTCCTTCCTGTCTTCTTTTTAGTAAAGGTGATTTTCCCTAATGATATAATTTACTTTCTTGCTTTTTATCTTTTGTCTATCTTTTGTATGGTTTTTTGTTTGTTTGTTTGTTTGAGGATACCATGAGGCTTGCACATACTATCCTATAACCCATTATTTCAAGCTGATAACAACATAGCACTGTTTGCATAAACAAATACATAAACCACAAGAAAACTGATAAAGACTCTATGCCTTAATTTTTCCCCTCTTTTCAGCAGTTTGTTGTTACTATTTCTCTTATTGTACTATCTATGTCTTAAAAAGTCGCTGTAGTTAATATTTTTGACTGGTTCATCATTTACTTTTCCTACTTAATAAGAGTAGTTTACATACCACAGTTACAGAGTTATAATGTTCTGTGTTTTTCTGTGTGCTTTATTACCAGTGAGTTTTATACCTTTAGGTGATTTTTTTTATTGCGCATTAATGTCCTTTTCATTCTGATTGAAGTACTCCCTTTACCATTTCTTGTAGGAAAGGTCTGGTGTTGATAAAATCCTTCAGCTTTTGTTTGTCTGGGAAAGTCTTTATTTCACCTTCATGTTTGAAGTACATTTTCACCAAATATACTACCTTGAGGTAACAGTTTTCTTTCCTCCAGCACTTTAGTTCCATCATATCTCTCTCTTCTGGCCTTTAAGGTGTCCACTGAAAAGTCTGCTGTTAGATGTTTTGGAGCTCCATTGTATGTTATTTGTTTCTTTTCTCTTGCTGCTTTTAGGATTCTTTCTTTACTGTTCACCTTTGGGAGTTTATTAAATGCCTTGAGGTCATCTTCTTTGGGTTAAATCTATTTGATGTTCTATGATGATTTTGTACTTGGATGTTGATAGCTTTCTCTCAATTTCAGGCGTTCTTTGTTATTATCCTGTTGAATAAACTCTCTATTTCTATCTCTTTCTCTATTCCTCTTTAATGCGAAAACTCTCACATTTGCCATTTTGAGGCAGTTTTCTGGATCTTGCAGGGGTGCTCATTGTTTTTTATTATTTTCTTAATTTCCTCTGATTTTGTATTTTCAAGTAGGCTGCCTTCAAGTTTACTAACCCTTTCTGCCTGATTAATTCTACTACTTAAAGTCTCTGATGGGCCAGGCACAGTGGCTCATGCTTGTAATCCCAGCACTTTGGGAGGCCAGGGCGGGGGGATCACTTGAGGCCAGGAGTTCGAGACCAGCATGGCCAACATGGTGAAACCCCGTCTCACTAAAAATACAAAAAATTAGCTGGGTGTGGTGTTGGGCGCCTGTAATCCCAGATACTGGGGAGGCTAAGGTGGGAGAATTGCTTGGGAGGCAGAGGTTACAATGAGCCAATATCATGCCACTGCACTCTAGCCTAGGCAACAAGAGCGAAACTATGTCTTAAAAAAACCCACAAAACTCTGATATATTCTTCAGTATGCCAGTTGCATTCTTCAACTCTAAAATTTCTGCTTGATTATTTTTAATTATTTTAATCTTTTATTAAATTTATCTGAAATAATTCTGAATTCCTTCTCTGTGTTATCTTGAATTTCTTTCAGTTTCCTCATAACAGCTCTTTTGAATTCTCTGAAAGGTCACATACCTCTGTTTCTCCAGGATAGGTCCCTGGTGCCTTATTTAGTTCATTTGGTGAGGTCATGTTTTCCTGTCTATCTTGATACTCATAGATGTTTGTCTGTATTGGGGCATTGAAGAGTTAGGTATTTATTGTAGTCTTTGAAATCTGGACGTGTTTGTATTGTCCTTCTTGAAAAGGCTTTCCAGATATTTGAAAAGGCTCAAGTGTTGTGATCTACATCATGTCTGCTTTAGAGGGGATCCTAAGCCCAGTAGCTCTGTGGTTCTTACAGACTCTTAGAGGTACCACCTTGATGGTCTTGGACAAGATCCAGAAGAATTAATTATCTGGATTACCAGGCAGAGACATTTGTCCTCCTCTCTTGTTTTCTCCGAAACAAACAAAGTCTCTGTCTCTCTCTGCACTGAGCCTCCTGGAGCTGGCAGTGGGGTGACACAAGGAACCCTGTGGCCACCAACCCTAGGACTGTGTTGCATCAGACTTGAAGCCAGGACAGCACTGGTATCACCCAATGCCTGCTGTAACCACTCCCTGGCTACCACCTATGTTTGCCCAAAGCCCTGGGGCTCAACAATCAGCAGGTGGCATAGTCAGGGAGGCCTATGGCCTTCCCTTCAGGATGGCAAGTTTCTCCAGGCCCTTGGTGGATACAGAGTTGCCATCCAGGGTCCAGGGACTAGAGTTAAAAACCTTGGAAGTCCACCTTGTGTTCTATTGCCCTGTGGCTCAGCTGGCAATCAAACCACAAGACACAGTCCTTTCCACTCTTCCCTCCGCTTTCCAAAGGCAGAGGAGTGTCACCCTAGGGCCACTGCCACCTCAGGCCCATGAAGAGTACTGCCAGATTCTTCCAAGATTCCCTTAAGGCCCAAGGGCTCTTCAGTCAGCTTGTGGTGAATACTGCCTGGTCTGGAACTCACCCTTCAGGGGAGTGGCCCCCATGCCATCCCAGGGCAGGTCCAGAAAGGCCATCCAAGAGCCAAGTCCTGGAATCGAGGACTCCAAAAGCTTGCCTTGTGCTCTACCCCACTGTGGCTGAGTTAGTACCTCAGGTGCAAGACAAAGTCCCCTTTACTTTTCCCTCCACTTTTATCAAGCAAAAGGGGTCTTGCCCCTTAGCCACGACACCTGGGAATGTGCTGAGTCTCACCTGAGGCCACCAAGTATCAGCATAGTACCTGGGTATTCCTGCTGATTATTTAGGGCCCAAGGGCTCTTTAGTTAGCAGGTAATGAATCCTTCCAGGACTGGGTCACTCCTTTCAAGGCAATTGGTTTCCTTCTGACCCACAGTGTGTCTAAAAATGTCTGGGGGCCCTGACCAACGTGGAGAAACCTCATCTCCACTAAAAATATAAAATTAGCTGGGTGTGGTGGTACATGCCTGTAATTCTAGCTACTCGGGAGGTTGAGGCAGAATTGCTTGGACCCAGGAGGTGGAGGTTGCGGTGAGCCGAGATCACACCATTTCACTCCAGCCTGGGCAACAAGAGCAAAACTTCACCTCAAAAAAAAAACAAAAACAAAAACGTCGTGGGACTAGGGCCTGGAAAGGGGGCCTCATGACTTTGACTGGTGCCTTATCCTGCTGTGGCTGAGCTGGTATCCAAGATGCAAGAGAAAGTGCTCCCTGCTCTTCCTTCTCTTCTCCTCAAGTGGAAGGAAGGGGTCTTTTTGGAGCCACAAGCTGTGCAGCCTGTGGTTACAGGAAGGGTGATCCCAGCACTTTCTTAGCCACCCTGGCTGGTGTCTCCGTAGGTCACATGCCCTCATAGTCTACTGTCTCGGGGCCCAGTTGAGCCCTAGGACTCACCTAGGTGTTGCAGTCCCTGTGGCCTAGAATACTTTTCTTTGGGGCCACAGAGTGCTTTAGTCCATGGTGGTGAGGCTTGTGGGGACTCAAGTTCTGACAGCTGGGGTTGGTGACTCCCCTCTGGCTAGGGCTGGTTTAAAAGCTCTGTCCATGGGTGGGTGTCAGTTGAGTTTGGTCCAGTTTTGCTTTGTGCTATAACAAGGGCAGCACGGAGCTCTGTGCCTCACAATTGCTGGCTCTCGCACTTCCCAGGACACAGAAACACTCTGCACCTTGATGCTGCTTCCGGGGGAAGGAGGAAGGGTGGCATTAGTGACTCAAGACTGCTTTTCTCACCTCTTCAGTGCCTCTTTCAGTGAAATGAAGTCAAAACCAGGTCCTGTGAGTTCTCGCCTGATTTGGAGTTCTTAAAGAGGTTCTTTTTTCATGTAAATAGTTCTTGAATTGGTATCCTTGTGGGGGGTGGGGTGGGGCGGTGATTGGTGGAGCCTTTTATTCCATTATCTTGCCCCACCACTCTCCCTCAATGTAATTTTTTACCAAGAAAATACAAAAAAAATTACAACCTGATATTATTTACATTTCTTCCCTAAATGGATTAAAAACAGAGACAGGACAAGAGACTGAATATATTAAGTGTTGGTGATGATACAGAAGAATTGAATTCACTCACCCTGCTTATGGAAATACAGATTGATGCAGGAATGGTGGAAAGCACATTAGTAGTATTCACCAAAGGTAACCATGCATCTTTCAGAAATTCACATCCCAGAATTCCTCTCCTGGGCACATAACCAAGAGAAATATGTACTATGGTCACCAAATGACATGTACAAACAGGTTCCCAGAACTGGAGTCTCATCAAATGAGTGTTGGTCACAACACTGGAGTGGAGAAGCATAGCATGCCATATTCCCACAATGGAGTCTCGTATAACGATGACAGTATATGCACGACCACATGAAACAACATGGAGAGACCTCACAAACGGAGTGTTGAATGCCATAACTAAGGCACAGAGAGTACATACTCAGTAAATGAGAGTAATCTGTGGTGCTAGAAGTTCAGATAATGGCTTCCCTTGGGGACTGGGTGATGAAAAGGGGCTTCACAGCAGCTTCTAGGCAGGACTGATGCTTTGTTACTTGGACTGATCTGGTTCTACACACAAAGCTGTGCTCATTTGTGAAATGTTTTTGAGCTGTACACTTATGGTTATAACATCCTTTTCTTATGTACGTTATAATTCAATAAAATGTCTATAAAATCAATCAATATTGATATATAGTTTAGGCATATTACCTAGTCATAAAACAACTCTTTAAAAATCAGAGAATGATACAATTTAGAATGGTGTTTACTGTGTGGAGAAGGCTACAGGATGAGACAATTTAGAATGGTGTTTACTGTGTGGGGAAGGCTACAGGAGGAGTTTAGGGAAGGGTTGCTCAGCTACGTTCTTCAACATTCGTAACAGTTATGAGGTTTGGTGCTGGGTTCATGGCTGTTGGTGTTGTGATTCTGCTTCCCACGTTGCATATGTTTCCAATCGACTAGGAGCATGGGGAATGAAAATAAGCCTGTTGCAGAAAGCTGGGCAAGATGTGATGGGGAATGAACCACTGTGATGGCAGTGAAAGCGTCAAGATATATTATTTTAAAGGAGAATCCATGTTAAGTGCTATTTGACACCTATGCAGGTGAGACACAGGCTTCTGGTCTGAACAGCTGGGTGGACAGTGGTGCTGAGAAGAAGCCAGGGAAGAAGCAGCCTTGCAGAGCACATTGAGAATACTGTTCTGAGCATGTTTAAATTCAGACATAGAAGGAAGTTACCAGTGAAATGTCAGGTAAGCAGCTGGATGTATATAAATGTGATTCTCCGAGGAGATGTCTGAGTGGGCAATATAAATGTGAAAGTCATCAGCATAAAAATGACATGAAAAGCATATTAGATGGATGACAATATCTAGGAGAAGAGTGCATGGAGAGGTAAACAGAGTCCAAGTTCGAATCCTCAGTGATTTTAGGAGGTAGGTTTGGGTGGAAAGGAAGAGCCAGCAAAGAAAAATAGAAATTAGTCAACTGAGCAGAAAGACATCCAAGAGAGCTGGTGTCAGGAAAAAAAAAAAGTGTTTCAAAAAATTTCAGCTCTATAAGAACAGACTAAAAAGGTGAGCAAGATTAAAACAGAGAACTCACCATTGAATTGGGAGACATGCAAATCATCAGAGACCTTTTCAAGAAGATATCAATGGAGTGATGGGTAAAGAAGACAGGAATGAGTTGAAGAGGGGATTGGGAGGTAGGGAGGGGAGAGAGTAACAAATAACATTGTTGTTATTATGACACTGTAAATAATCTAAGGTCTGGAACATAATAGGTGCTAAATAAATATTTTTGAGCACATAAATAAGTGAACAGGAATGACCTTATACTTTGTGTTACCCAAAAGTAACTAAAAACACTTCTCTGTATGTCTTTATCTCTTTATTTTTATTTTTTAAATGCCAGACGAAGCCAGTGAGATATATGGTAAATTGCGCCTGAGAACTTAGATTTAGCCAGTGGTAGGACTGACATGTGTCCAACATCTTGGCTAACAAATGTCTCCTCTTGAGACAAAGAATATAAATTTATGAACATAAACAATGAAGAGTTATTGCATGTTTACTATATGAAAGATCAGTAGACATTGTAAAATTCATTCAAAAATTTTAAACCATTTAATGTTTTATTCATTCTGCCATACTCAAAACAGCATGAAAAACATATGAACATAAGAGGTTTTCGAAAATGGATCTTTCCCCATAAACTTGAAATACTCTGCTAAACACAGTACTGTACTACTATCCCACTAGTAACAGATTTTGAGGTTGTATTCATTGAAATGTACTTCAGTGGGTCTATCCAGGGGTCATGCCGGTTGTGAGTGTGTCTGTGAAATTTGATTACCCTTTTCACTTGCTAAAAATATCAAGGCCTGCAGAATTCACTTAACTTTCTTAATTGAGGTCCCTATGGTTACAGTGTAGATAAATAGCAACATAGAGGAAAAGTTTTAAAAAATATCCTAGAAGCATCCAGGATTTGTTTTATTATAATTTACAGTGGCGATGTCTTCATTTTATTTGTGGGGGAAAATAAAGACAAGTACCTTTATTTATCTGTAGACTCCGAGTTTTGGGTTAAAAGTGGAGTATTATATGCTAAAAATTGCGAGCTAGAAGTTTTAGTTGGATACATTTTGGATATCTTTTGTTTATTTATTTTATATTATTTTATTTTTTTGAGTCAGGATCTCACTGTGTCACCCAGGCTGGAATGCAGTTGTGCGATCATGGCTCACAGCAGCATCAACCAACTGGATTCAAGCGATCCTCCCCCCTCAGCCTCCTGAGTAGCTGGGACTACAGGCTCTCACCGCCACGCCTGGCTAATTCTTGCATTTTTTGTGGAGATAGGGTTATAAACCTTGTAACAAAACCAAAAATTTGAGTAAAATGTAAAAATTCCTCAAAATAAGATTTGCCAAACTGAATGAAGAAAATAATGGAATATCAGAATAATTTTAATAATTAAAAAATTAAATACATTTTTTCACAAAGAAGTCTCTAAGCCTACATGGTTTATAGGTGAATTCTTGAAACAGTTTGTAAAAGAAATAATACTAAACATTCAAAATTTTTCAGATAAAAAAAGTATAAAATATTTCTTAAGTAGTTTGTGTTAAATGAAGCCTACCTAAATTTTATATTTAAAAAATCGTTGCTGATGTTAAGGTAAGTACCTTAATCTCTTATGAATATGATGCAAAAATTTTAAGCAATCTATTACAGTTGGAAAAACAAAAATTTTAAACAAATTATCAACAAGTTGAACCCAGTGATTTACATTAACAAATTATTATTATTTTTCTTAGTATTATTTACATAATAAATTTACATAATAAACAATTATTATTTACATAATAAACAAATTATTAACAAGTTGAACCCAGTGATTTCAAACAAGTTGAACCCAGTGTTATCATCAATGACATATTATCATTAATGATGATTCTATTTATAATTATATGATTATTAGTATAACTAATGAGAACATTATTATTATACATATAAAGTTGATCTATTTCACATATATAAATAAATTTCATATATATTTTATAAATTTATATATTAAACATACTAACTGTATGTATGATGATAATGTGTATATTTCACATATATGTGTTTATATATGATTTTATATACATGTGCTGTATGTGTTTACATATATGATAATATATGTTTATATATTTCATCTATATGTTTATATATAGATGAAATATATATGTGAATATATTTATCATACTATAAAATTTTAACAAAATTCATTTATGTCAGTAACAGAAAAAGGAATAACATATGTCATTACTTCAATATACCCATTAGAAGCACTTTAGATAAAAATTCTCAGCAAACATGGATAGAAGGATATCTTCTTAATCTGATAAAGAATATCAAACAAAAAACAGAACAGAACTTGCAGTAAAATGATTAGTGGTAAAATACAAAGAGTGTTTCCCTTTTCAGGACAAGGATGCCTACTCATAGCATTTCTATTCAAAGTTAGACTGATCCAATACTGTACCTGAACAATCAAGCAACAAAAATTAAAAAGGCGTAAGAATGGAAATGAATAAATATTATTTTCAAATGATATAGCTATATAGCTAGGAAATCTAAGTTAATCTAAAGGCAAATTTTTTAGAATTAATAAGTGAATTTAACAAAAATGGGATCCAATATCAATATAAATTCAATGAATTGTATATTTGCATATCGGCCACAAACAAGTAAGAAATGAAATTAACAGTAAAATGCTACTTAAAATAGCATTCATAAATATCCAATGCCAAGAAATAAGTTTAACAAAAGGGACACAAGACTTCTGTACTGATAAATACAAACCATTTATATTAGTCCATTTTCATGCTGCTGATATAGACATACTTGAGACTGGACATTTTACAAAAGAAAGAGGTTTACTGGACTTACAGTTCCACATGGCTGGGGAGGCCTCATGGCAGAAGGCAAGGAGGAGCAAGTCACATCTTATGTGGATGGTAGCAGGCAAAAAAAGAGAGCTTGTGCAGGGAAACTCGTTTTTAAAACCATCAGATCTCGTGAGGCCCATTCACTATCACTAGAACAGCAGGGAAAGACCCACCCCCAAGATTCAATCACCTCCTACCAGGTCCTTCCCACAACATGTGGGAATTATGAGAGCTACAAAATGAGATTTGGGTGGGGACACAGAGCCAAACCATATCACCATTATTGAAAACAAATAAAGAAAGCTAAAAATGGCTATCTATATCATATTATAGGGTTGCAAGATCATTATTGTAAATAAGTCAATCCCCCAAAATGTATCTATTAATTCAATACTATCTCACCCCCTGCTGGATTTGTGTTTGTGTGAGTGAGTTTTTTACTGTGCATATCCACAAGTTGATTCCAAACTGGATATGGCCATGCGAATTGCTAAGAAGAGCTAAGATAATATTGAATAACAAAGCTGGAGGACTTACAATGTCACATATTGGGACCTATAAAGGTAATAGAAATCATTACAGTGTGCTTTGGCAAACAAGATGAACGTTTCACAGTGGAACGTGAAATGTATCCAGAAATAGACCCATACACATACATGAACCCGAGTAATGACAGAGATCATACTTACTAGGGGGCCTTTTCAGTAAGTGGTGCTGGGCTCCCTGGATTTTCTATACACAAAACCAGTTTGCATCCTTACTTTTTAAACTATTTACAAAAATTAACTTCAGATATAGTGCAGGTCTACATGTGACAGGGAAGCCATAAAGATTTAGAAGAACATATCTTCAAAGACATTGAAGTTTTTACTTTTTTTGCATATCCTTAAAATAGGCAAAAATGATAGTGAACAATACTAACATTAAAAACTTTGATCATCAAAAGATACTACTAAAAGAAAGTGAAGAAGCAACTTCAGAAAAGCAGGAAATATTGCCACATATATTTCCTACAAAGGGTATGTATTCGGTACATATAAAGAAATTCTACATACCAATAAAAAAATGAGTAAAATATTTGAACAGACACTTTACACAAGAGGATATACAAAAAGGGCCAATAAATCCTTCTAAATGAAGAAAACAGAGTGTTTAACTTTCAAACTGACAGAAGTTAGAGTGATAAAAATTAACCAGTTCTACAGAAGTTTCAAAAGGAGAAAACAGATATAAAGACAAGATTGAAAACAAAAGTATAATCAGTAATTGAAATTAGCTTTAAAAAGGCTAAATATTTAATTTAAAAGTTTAGAATAATGAATTAAAACTATACAATATTTATGAGAAATATTTATAACTCAGGAATACAGGACTATTGAAAATAAAAATATTGAACTATATATATATAATCGAAATGTTAAAGGAAAGTCTGGCTGGGTCAGTAAATACAAAAGTGACTGAGGTATCTTACATTAAGAGGTAAGCAGGATACCTTAATAATAATTGTATTCTCTATTATCTAGAAAGATATAACAAAATATATGCTCCAGTATAAAGTCATATACATGCATGCTAGAATACATGTACGAATGATGTCTGTAGCAGCATTGTTCATAATGGCCCCAAATCAGAAACAATCCAAATGTCCATCAAAAGTTTTAAGCCACAATGGATCACAATTAATGCACATACCATTAACAACAGAAACAGAAACTGAGTAAAAGAAACCAACCATGAAAGAATGAAGAGGATTATGCTGTTTTTTTAAAGTTCAAGGCCTGGAGAAACTATTTCATATTATTTAACAAAACATATAAACTCTATGTAGGTTGAAAACTATACATTTATAAAAGGGAATATCAATTACAAACATCATCAATTATGGAAATGGAAATGAAAATAAGATAATCTACACACTTACCAGAAGATCTAAAATGAGATTTAAGATATTAAGTATTGGTGAGAAATTGGAATCATCATGTGCTGCTGGTGGAAATGTAAATTGGTGCAACATATCAAACTTTGGAAAATATTTTGACAATGTTACTAAAACAGCATGTGGAATTCCACTTGTAGATATATGCTCAACAGAAATGTATACATTTGTTCACCAATAAACAAATACTCTGTTATTCATAACAGAAATATTTCTAGTAGCCCTAAACCGGAAAGTAACCACATACCCACCAATAATGGAATGAATGAATGAATTGTGAAATAGTTCCATGATGGAATACTATACAGCAATGATAAGGAAACATTTACAAGATTGAATCAACCAATGAAAGCCTGATTTTCTTCCTAATGTTAATGAGAATGCTCCTGTTATTCTACTACTTTTTATGATGTTGACTTCGATTTCTGGTAGATAACTTTTATCAAGTTAAAGACATTTTCTTATACCTTAGTTTCATAAGAGCTTTCATTACGGTGTTGAATTGTATCAAATGTTTATAACATTAAGATAATTGTATTGTTTTAATCCTCAATTTCCTGAGATAGAATAGATTTTCTAATATTGAACGTAAGGTGATTTTTAAAATTTGAAGCTCTTTTAATATCAAAACAAATATTAAAGTTACAATGTCATATTCTATTAGTACACTTTTGTAGTCTATTTGCAAATATTTTATTTCATATTTTGTGCCAATGTACATAAGTGGAAATGTCCTGTAGTTTACCCATTTTATCACTGTCTAGTCTTGGTATCAAGATTTTTAATTCCTTAAATTACTTTTGAAGGTTTTTGGTTTTCTTATTCTCCAGAATAGTTTACATAGAGTATACATTTTCTGGTCTTTGAAGTTCTGAAAAATTATTTCAGCCTAGAAATTTTCAGGCTGGGACAGTGATTCAGATGATGATGGTGACGATGATGAAGATGGTGATGATTCACTTACTATTTTATTTTTCCCCATGATGCATAATTTACTCGTATTTTCCACTCGTTCTTGAGTTAGTTTTGGCAATGTATCTTTTCTAATAAAATCACTTTTCTCTTCTAAATTGTTAAGTTGTCATTAACGTATATATTTTATTTTTATAAGTATGTGTCAGTTCCATAATTACAGTTCTAATTTCTTCGATGGCATTCTTAATATTAGCTAGTTATTTTTCCAAACCTTTTTAAAAATTAGATTTGTAAAATATTTCTCTATTTTTAATAATTTTAAGAAAATATGGTTTTGCTTTTATTGATTGAATTTACTGAGTTTTAACACTTTTGGTTTTGCATTGTATTTAATGTATGCTTATATTTTTATTGAGGCATTATCTCTACTTTTATCCTAGCTCATGAAAATGAATGCATAGTTCATGCTGGAAGGGACTAGGGTGAAACAGGAAGCAGAGAAAACCAAGCATGGAGGTTATGTGGGCAAGGCTGCAGGAGAAGCAGCAGAAGGAAGAGCAGGCTGGCTGGGCTAAAATTTTAATCAGATAAAATGCACTGGACAGCACCATACAGCAATGTTTCAGGTGTGGTTAAAAATATACAAAAGTATACTAATAATTCTTTATACTTTGGGGATATGTTACACTTAAGAAGCATAATATTGAAAAAAACTTTTATTAATTTAATTTTAGAGAAAGAAACTTGCACTCCTGGGAGTAGGAAAATGTCTAGCTTCCAGAGGCGTAACTGCTAATTCAGTTGGAAACAGCAAATAAAGAACTTCAAATCAGCATATAAAAAGCAGTGTACTTCTGAAGACTAACAGTGAATAAGCTGAAAATTAAATTTAGAACCCAATCCCATTTATTGTACAATTAAAAAGAATAACATTCTCAGAAATAATCTTACCTAAGAAGATGAAAAACTTATATTCTGAAAACTACAAACATTGATTAATTAAATTAACATACACACAAATAAATAGAAGAACATCCCATGTTCATGAATAGGAAGACTTAATATTGTGAAAATGTCTGTAATACCTAAAGCAATCTACAGATTTAATATAATTTCATTGAAATTCACCCACTAACATTTTTTACAAAAATAGAAAAAAAATACCAAAATTCTTATGGAACCAGAAATGATTCCAAACAGCAAAAGCATTTTTGAGAAAGAAGAACAGGGCTGTAGTCATCACACTTCCTGATTCCAATATACATTACAATGCTACTGTAATTAAGCAGTATGGTAGTGGTATAATTTTTTATTTGATACTATAATAAAATGCTACTTACATATTTTCTGCCTTTTATGATTTATTGAGGCTTATTTCTTGCCCTGTGGTGTTAATAAATGTTCAGATTTTGAAAACGTGCTCTTAAATAATTCTTCAGCTTAATCAATTGTTGATGATTTTGTTCTCCAGCTGCATCGATTCTAATTTTATATATAGCCTGTCCTATCTTGATAATCATGTTTCTAATTTCTTCAAGAGCTCTGTTTTGTAAAAATTATTATAACCTATTCTTGTGTTATGAATGCAATGTCTTCTCCTGTCCCTATGAGAACATTTTCCACCCTGTGATCTCAGGGGTATGTTTTTCTGTGTGTTGACTTTGTTTACATTATTTTGCTTGCTAATTTTTATTGCTAACTTTTATGAAATACTTGGCGATCTTGTTTTTTGCTTAGATTATCTTCCTAATTCCCTGTTCCTCTGTCTATGGAGTTTGTCTTTATCATTACTGGCATTTTATGATTGAAGAGGCAGAACAAAACACCCTGTAGTCAGGATGGATGAACTTGCTAGTCCCAGGTCTTCCGGGCATAGGCGTTCAACATTATTTTTATAATTTTTCAAGATTTGAAGTAAGTGAGGAAGGAAGTAATGTTTCCATCCTAATCCAGTCTCCACCTTTATCCTTTTTGTATCTGGTAAGATTAATAAGCGGAAGAACCCTGAGAAACTCAGACAAAGGTTTTATTTTTAGGTCAATCAAAGAAGAAAAATAAAAGCTTAAACAAATTACCTGAGTGACAGACAAAATATGCCAAAAAGATCAGCATCCAAGGGTAAAAATGTACTTTAATTCACAAACTTTAGTGGCAAAGTAATGTCTTAATATTAAAAAATCAGTATTTTAATCCAGTCCATCGCCTATCATGGGGTGGGGAGGGGGGAAGGATAGCATTAGGAGATATACCTAATGTAAATGACGAGTTAATGGGTGCAGCACACCAACATGGCACATGTATACATATGTAACAAACCTGCACGTTGTGCACATGTACCCTAGAACTTAAAGTATAATAAAAAATCAGTATTTTAATATTCCATAACAAAACAATATGCAGATGTGATATAGATTGCACTATGCCTCCTGTATTAACAAAGAAGACTACATATAGTTTAACATTTTATTCCAAGTTTAAACATCTCCAGATAGGAAAGAAAAATTCCTAGAATTTTTTTTCATAAAAATCACATTGCTTTTAATTTAATTTAACCAATTCCTGTGCCTTAAAATCAAACATAAAATACTGTGAGCAGAGTCTCCTCATCCCTAGGCCTCCAAAGTGAACATTATGCAGTAGTGACCATGAGCTGGAGAAAATGTGGATTAAAATCAAGGGTGGTTGTCTCTGCATACATAGCTAAGTACTAGGTTAAGATTTTTCATATCCCTCTTAGGCATGTAAGGCAGACCCAGAAGACTACAGAAGTGGTAACACCAGTAATTATTAATGGAACAGAATCTAGGATTGGAAGGTTGGGATTTAGACAACATCTTATCTCTCAGATTTATGTATGAAAAAGTCTACTCTATTTTACCTTCTAGCCTTTGTGTGCATATCTGTCATTACCAGGGTTCCCAAGTCAGAAGGTCGATCATCCTGTCTTTAAAAACTGCTAATCATTCTGTGAGTGTGTGTGTGTGTGTGTGTGTGCGTGCACATGCATCTCTCTCAACAAACCTTATGTAGGCTCTGAAGCCTCAATCTAGGATAGCAGGATAGCACTATTAGATCATGAATTGTCACCTAAATACTTTGATTCAAACACCGTTGCTGAATAGGAGTTTATCCAATTATCTTTTTCCCAATTGACATCCTTGAAGCCAAAGGTTGATATTAAGAAATCAATACTAACTCACTTAGTTTCAGATATTATTCTGCTAGAATTTTATTTTAAAATAAAATTATTATTATTTTTATTTTTATTTGGTGGCTGGTCCACGGTTGGAAGCATGTGGTACCAACATTGGCTCTTAATATGCTTTATGGAATTTAATTCATCAACATTAACTAGTTAAATTGTCTTAATCTATAAAATGTCAAGTTATTAGATACTAATATTGTATAGTATGTTGAAAGAATGCAATTGTCAAAAAGTCCTATTTTTCAGATAGATACATATGAGGTTAAGAATGTGATAGAGGAAGGGGAAGGGATCAAATTCAAAGGTTGGAATGCCGCTTGGAGAAAGTAGGTTTTTATGTGCTTCAAGAAATAGAGACCAAAAAGTATTAGAGACTAAAGAGTAAATGGTGAAAAGATCTTTCTAAAAGCAAAGGGACTGAGTGTGGTGGCTCACACCAGTAATCCCAACATTTTGGGAGGCCGAGGCGGGCAGAACACTTGAGGTCAGGAGTTCGAGACCAGCCTGGACAACATGGTGAAACCCCGTTTCTACTAAAAATACAAAAATCAGCTACGCATGGTGGTGTGCACCTGTAGTCCCAGCTACTCTACTCGGGAGGCTGAGGCAGGAGAATTGCTTGAACCCAGGAGGTGGAGGTTGCAGTGAGCCGAGATCATGCCACCGCATTCCAGCCTGGGTGACAG